>NC_000003.12:111887392-112190422 GCF_000001405.40 Homo sapiens | reverse complement strand
AACTAGGTATTGATGGAATGTATCTCAAAATAATAAGAGCTATTTATGACACACCCACAGCCAGTTATCATACTGAAGGGGCAAAAAATGGAAGCATTCCCTTTGAAAACTGCCACAAGACAGGGATGCCCTCTCTCACCACTCCTATTCAACATAGTGTTAGAAGTTCTGGCCAGGGCAATCAGTCAAGAGAAAGAAATAAAGGGTATTCCATTAGGAAAAGAGGAAGTCAAATTTTCCCTGTTTGCAGATGACATGATTGTATATCTAGAAAACCCCATCGTCTCAGCCCAAAATCTCCTTAAGCTGATAAGCAGCTTCAGCAAAGTCTCGGGATACAAAACCAATGTGCAAAAATCACAAGCATTCATATACACAAATAACAGACAAACAGAGAGCCAAATCGTGGGAGAACTCCCATTCACAATTGCTACAATGAGAATAAAATACCTAGGAATCCAACTTACAAGGGATGTGAAGGACCTCTTCAAGGAGAACTACAAACCACTGCTCAACAAAATAAAAGAGGACACAAACAAATGGAAAAACATTCCATGCTCATGGATAGAAAGAATCAATATCATGAAAATGGCCATACTGCCCAAGGTAATTAATAGATTCAATACCATGCCCATCAAGCTACCAATAACTTTCTTCACAGAATTGGAAAAAATTACTTTAAAGTCCATATGGAACCAAAAAAGAGCCCGCATTGCTAAGACAATCCTAAGCCAAAAGAACAAAGCTGGAGGCATCATGCTACCTGACTTCAAACCATACTACAAGGCTACAGTAACCAAAACAGTATGGTACTGGTACCAAAACAGAGAGATACACCAATGGAACAGAACAACAGAGGCCTCAGAAATAACACTACACATCTACAACCATCTGATCTTTGACAAACCTGAGAAAAACAAGCAATGGGGAAAGGATTCCCTATTTAATAAATGGTGCTGGGAAAACTGGCTGGCCATATGTAGAAAGCTGAAACTGGATCCCTTCCTTACATCTTATACAAAAATTAATTCAAGATGGATTAAAGACTTAAATGTTAGACCTAAAACCATAAAAACTCTAGAAGAAAACCTAGGCAATACCATTAAGGACATAGGCATGGGCAAGGACTTCATGACTAAAACACCAAAAGCAATGGCAACAAAAGCCAAAATTGACAAATGGAATCTAATTAAACTAAAGAGCTTCTGCACAGCAAAAGAAACTACCATCAGAGTGAACAGGCAACTTACAGAATGGGAGAAAATTTTTGCAATCTACCCATCTGACAAAGGGCTAATATCCAGAATCTACAAAGAACTCAAACAAATTTACAAGAAAAAAACAAACAACCCCATCAAAAAGTGGGCAAAGGATATGAACAGACACTTCTCAAGACATTTATGCAGCCAACAGATACATGAAAAAATGCTCATCATCACTAGTCATCAGAGAAATGAAAATCAAAACCACAGTGAGATAACATCTCACACCAGTTAGAATGGCGATCATTAAAAAGTCAGGAAACAACAGATGCTGGAGAGGATGTGGAGAAATAGCAACACTTTTACACTGTTGGTGGGAGTGTAAACTAGTTCAACCATTGTGGAAGACAGTGATGATTCCTCAAGGATCTAGAACCAGAAATATCATTTGACCCAGCCATCCCATTACTGGGTATATACCCAAAGGATTATAAATCATGCTGCTATAAAGACACATGCACACGTATGTTCATTGCAACACTATTCACAATAGCAAAGACTTGGAACCAACCCAAATGTCCATCAATTATAGACTGGATTAAGAAAATGTGGCACATATACACCATGGAATACTATGCAGCCATAAAAAAGGATGAGTTCATGTCCTTTGCAGGGACATGGATGAAGCTGGAAACCATCATTCTCAGCAAACTATTGCAAGGATAGAAAACCAAACGCTGCATGTTCTCACTTATAGGTGGGAATTGAACAATGAGAACACTTGGACACAGGGCGAGGAACATCACCCACCAGGGCCTGTCATGGGGTGAGGGGAGGGGGGAGGGATAGCATTAGGAGAAATACCTAATGTAAATGATGAGTTAATGGGTGCAGCAAACCAACACGGCACAAGTATACCTATGTAACAAACCTGCACGTTGTGCACATGTACCCTAGAACTTAAAATATAATAATAATAAAAAAATTAAAACTTTAAAAATGCATACCTTTAAACCAGCAATTACACCTGTAGGAATCTACAGTTATTCAAGAATAAGCAAAGATATGTGTTCAAACATATATTATAAACAGCCTATATGTCCATCAAGTTGGAGATGGTTATATAAATTGTAGTATGGCCATGCAAGTGTGGTATAGCTGTGCAAGTGCAACATATATGTAAATAAACATATGTAAATAGATGTGGAAACATATATGGAAACATAAATAACATTATATGTAAATAAACAAGAATTTTAAATATCTATATATACTGATATAAAAAATTC
This sequence comes from Homo sapiens, assembly GCF_000001405.40. NCBI lineage: Eukaryota > Metazoa > Chordata > Mammalia > Primates > Hominidae > Homo > Homo sapiens. Next base: position 112,187,931 of record NC_000003.12, on the reverse strand, counting down.
ACCAAGATACACTATTAGTAGGAAAAAAGTAACCTGTAAAATTATAAGATTTTGTATATATAAGATGGTCATTTTAGATTTTTAAAAATTTCTGTAGATACACCTATCTATGTAATATATTAAAAATAATCTAGACAAATATATGCAAAACTTTTCGTATTGCCCCATGTGGAAGAAGAAATGAGAAGGAAAGAAGGAAAATGAAGGAAGCCTTAGCTATTTATTTTATTTGTATTTTCATCATGCTTGAAACTTTTACTTGGAAGTGTTCTTATATATCACCTATATAATTAGTAAACTAATTTTTTAAAAAATTTTGACTGGTTTCTCAAGTCCCCCAGTTGCCACAATTTTTTTTGAAAGTAACCAAAATAGAATCCTGAAGACACAGTCTCGCTTGATCTTCTATTGGTTACATCATTAACACACAAAGCCTGTGTGCCTTGTACAAATTGAAACCAACTCACCACATTCAATGAAGGTTATTTTTAGTTTAATGCTGATTATACAGTTTAATGGTCCAGTCTGTAATTTCATTTGACCATGGTGAGAAGACCTGTGAAAAGCAGTATCTCCAATGAAGAAGAAACATAAACACTAGATGAAAACCTGCAAAAGCTCATGGTAAAATAACAGAAGGGAGAATAATGAAAGATTAAAATAAATCTTTACTCACTTGATTCTCACAGCAATCTGTCATGTGGATACTATTGTTGTCCCTATTTTATGAGAGAAAAAACTGAAGCACAGAGAGATTAAATAACTTGCACCAAGGTCAGATAGCTAGTAAGTCTGGAGATGTTAATTTAATCCAGGCATTCTGATCCCAGAACTCAGGCTCTTAAACATAACACTATAAAAAGCCCAAAATAGAAAGAGATGTGTGTAAAAAACCTTTTGAACTTAGAAAGCAGGGTCAATATACCTGATCATAAAGAAAGTTTATCTTGCAGAAAACAGAAATAATGAACAGAAGCAATGCCATTTAGAATGCCTTATATAACAATGCTAGGTTAAAGTTAGCAATTTTTCTGTATGAATAATCAATTGATCCAGCATAATTTATGAAAAAGACCATCCTACTCCATTGCACTGTGCTGGAGCCTTTGTCACTATTTAAGCGACTGTGTAGGTGTGGATAAGTTTCTGGACTCTTTTTCTGTTCCATTGTTTTATTTAACCATCATTAAACCAAATCATATTGTCTTGATTACTGAAACTTGTTAAGTTTTCATACATGATTGTGTGTGTCTTCCAGCGTTGTTGTTTTCTTCAAGACTATTTTGACTAATTTTAACATTTTGTATTTTCAAATAAATTTTAAAGGCAGCTTGGAAATTTCTACTAAGTTGGCCTACTGAAATTTCCATTGAGATTCCATTAATCTTGTATATCAATCTAGGGAGAATTGATAACTTTGTGATATTGACTTGATCTACTCACATGATATATCTTCACTTAATTAGGTTTTAATTTTGTTTTAATTGTTTTTGTTTTTTTTCTGTGTAGAGTTCTTATACTATTAAATTCATAAATCTGAACCTTTATCTTATACCATACACAAAAAATCAATTCCAGATAAATTATAGACATAACTGTTAAAGGTAAAACAATAAACTTCTAGAAGGTGACATAAGAGAATTTTCATGATATTGGCATAGGCAGAGATTTCAATAGGATACCAAATTGGATTTTAATAACATTAAAATTAAGAATTTTTCTTCATTAAAAAATTAAGAGAACTAAAAGTCCACAAAAAGGTAGAGGATAATTGCAAGACAAATATTTCCAATGAAGAACTCATATCCAGAATATACAAATCAGTAAGAACAAGACAGAAAGTTCATTTTTTAATGGGCAAAAGATTTGAAAGTGCACTGTGCAGCGGAAGATATTTAAATGGCTAATACACATAAGAAAAGGTGCTAAATACCGCGGGGCCTGGGTCCCAGCCGGCAGCAGAGAGCTGGTCGCCCACCACCCCAAGCTACTGCTGCCGCCTGGCTATTTCCCGGCGGGGCGGTACGTGGTGGTGGCTGAGAGCCCCCTGCCGCCTGGCGAGTGGGAGCTGTGCCGCGCAGTCCCGGGCCCTGCTTACGAGGAGGAGGGCACTCCCCTGCGCTACCAGCGTCTGGTGCCCTCTCGCAGCCGCATCGTGCGGACGCCCTCCCTGAAGGACAGCCCGGCAGGCCGGGGGCTCAGCAAGGCCGCCGTGTCCGAGGAGCTCAAGTGGTGGCACGAGCGTGCACGCCTCCGGAGCACCCGCCCCCACTCACTGGACCGCCAAGGAGCTTTCCGGGTCAGGAGCCTGCCCCTTGGGAGAGAGGGCTTCGGGCGAGCCCTGGGACCCCGGGCACAGGTGCCCACAGTGTGTGTGCTGCGGAGATCGCCTGACGGGGCCCCTGTGCAAGTCTTTGTACCTGAAAAAGGAGAGATCATCAGCCAGGTGTAACTCTGCGCCCCACGCTGGAAAAAACTGTTTCATAGAGGGGCTGGGCTGAGACCCCCCCACCCCTGAGTGCCTCTTTCAGCTTCCCCATCCCCATCGCAGGCCGATGACCTGGAGCTGAGACCTTTTATTATTTTTTTTTTACACGACTTTTTTCAGAAGCCCTGACCTAAGGATTTATATATGTGGATTGTCCTCAATACCCCTGTGATATGATTATGTTTTATCCCCCAGAGTTTGGCCTACTGGACTTAAGGCCTTGCCTGTCTGACTGACAGCCTCTATCTCCTTATATAAGACAAGTGGCAGGGGACGAGTGAAGCAGAGTGGGCCACCTTGGGAGTTCTCCAACACTCTGTGCTCTGGTTCTAAGAAATTCCCTGGGGAACTGCCCCTGGCCCTCCTGTCCCACTATTGCTGGAGGCTGGACATGGTACATACTCATGCACATGACTCTCCCCCATTTCCCAGGTCTCTGGGTACCCCAGCCTGGGCTGGGGGAGAATCTCTTCCCCCTTTCTAATGTGCTCTGTGATGCACACACCAAGTGGTAGGTCAAAGGTCAGTATATCCCGGTGGTGTATTGTCTTGCTAGACCCTGCTATTTTCCTGACCCCCTAAATCCTCTTTAGGGACCCAGTCACTATACCCTGTCTATGCCCTGTGGGCTCCCAGACCCCTGAGCTTTGAGTCAGTGGCATCACGGTTTGTAGCCTCAGGGGGTCCGGCTGGGGGCTGATCCATGCTTGTGGTTAGTGGACAGCAGCCACCCTTTGACAGCTACCTCTGGGCATCTCAAGGGCTTGCAGCCCCACTGCTCCTTCTAACATTTTGTTTGTTTGTTTTTGAGATGGAGTCTCGCTCTGTCGCCCAGGCTGGAATGCAGTAGCAAGATTTCGGCTCACTGCAACCCCCGTCTCCCGGGTTCAAGCGAATCTCCTGCCTCAGCCTTCCGAGTAGCTGGGATTACAGGCAAGCACCACCATGCCTGCTAATTTTTTATTTTTAGTAGAGATGGGGTTTCATCATGTTGGCCAGGCTGGTCTCGAACTCCTGACCTCAAGTGATCCACCTGCCTTGGCCTTTCAAAGTGCTGGGATTACAGGCATGAGCCACCGCACCTGGCCCTTCTAACGTTTTTTCATCATAGTCCCAAAAACCAATACTTTACAAGTGGTTTTGGAAAGGCACCACTTTTGTGGCATGTTCTGGTTGGGAGAGGGAGTCACAGTTCCTACTCCCCCCACCAGCTATGCTTCTGCTCTGAGAAGGTGGTTATTTATACAAACATGGACATACTCACTCCCAAGGGCTGATGAGATGCTGAATTTTCTTTGGGGGCATTCATTAATTGTCCCAGCTGCAGCGACTGGAGCAAGTCTGGAAGCTGCCTGTGCTAAGACCACCCAGCTGTCCCTGGGTTCTCATCCTAGGGCCTTCTTTGCTTCCAGGTCAGGGGACCTGCTTCAATGAGAAAGCAACTGAATTGAGGCTAGGAGAGGTAGGGAGAGCTGAGTTCTGACTTCACCTGTGCAGAACTCTCTGCCCCCATGTTACCTGGACTGGAACAGACTGTGAATATAGCAGAAGGTTCCAAGAACTCTGGTGTCTGACCTAGAAGAGGCACAGTTCTCTCTACTGGAAAGAAAACGATGTAGCCGATTGCACAAGGGTGCCAAGGGAAGACCCAGGATGGCCCATCAAAGGAACCTGGGGGAGGATGCAGGAGGCTGAAGGGATGCACCTGGCATTTCTCTCACTGTGCTCTTACCGCATCAGCAACCCCCAACTTTTGGGCCTACTCTGCCCCCCATGCGTGAATACCCTGCTTGGATGCTGTGCTTTTCCGGTTTGTCTCTAAGCCCCTTTCTCCAGGGCATGTTGGTTTCCCTGGCCTCTCAGTGTCCTAACTGGAGCCCAGAGTGCCTTGTACTGAGCCAGGAGACGGCTGAGCACTGGCCCTCCACACCTAAGCGTCCTTTACATTAACTTATTGGTCTTGTATAACACCTGGTGCCATTGCCAAGTGGCTGTGTCCTCAGCTACAGAGCTGGAATTGTGTGGGGTTTAGTGCTAAATACTTCAATAAAGTCTGTTTTTTGTGATTGGCTGAAAAAAAAAAAAAAAAAAAAAGAAAAGGTGCTAAATATCATTGTCGTAAGCTTGATGCAAATTAAAACCCAAATGAAATACCAATACACAACCACCAGCATACCATTTTTTTTAAATTGACAATACCAAGTGTAGACAACAGGGTGGAACAACGGGAACATTAGAGTAGAAGTGTAAATTGATGTGAGTGCTTTGAAAAAATATTTGGCAGTACCTATTAAAATTGAACATATGCATACTTTATGATCCAGCAATCGGATTAGATAACCATATACTCAATAGAAATATGTACATCTGTACACTATATTCGTAGCGGCATTACTCATAAAAACCCCAAATGAAGCAATCTAAATGTCAATCAACAGTAGATAAATAAAGCTGTGGTATCCATACAACCGAATACTATACAACGATGAAAATAAAATGAATAAATTTTTGCTTTCTGCAACACCATCGATGAATCTCAGAAACAAAATGTTGAGCAAATGAAATCAGACACAAGTACATTCTTTCATTTCATGCCAATAAAGCTGAAAGCCAGAGAAAGCTAAACAATGATGATAGAAGTATAGTAGTTATATTTGGATAGAAGTAATGATTAGAGGAGAACATAAAGGAGGATTCTAGGGTGAAGCAAATGTTTTATTAATCTAGGTGTTGTTACACAGATGTTTTTACTTTGTAATATTCTTTGAGTGAACATTTATGACTTGTACACTTTTTTTTCACATCTGCTATACTTCAGTAAAATGGTTTACTTTAAGAAGCTTATCTATGACTTCAGAATAATGATCATAGGGAAAACTACCTAAGAGGTACCATACTTATTACCTGGGTAACAAAATAATCTGTAAACCAAACCCCTGTGACATGCAACTTACCCATGTAACAAATCTGCACATGTATCACCTGAACCTAAAATAAAAGTTGGGAAGAAATAAAAATAATGATGATACAAAAAGAATCATGATATAAAGAGAGGTTGAAAATGTTCATGGAAGAAGAAAAATGTCAAATGATCAAGAATAGGAAATAGTACAAAGACCTGTCTGCCTTAAACATTCTGGGAACAGCAGTTTGGTTCATCCCTTTTCTTAAATTTTATGTTTTAGTTAATCATGGCCAAAAAGAAAGAGGTGCTTGATTCTCAATCTATTATCAGGCCTCTTACTGTTGAAGAAGTTCTATATCATATTCCGTGGCTAGATAAAAACAAAGATTATATAAACTTCATTCAGGTAACACTTTTATTTCCTATTAATAATATTTTTAATGTACTAACAAATAATCTTTAAAATAAGAATTTAACCATGATACTCTCTAGTTTAATATTCTCTAAATGTTCCTTATTTCTGATAGGATAAAATCAAAATCCTTTTGAATAATATGCAAAATGTTTCTACAATCTGTTTCCTGCCTACTTCAGCTTTGTCTTCTGTTTTCCATTGTCACATATCCTCTATACTCTATTTATACTGAACCACTCATGGTGTTCCATGCACATTACATGTTTTTCTAATTCCATTCATCTGTGGGTGCTATTTACTTTTCTTGAAATGCCCTTGTTTTTCACTTTTTTTTTTTCAAACTTTTCCTGCTTATTTCTTTTCTGGAAACATCCCCACCAGAGTACTCAGAGAAGTAGGTTTTGGGGCCAAATGCCCCAGTAGAAGACCTTCCTGTGAACTATATTGTTTTCAGAGGACCAATATTGCTGCCATTGTATCCAATATGTACCTTTATTATAGCATTAAGTACATTACATTACAATTATCTTTAGGTCTCCCTCCTACTATATTTTTTATCTCATCTACCTTTTGAATACCCAGCCCCTAGCACTTTGCATAATGCATAGTGGATGCTCAGTTAAGTGCTTGTGGAATGAGCAAATAAATGGATCTAACTTGTTCTAATATTCTTTTTTTAAATATCTATTTGATGTCAAAAGACCAATTATATTTTTCTACCTGATTAAACATTTTGAATAAATGAATATTTTATTTACCTGATCAGCTGTTTAGAGCAAGGGTATGTATGACATATGCATGCCATTAGCCTACATCTGTTCCCATTACTTTTCATCCAGATGAAAGATTTTTATCCCCTAATTACATTCTCATTCCTAGAGTACTTCTTTTCTAATCCGTGTATAAATACCCTATCTAAAATTGCATATATTCACAAAGATCCACCTTCCTCTTTACTATTCATAATTTCTATTTTCTGTTACAAACTTATTACTAATATATTTCAGATATTATCAAATGATAGTAATTTTTTAAATGTAAAAACTTTTTTTAAAAATGCAAATTTTAGGCCGGGTATGGTGGCTCACGCCTGTAATCCAAGCACTTTGGAAGGCCAAGGTGGGCAGAAAACCTGAGGTCAGGAGTCTGAGACCAGCCTGGCCAATGTGGTGAAACCCCGTATCTACTAAAAATGCAAAAATTAGCTGGGCATGGTCGTGGGCACCTGTAATCCCAGCTACTCAGGAGGCTGAGGTAGGAGAATTGGCTCAAGCAATTCTCCTTGGCTTGAACCCAGGAGGGGGAGGGTGCAGTGAGCCAAGATTGCACCACTGCACTCCAGTATGGGTGACAGAGCGAGACTCCGTCTCAAAAAAATAAATAACAAAAATGCAAATTTTAACATTCCCAACCACTTCTAAAATGTTGTTTATAGTTTATGTATTTGGTGGTATCTTTTAGGAAAAAGCCAAAGTTGTAACATTTGATTGTGGAAATGATATATTTGAAGAAGGTGATGAGCCCAAAGGAATCTATATCATTATTTCAGGCATGGTAAAGGTAAGGCAGAGGTTTTTGTTTTGTTTTGTTTTTTTGTTTTGAGACAGAGTTTCTCTCTTGTTGCCCAAGCTGGAGTGCAATGGCATGATCTTGGCTCACTGTAGCCTCCACCTCCTGGGTTCAAGTGATACTCCTGCCTCAGCCTCCCAAGTAGCTGGAATTGCAGGCACGCACCACCACACCCTGGTAATTTTTTGTATTTTTAGTGGAAACGGGGTTTCACCGTGTTAGCCAGGCTGGTCTCAAACTCCTGACCTCAGGTGATCCGCCCGCCTCAGCCTCCCAAAGTGCTGGGGTTACAGGCGTGAGCCACTGCGCCTGACCAGGCAGTGTTATTTATAAATGCACTTGTGATCATAAGTTTTTAAAGAAAACTTTATGAAATTGATAATTAGTAGCTTTCCATGTTAAGAACTGCATAGTTTCTTTTTTAGGACAGTGACTACCATCTAATGATAAATTTTCATGTTCAGACACAATGGATAACACTATCCATCATTTTAAAGCCATACTTTCTCACAGATAACAGGAAACTTTCAAAAGAATTATCTTTCACGATGGACAATTATAATATAAATTGTTATTCATCTTATGCTGATCTGAGTTAGAGATTTAGCCATCCTAAAATGGGTATAGATTAACTAAGTAGGAGGAATCAGAAAGATCAGAGTATTTAAGAATGCTTTGTGTCTAAATCATTGCTAATTTAATAATTTTACTTAAAAAGAAATAAAATATTTATTCTCAAGACAATATGTAAATATTAGAATTGTTCAAACCAAAGTGGAAAAAGTCATAAATTAGTTTTGGTAATACAAGTTAACTGGCATATGTATTTTTCTCTTTCTTTGTTCCTGAACAGCTTGAAAAATCAAAGCCAGGTTTAGGGATTGATCAAATGGTGGAGTCAAAGGAGAAAGATTTTCCGATAATTGACACAGACTATATGCTCAGTGGAGAAATAATAGGAGAGATAAACTGCTTAACTAATGAACCTATGAAATATTCTGCCACCTGCAAAACTGTAGTGGAGGTCAGAAAAACTTCGCCTGTGACTTTTGTTGTATTTTGTTAAATAATATCAGATTTAAGGTTATTTTAGTATTTAGTATAAGTTTACAGTCTAGTTGACAATTTACTTTTAAAAACTAGGAATTATAAAGGAACAAAACTTGCCGAATTACACTCATCTAGTATAAAGCCCTGGCAAAATAGCTTATGAATGTTAATCAACCATACAGAAAGAAAGATGTATCCAGAAAAACTGGCAATATAAGCTCTTTCATGGGGAAATTGGCTAACATATGTTAATTGTCAATACCATAATTTGAAAGATGAGAAAGGGGATAAAGACAGGGCTAGAATCTATTAATATAAAAGTTGGACAAAGTGCCTGGAAGTTTCCCTACACATGATTGAGAACAAAATCCTCACAGTACCAAGGGCTCCCACTGGCTTAATTTGAACTCAAAAAGAATAATGACTGCAAATAATTAAACTCCATAAATATGTGAAAACCCATACATTACATACATTGATAATGATGCTAATTTTTAAAATTTCTACTGAGGTTGCTAGGATATCATTTTATTACTTTGAAAATGGATTTTTTAAGAGAAAGAAGTAAACATTTATCTTGCCTTTCTTCTATGAACTCTTTCAAAGTAGTTTTTTAATTGGGAAAAATTCTATATAGAATTTCAGCTAATGAACGCAGAATGAGAGAATCAGAAAATCTCCATTGTGCCATCGCTAATAAAATAATAGATCTAGGAAACAACCTTCAGTTGGTGCTAAAACTACTAAGTGAATGTTAATAGAAAACGTTATAATGAAGGAAATACTACCTAAGGACATTGGTCAATATTAGTGTCACTAAATGGGACAACCAGGCATGATGTACCTCATGATGTGATGTAGCAGAAGTGCTAGCACCACCCATGAAGTCTCACACAAGAAAAAATCTGAAGTTCTTCAAGTCTATAGATTGAATCAGTTTACAGAAAATACAGGAAGGAGAGAAACAGGTTAATTGACAGCAAGAGGGAATAATCAGCTAAATTTAGAATGTGGAAGAGTCTGTAGACAAATAACCTGATTTCTTTAACAAATCAATGGCATAAAATGTGAATGGAGTAGCAGACATGGTGGCTTATACCTGTAATCCCAAAACTTTGGGAGGCTGGGGCAGGAGGATTGCTTGAGGCCAGGAGTTTGAGACTGGCCTGCAACATATCTGCAAAAAATAAAAAAAAAAATTAGCCAGGCATGGTGACACATGCCTGTAGATCCAGCTACTTGGGAGGCTGAGAAGGGAGGATTGCTTGAGCTCAGGAACCCAAAGTTACAGTCAGTCATGATTGCACCACTGCACTCCAGACTGGTAACAGAGCCAGACTCTGTCTCTGTTTACAAAAAAAAAAAAATATGTAGTGGTAGAGGGGAAGAAGGCAAAGAAAAATTATTAAAAATGGACTTAAGAGATATAATAACCAAATAAATACAATTGCTGTAATTTGAACAAACCAATTATAAAGAGACCTATTTGAGATAATTTAGGACATTTTAATGTGAACAGAATACTAAATGATATTTTTATTTTTGGCATATAATCACATATGTTATATATTTAAAATATCTCTATCATTAAAATATTTAAAAATAAAATTATATATTTATGATACCTGGAATTTGCATAAAACACTCTAGCCTTCTGCTTTGGGCTATAATGAAGTTACTAGTAACAGAGCAGCACATCTGCTATAAAAAAAAAACCCTAAAACTTAATAAAATATATGAGGCAAATGTGATTTTTTTTCTATTTAATTTTTTTTTTTTTTTTGAAAAAAAATTTTTTTCATCCTTTTATTTTAGGTACAGGGGTACATGTGCAGGTTTGTTATATAGGTAAACTTATGTTACCCAAAACTAAGAGATGAGAAACTCACAAGGTAAGCCCTACATTCACCCCGATCCTCTGCTTAGGACCATTTCCTGACCATGATGCAATAAGAATCCAAGCAGAAGATGGCGATCCTGCTAAGCTGAGAAATGAGACATCAGAAGTTGTGGAAGCTAACTTGGCTAGAAACTGCAGAGCAGGAAGTAAGACAAAGTCTTACACGGAGAAAGACCCAAGTAGCCTGTGTGGTGGTTCTCTACAAGTCCTTGGTTGAGAGACAGGCTGCAAATGCCCAGGATGAGACACAACTAGATTTACCAGATTGTTAAGAAAGGAAGAGAGATACCAGGAGTCAGGCAAGGTGTGGCGGGTCACGCCTGTAATCTCAGCACTTTGGTAGGTTGAGGCTGGTGGATCACCTGAGGTCAGGAGTTTGAGACCAGCCTGGCCAACATGGTGAAACCCTGGCTCCAATAAAAATACAAAAATTAGCTGGGCACAGTGGTGCACACCTGTAATCCCAACTACTTAGAAGGCTGAGGCAGGAGAATCACTTGAACCCAGGAGGCAGAGGTTGCAGTAAGCTGAGATCGCACCACTGCACTCCAGCCTGGGTGACAGAGAAAGACTCTATCACCAAAAAAAAAAAAAAAAAAGAGAGAGAGAGAGAGAGACACCAGGAGTCAAGAAGTCAAGATATCTAACAGAAAGGAAAGATCTGTTAAAATCTCAGGCCCACAGCTGAGAGACCAGAAAGAATAGGCCTTAGGAGTAAGAATCATGACCTAGAAGAAGGCTTGCTCTTATTCTAAGACCTAACAAAGCCTTGGAGCAAGCCCTGACAGCACCCATGGTGGAGACAGAGTTTGGAGACAAGTTACACTGTCTTAGATACCTGAGGTTTTCTACTGATTCACTCAAGCAAATTGTAAAACCCAGCCTATACAAGCTCAGTGTGATCAGATAGTAAATGAACTGCTTACTATAACAAAAATCAACAATTTTCAGAAGAAGATAAAATAATCTAGAATCTCTGTAGTGTTATCATGAGCAACCATGAATTACAAAACAAGCAAAGAAGCATGAAATTGTGATCTATAGTATAAAAGGTGAGGAGTAAAGCATTCGGTAAAAACCATCATGGAGATTGTCCAGACTATAGATTGGTCAAAGACTTTAAACCAGTTGTTAAAAATCGATTCTGGAGAGAGGTGGCCAACATGGCTGACTAGAAGCAGCTGGTGTGTGCCGCTCTCACAGAGAGGGATGGAAGGGGCAAGTAAACATAGCACTTTCAACTGAAACATCCAGGTACACACATTGGGACTAATCAAGGAAACAACTCAATTCACGGAGAACGGAGAAAAGTAAGGCAGGATGACCACCCACCTGGGAGTGACACAGAGTCAGGGGAACCTCCCCTGCCCAGGGAAGCAGTGAGTGAATGAGGAGTCCCAGGAACCCATGCTTCTCCCATGGATCTTTGCAACCCTCCAGTCAGGAGGACCCACTCCACTAGGGTTTGCAGTCTGACATGCAGAGCTATGTGGAGTCTTGGCAGAGCAGCCACTCAGGCACATGTGGAGCCCTAGGAGCCTTAGATACCCAGGCCTCCCAGCAAAAGCAGCTGCAACCCTCAGCAGGAGGTTAGATCCCTATACCTACTCCTAAGAAAGGGACTGAATCCAGGGGACTGACCAATGATGGTCTGCAGGACCGTGGTACATCACATGATAAGACCCACTGGCTTGGAAATCCAGCCAGCCACGGGTAGCAGCATTGCATCTCTCTGAGAAAGAGCTCCCAGCAGGTCGGGCGGGCCACCACCTTTGCTGTTTCACAGCCTCAACCACTGTTGCCTTAGGGCTCCAGCAAATCGGTGGCAATGAGGGACTAGAGCAGTCCCTCAGCACTGCTCAGCAGTACTATGGAGAAGCAGTCAGACTTCTTATTCATGCACATCCCGAATCCCATTTCTCCTCACTAGGCAGAATCTCCCAACTGGGGTCCTCCAATCACCCCTGCTGGTGTTGGCCAACTGAGTTTCAAACCTCCTTGTTACAGAGCGCCCAGAGGGAGGGTGGACCACCATCTTTGCTGTTTGGTCAACTTAGCTATTCTTGCCTTCGGGCTTTGAAGAGTCCAAGGCAACTGAAGGCTGGAGTGGACCTCCAGCTAGCACAGCTGCTCTATGAAAACATGGCCAGACTGTTATTTTTAAGTAGGTCTCTGATCCCATTCCTTTTCACTGGGTGGGACCTCCTGACCGGGTTCTCCAGCTACCTCCTACAGGTGTGTTCGGGCTGGCAATAGGTTCATACCTCCCTGGGGCAGAGCTCTCAGAGGGAGAGGCAGGCCACCATCTCTGCTGTTTCGCACCCTCCACTCATTGTTACCTTCAGGCACTAGAAAGTCCGAGGTGACTAGGGACTGGAGCGGACACCCAGCATACTGCAGCAGCCCTATGGAAAAGTGGCCAGACTATTACATGGAGCTAGTTCCCACATCTCCTCACTGGGCAAGTCCTCCAGGCCTGGGCCTCCAGCCACCCTTTGTCAGGGCTATTGAGCCAGTAGCAGTTCTGCAACTCCCTGGACAGGACTCCCTTGGGAAGGGGAGTTGCTATCCTTGCTGTCTTGCAGCCCTTGCCCTTGCTGTCTCCAGGATCCAGAGAGTCTGTAGGGACCAGAGGCTGGTCCAGACCCCCAGCAAAGAGCAACCAGCTCACAGAAAAGTGGCCAGACTGTTCTCCACGCAGATCCAGATCCTCACTTTTCCTCACTGGGCAGGGCTGCCTGGCCTGGGACTCCAGCACAATGACCCAACCCTTGCCTGATCACCACAATCAAAGACAGCCCAGCATTTCTTCAAGGAGGAAATCATAGAGTCAACTCACAACCCCTCTGCTACTACAGTTGCAGTGGCTCAGCCCTTACAGCCCTGACACTGGAAAGGAACAAAGGGCCTAGTCATTATGCTGGCACCTCCAGCACATGGCAGCCACCATATGGAGGTGAACCACCACCCCAACTCTTCACCAGGCAGGGCCCCCAGCTCATGAAAGTAGAACAGTTGCTCCATCCACAACTGCGCATACTCACTGGTAGTAGCACAGAGGTTGCCCAGGGAGAGGCTCCTAGAGACATACAACTGCACCCCCGCTCCCTCCACTGCCACAGTAACAGTTGTATCCCTGCTGCCCTTAGTCTGGGGAAGAAACAAAGAGCCTGAGGGCTACACCCAAGCTTACCACATGCCACTGCTACCAGAGGAAAGACCAATCTTTCCTCCCTGTGAGCTTTTGGCCCCCTGATCCCCAGCATGAAAAATCCTAAGGTCATGACAACAGTACACACAACCCACCCCTCCAGCTGACCAGTAACAGCAGCTCCACATTTCATGGAGGTGGAGCCCCCAGGGGCAACAACTTACAGAATGGAAGACAATGCTTGCAAACTATGCATCTGACAAAGGTTTATAAGCCAGAATCTCTAAGAAACTTAAACAAATTAACAAGCAAAACACAAACAACCCCATTAAAAAGTGGGCAAACCATATGAACCGACAATTTTCTAAAGAAGATGTAAACATGGCCATCAAGCATATGAAAAAATTCTGACGATCACTAACCATTTACATTTGAAATACAAATCAAAACACAATGAGATACCATCTCACACCAGTCAGAATGACTATCATTAAAAAGTCAAAAAATAACACATGCTGGCAAGGCTGTGGAGAAAAGGGAATGCTTATATCCTACTGATGGGAATGTAAATTAGTTCAGCCATTGTGGAAAGAACGTTGGCAATTTCTAAGAGAACTTAAAACAGAATTACCATTCAACCCAACAATTTTGTTATTGGGTATATACAGAAAGGAACATAAATCATTCTACTATAAAGACACATGTATGTGTATGTTCTTTGCAGCACTATTCACAACAGCAAAGACATGGAATCAACCTAAATGCCCATCAACAGTAGACTGGATAAAGAAAATGTGGTACATACACACCATGGAATACTATGCAGCCATAGAAAAGAATGAGATCATGTCCTTTGCAGCAACATAGATGGAGGTGGACACTATTATCCTTAGCAAACTAACACAGGAACAGAAAAGCAAATACTGCATGTTCTCATTTATAAATGGGAGCTAAACATCAAGTACATATGGACACAAAAAAGGGAGCAAGATACACCAGAGCCTACTTGAGAGTGGAGTGTAGGGAGGAAGGTAAGGATCAAAAAACTACTTATCATGTACCATTATGCTTATTACCTGGGTGATAAAATGATCTGTACACCAGATCCCTGCGAAATGTAATTTACCTATATAACAAACCTGCACTTCTATCCTTAAACCTAAATGAAAAAATTTTAAAAAGCACACACGTCAAAATTTACTTAAGGACTAGAACTTTTTAATAGTACTATACATACTGAGATTTTTGGAATTTGTGTCCTTCCCACAAAAACAACTCCATGCCAGATGGTTTTACTGATGAGTTTTATCAAATATTTCAGGAAGAAATAATATGAATCTTACACAGACTTTGTCAGGAAACAAAGGAGGAAAAAAAGCTTTCCAGTGCATTTTATGGGGCCAGTGCAAACAAATACTAAACCTTGAAAAAACATTTCAGCAAAAGAAAATTACAGACCAATAATCCCACATTAATGTGGACACAAAAAAATCATTAATAAGATACTAGCAAGTTGAATCTAAGAATATATTAAAAGGATTAGACATCAAAACTAAATAAATGAGCTTTATTTTAGGAATATAAGATTGATTCGACATTTGAAAATCAACCATTGTGATTCAACACATTATAAGAAAAAAACAGAAAATTTATATAAGATATTCAAGTAGATATAGAACAAAGAGAATTTTACAAAATGTAACATTCTTTTAAAAAATCTCCAAAAACTCAGAATAGAATGCAACTTCCTGAACTCAATAAGGGGCATTTATTATAAATTTACAGCTAACATCACATCTAGTGATGAAAAACTAAGACGGTAAGACTGAGAGCAAGACAAGAATGTCCACTCTCACCACTTCCATTCAGTATTATATTGGAGTTGTTAACTAGTACAATAGGGCTAGAAAAAGAAGTAAACTGACATAAAAATTACAAAGAAAGCACTAAAATTGTCTCTGCAAGATGGCATGATATCTACATTTGTAAGATTCTACCAAAAATAACTAGAATTTATAATGAATTTAGTAAGATGGTAAAATACAAGTCCAAATTCCAAAAATTAATTGTGTTTTCATATACTAGTAACAAACAACTGGAAATAAAATTTTTAATTCTTTTTACAAAAATAATCAAAGTATAAAAGAGATAAAGTTAATGAAATACGTGGAATAACTCTACAATGAAAACCATAGAATATTTCCTAGATAACTGAAAAAAGATTAAATAAATGGAGAAGTACACCGTATTTGTGGATTAGAGCCCATAATATTATTAAGATATCCATTCTTCAAAAATTGATCTATAGATTTAATACAACCTCAATCCAACTCTCCACAGACTCTTTTTGTAGAATATATATGAAAATGCAGAGGACCTATAATAGGCAAAACAAATATAAAAAAGTTAGATGATTTACACTACCTGATTTAAAGGCATACATCCTGTGTAATTAAGGCCACATGATGTTGGCTTTAGGTTAAGATGTAGAGATCAATACAACAGAAAAGAGAATCCATAAATAAATCCACACATACATAGTCAATAGATTTTTGACAAAGGATCAAATTATCTCAATGGAAAAATTACAATATTTTCAACAAATAATCCTGAAAACACTGAATATCCATGCAGAAGCAATGAACCTTGATCCCCATGTACTAGGCCCAAAATGTAATGTGGCATGATCATATACTTTAACATGAAAGATAGAACTATATAAATTATAGAAGAAAACATAGGAGAACTTAAGGTAGGCAAAGATTTCTTAGCCAGGATTTTTTTAAGTACTAACCATAAAACGAAATATTGATAAATTGGATGTCACCAAAATTAAAAATCTTCTGCTCTTCAAAAGACATCACAAAAAATATGAGCAGCAGGCTCAGGGAAAAATATGAGTCATGGGCTTAGGGATTTTTCAAAAGTTCCCCAAGAAAAGGATTTGATAATAGAATCTATAAATAACTCTTAACAATTCAAAAATAAGAAGACAAACTACTGAATTAAAAACTGGGCAAAGAATGTGAACAGACACTTTACAAAGAATATACAAATGGCCAATAAACACATGAAGATGTTCACCATCATTAGCTGCCAGAAACATGCAAATTAAACCCACAGTGGTACGTCAATACACACCTACTACATTGCCTAAAAATAAAAACACTGAATAACAGGTATTGGCAAGGACGTGGAGCAACTAAAATTTTCTTTTCTTTTCTTTTCTTTTTTTTTTCTGACAGAGTCTCACTCTGTTGCCCAGGCTGGAGTGCAATGGCTCCCAATCTCAGCTCACTGCAACCTCCGCCTCCCGGATTCAAGTGATTCTCCTGCCTCAGCCTCCCAAGTAGCTAGGATTACAGTCACGTGCCACCATGCCCAGATAATTTTTGTATTTTTAGTAGAGACGGCATTTCGCCATGTTGGCTAGGCTGGTCTCCAACTCCTGACCTCAGGGGCTCAGCCCGCCTCAGCCTCCCAAAGTGCTAAGATTACAGGCATGAGCCACCACGCCCAGCTGAAATTTTCATACATGGCTGATGAGAGTGTAAAATGTTGCAACAACTTCTGAAACAGAGTTTTAATTTGAACAGTGGTTTTGGTCTGAAACAGTTTGTCAGTTGCTTACAAAAGTTAAATATACATGTCCTATACTACACACAAAAAAAGATACTGACCCAAGAGAAATAAAATCCAATGTACACAAAACTTGTTTTTGACTATTCATAGAAGTTTTATTCTTAGTAACCAATGATCTGTTCACTTTTAGCATAAGCATTTTATTTTTGCCTAAAAAGTTTGCTCCCCTCAAATAACATATTTATAGATGCATATATTTATCTAAAAAGGTCAAATAATTGTTAGTAATTTGTTTTCTATATTTTATCTTATAAAAAATATGTGTAAATCATACATCTGATAATGGGTTTGTATCTAAAATATATAAGGAACTCAAAAGCTCAACAGCAAGAAAATAAATAATACAATTAAAAATAAGCAAAGGACCTGAATAAACATTTCTCAAAAGAAGACATACAAATGGCCAACAGGTATATAAACAATGTTCAAAATCATTAATCATCAGAAAAATGCACATGAAAACTACAATGAGATACCACCTTACACTAGTCAGAAAGGCTATTCGAGTTCCTTGTAAATTCTGGACATTGGTCCATTGTCAGACGCATAGTTTGCAAATATATTCTCCCATTCTGCAGGGTTTTTGTTTCTCCCAGTGAATAGGTTGCCTGTTCACTTGATTATTTATTTATTTTTGTGGTACAGAAGCTATTTAGTTCAATTATGTTCCATTTGTCTATTTTTGTTCTTGTTGCCTGTGCTTTTGAGGTTTTAGTCATGAATTCTTTGCCTACACCAATGTCTAGAAGACTTTTCTCTAGGTTTCCTTCCAGCATGTTTATAGTTTAGGATCTAACGTTTAACTCTTTAATCCATGTTGAGTTGATTTTTTTTAATGTGGTGAGAGATAAAGGGTCCAGTATTATTGTTTTGCATAAAGCAATCAAATTTTCCCAATACCATTTATGGAAAGAAATTTTAGATGACACAAACAAATGAAAAACATCCTATGCTCATGGATCAGAAGAATTAGTACTGTTGAAGTGACCACACTGCCCAAAGCAACCTATAGATTGAATGCAATATCTATCAAAATGCCCTGATTTTCACAGAATTGGAAAAAACTATCCTAAAATTCATATGGAACCAAAAAAGAGCTCAAATATCCAAAGCAATCCTAAGCAAAAAGAACAAAGCTGGGGGAATCACATCACCTAACTTCAAATTATACTATAAAGATATAGTAATCAAAACAGCATGAAACTGGTTTACAAATATACACATACATCAATGGAACAGAATTTAAAAACCCAGAAATAAAGCCACATTTTACAGCCAACTGATTTTGACAAAGTCAACAACAACATAGGGAAAGGACACACCAATTTTCATTGATAGACACATTTTACTAAGTTTCCATGCTATTATGTGAATCTTACCTAATTAAATTATTAGCTTTAATAGTGTACATAAACAAAAAAACTTTATTCCTTAAACCATAGTGCACAAAATAAAATATCAAATTTACATCCTTCTTTTCCAGACATGTTTTATTCCCAAAACTCACTTGTATGATGCTTTTGAGCAATGCTCTCCTCTCATTAAACAAAAAATGTGGCTAAAACTTGGACTCGCTATTACAGCCAGAAAAATCAGAGAACACTTATCTTATGAGGTAGGAAGTGCTTGTATAAACTTGTCTTTCTTTCTTTGAATGGAATGGCATTAAAACATTATAATTGACTATTTATGAATATATACTGAACTTCATAGACTAATAATAGACTGAAATTGTGTTTTCTAAAACAGGATTGGAACTACAATATGCAACTAAAGCTCTCTAATATTTATGTAGTAGATATACCAATGAGTACCAAAACTGATATTTATGATGAAAATCTAATCTATGTTATCCTCATACATGGAGCTGTAGAAGATTGTCTGTTACGAAAAACTTATAGAGCACCTTTCTTAATTCCTATAACATGCCATCAGGTAAAGAAATATTGATTCCTGTCTTCAGATCAATATGCCATATGTCCAACAATGTATTAACGTCAGAAAAACTGTCACTATAATCTTAAGCTTTTCATCTTCCAATCTTCTCCCTTTTCCCACCACTCCATAAACACTCACTCATACCCACAACCACACCCACATAGGCCCACACACACCAAGTTCATTGACTGCTTTGGCACTTGCTAGCCCAAGCACAAGCTATTCCCATCCAATGCCTATGAAGGCCAAGCTGGACATTTTGGTTACAGTTAGATTTTGGTACAGTTATTCATTGCAAAAGAGGGTGCATTTATTTTACTCACATGTTGCAGAAAAACTGTATCAACAATGCTCTAGAAAGGTTCTGCCAGACTGATGCTGAATTGAGTATTAGTAGTATTCCTACAGCTGCTTTGAAAGTGAATGTCTTCTCATATTTAAATTGCTAATTGAGTTCCCCTGCCAATCAAAATGAGAACCTGAGCCATGTAAAGAAGGAAAGAAGTTGTGTGTGTGTGTGTGTGTGTGTGTGTGTGTGTGTGTGTGTGTGTATTGTTTTGTGTTGGGGGAGAATCAGAGAGGCACATGTCAATAGGAATCAGGGCACATAAAAGACACAGCTACAAAAAGTAATTCAAAGAGGACTCAGAGTTATTTAAAATATGCTGGAATACAGTGCTATATATTGAAATGATAAAAAAAATGATACTTACAACTTATCCTCAAGAGATCTCTCAACCAAGTGAAAAGAAACAAATAAGTAAAGATATTAATAAGATGTTTTACAGCTAGGATAAAAGCACTTACAGGGTAGATTTTGGACATAAGAAAAAAGTGTAATGGGAATGGGAGGGATCCCAAGGTGAGAAAGGATCACAAGAAAATTTTCTAAGTGGACATCACCAGCACTGACATAATGCTTAATGAGAGGAAGTGAAACATTCTCCGCTACGCTGCTCTCTACCTCTATCCTTGAACATGTAACAGAGATTTGGTGTGGGTGCTTGTTGAGAATTTAGACAGCCAAGCAGGAGCCTGAAGCCTGATAAACTCTATCTACTTTCCTAGAAACAGAGCCCTACTCATTGTGGATTTGGGTACCAGTGTGATTCAAACTATATTGAAAACAACCACAAGGTGGAAGAATATTTTGAAATATTTCTATATGGCAGAAAGAAAGTTTAATGAAAAGAATATTTTGAAATACTCTTTTCATTAAACTTTCTTTCTGCCATGTGGAAAAAGTCTCTGGATGATTTTTAAAGGGCCATTGGTAATTCATTCTTAATCATTTTTTTCATATGGAATAGAAATATTTAAAAATCAATGAATGTATATGGAATAGTGACTTTTACAAAACCAATATATCCAAGTATTTTAAGATATTAATCTTATTTGTGTTGATTTGTTAATATTTTCCATTTTTCCCAGATACCTAGAGAAAGCCAGAAATAGCAGCTTACTAGGTAAATTTTTAATTGTAGGATATTTGCTCAGAAATTAACTTGCATTCTGTCAACTTTCAGATACAAAGTATTGAAGATTTCACAAAAGTAGTGATTATTCAAACTCCGATTAACATGAAAACATTCAGAAGGAATATTAGAAAGTTTGTTCCTAAACATAAAAGTTATCTTACACCAGGATTAATAGGTGAGTTAGACTTCTTTCAGCAATTGTGAAAACTTACTTTCCCTTTATAAAATAGCCATATGTGTATTTGGAAACTGTTGTTTGCATTCTGCCTAATATATTGAGGAATCCTTTTAACTGCCATATTTGCTATTCAATGTATGAGTTCAGACAGACAATATTGAAGTTACATTTTTAAATTATTATATATTTCATCCATAAGAACAAAAGTGCATAATTATCAAAATGATATGAAAAAAGGTTAATGAGGGAATTACTAGCTCTTCCCCAAAATTAAGATATGTTACATAGCAATAACAATAAAAAGAGCATTGTACTGTCTGAACAACAAACATAAATCACTGGAACTAGATGAATAATTTTGATATAAAGCCTATTCTTCTTACAGATTTTAATAGATAAAACTTTAATCATAACATATATGATTATTTAATCACTACTATTAAGACCATGGTTAAAATTTGAAAAATACTTTTGAGATAAATTTAAAAATTGAATTTTGAGATAAATATTAAAAATTTAAAAATTATTGAATAAGTAATAATAATAGAATTTAATTGATCAATTCATTAAAGGAGAAATAATGTTCAAAATATAGAAATATAGAAATCAATTTTAAAATCCTGTGTCTATAAAAAATATTACCAATCAAGAGATCAACCAAAGACAATTCACAGGTGAAAACTTGCACTGAAAACACAATGTGGGATTCTCTCTCCTGCTGCCCTGTGAAGAGGTGCTGTCCACCATGACTGTAAGTTTCTTGAGGCCTCCCCAGCCATGTGGAGCTCTCCAGCTCGAAGGATGCACATTTAACATTTAAAGAAATGCTAGACTCCAATCTACAGCTCCCAGCATGAGTGACGCAGAAGACGGGTGATTTCTGCATTTCCAACTGAGGTACCGGGTTCATCTCACTGGGGAGTGTCAGAAAGTGGGTGCAGGACAGTGGGTGCAGCGCACCAAGTGTGAGCTGAAGCAGGGCAAGGCATTGCCTCACCTGGGAAGCACAAGGGGTTAGGGAATTCCCTATCCTAGTCAAAGAAAGGGGTGACAGACGGCGCCTGGAAAATCGGGTCACTCCCACCCTAATACTGTGCTTTTCCAACGATCTTAGCAAACGGCACACCAGGAGATTATATCCAGCGCCTGGCTTGGAGGGTCCTACGACCACGGAGCCTCACTCACTGCTAGCACAGCAGTCTGAGATCAAACTGCAAGGCAGCAACAAGGCTGGGGGAGGGGGACCCGCCATTGCTTAGGCTTGAGTAGGTAAACAAAGCGGCCAGGAAGATCGAACTGGGTGGAGCCCACTGCAGCTCAAGGAGGCCTGCCTGCTTCTGCAGATGCCACCTCTGGGGGCAGGACATTGCCAAACAAAAGGCAGCAGAATCCTCTGCAGACTTAAATGTCCCTCTCTGATAGCTTTGAAGAGAGTAGTGGTTCTCCTAGCACACAGCTGGACATCTGAGAATGGACAAACTGCCTCCTCAAGTGGGTCCCTGACCCCCGAGTAGCCTAACTGGGAGGCACCCCCCAGTAGGGACAGACTGACACCTCAAATGGCTAGGTACTCCTCTGAGACAAAACTTCCAGAGGAACGATCAGGTAGCAACATTTGCTGTTCACCAATATCCGCTGTTGTGCAGCCTCCACTGCTGATACCCAGGCAAACAGGGTCTGGAGTGGACCTCCAGCAAACTCCAACAGACCTGCAGCTGAGGGTCCTGACTGTTAGAAGGAAAAGTAACAAACACAAAGGACATCCACACCAAAACCCCATCTGTACGTCACCATCATTAAAGACCAAAGGTAGATAAAACCACAAAGATGGGGAAAAAACAGAGCAGAAAAACTGGAAACTCTAAATCAGAGTGCCTCTCCTTCTCTAAAGGAATGCAGCTCCTCACCAGCAATGGAACAAAGCTGGATGGAGAATGACTTTGACGAGTTGAGAGAAGACGGCTTCAGATGATCAAACATCTCTGAGCTAAAGGAGGAAGTTCGAACCCATGGCAAAGAAGTTAAAAACCTTGAAAAAAACTTAGACGAATGGCTAACTAGAATAACCAATGCAGAGAAGTCCTTAAAGGACCTGAGGGAGCTGAAAACCATGGCACAAGAACTACGTGATGAACGCACAAGCCTCAGTAGCCGATTTGATCAACTGGAAGAAAGGATATCAGTGATGGAAGATCAAATGAATGAAATGAAGTGAGAAGAGAAGTTTAGAGAAAAAAGAATAAAAAGAAATGAATAAAGCCTCCAAGAAATATGGGACTATGTGAAAAGACCAAATCTACGTCTGATTGGTGTACCTGAAAGTGATGGGGAGAATGGAACCAAGCTGGAAAACACTCTGCAGGATATTATCCAGGAGAACTTCCCCAATCTAGCAGGGCAGCCAACATTCAAATTCACGAAATACAGAGAATGCCACAAAGATACTCCTCAAGAAGAGCAACTCCAAGACACATAATTGTCAGATTCACCAAAGTTGAAATGAAGGAAAAAAAGTTAACGACAGTCAGAGAGAAAGGTCAGGTTACCCACAAAGGGAAGCCCATCCGACTAATAGCGGACCTCTCAGGAGAAACTCTACAAGCAAGAAGAGAGTGGGGGCCAATATTCAACATTCTTAAAGAAAAGAATTTTCAACCCAGAATTTCATATCCAGCCAAACTAAGCTTCATAAGTGAAGGAGAAATAAAATCCTTTATAGACAAGCAAATGCTGAGAGATTTTGTCACCACCAGGCCTGCCCTAAAAGAGCTCCTGAAGGAAGCGCTAAACATGGAAAGGAACAACCGGTACCAGCTGCTGCAAAATCATGCCAAAATGTAAAGACCATCGAGACTAGGAAGAAACTGCATCCACTAACGAGCAAAATAACCAGCTAACATCATAATGACAGGATCAAATTCACACAAAACAATATTAACTTTAAATGTAAATGGACTAAGTGCTCCAATTAAAAGACACAGACTGGCAAATTGTATAAAGAGTCAAGACCCATCAGTGTGCTGTATTCAGGAAACCCAATTCACGTGCAGAGACACACATAGGCTCCAAATAAAAGGATGGAGGAAAATCTACCAAGCAAATGGAAAACAAAAAAAGGCAGGGGTTGCAATCCTAGTCTCTGATAAAACAGACTTTAAACCAACAAAGATCAAAAGAGACAAAGAAGGCCATTACATAATGGTAAAGGGATAAATTCAACAAGAAGAGCTAACTATCCTAAATATATATGCACCCAACACAAGTGCACCCAGATTCATAAAGCAAGTCCTGAGTGACCTACAAAGAGACTTAGACTCCCACACATTAATAATGGGAGACTTTAACACCCCACTGTCAACATTAGACAGATCAACGAGACAGAAAGTCAACAAGGATACCCAGGAATTGTACTCAGCTCTGCACCAAGAGGACCTAATAGACATCTACAGAACTCTCCACCCCAAATCAACAGAATATACATTTTTTTCAGCACCACACCACACCTATTCCAAAATTGACCACATACTGGGAAGTAAAGCTCTCCTCAGCAAATGTAAAAGAACAGAAATTATAACAAACTGTCTCTCAGACCACAGTGCAATCAAACTAGAACTCAGGATTAAGAATCTCACTCAAAACCGCTCAACTATATGGAAACTGAACAACCTGCTCCTGAATGACTACTGGGTACATAACGAAATGAAGGCAGAAATAAAGATGTTCTTTGAAACCAACGAGAACAAAGAGACAACATACCAGAATCTCTGGGACGCATTCAAAGCAGTGTGTAGAGGGAAATTTATAGCACTAAATGCCCACAAGAGAAAGCAGGAAAGATCCAAAATTGACACCCTAACATCACAATTAAAAGAACTAGAAAAGCAAGAGCAAACATATTCAAAAGCTAGCAGAAGGCAAGAAATAACTAAAATCAGAGCAGAACTGAAGGAAATAGAGACACAAAAAACCCTTCAAAAAATTAATGAATCCAGGAGCTGGTTTTTTGAAAGGATCAACAAAATAGATAGACCGCTAGCAAGACTAATAAAGAAAAAAAGAGAGAAGAATCAAATAGACGCAATAAAAAATGATAAAGGGGATATCACCACCGATCCCACAGAAATACAAACTACCATCAGAGAATACTACAAACACCTCTACGCAAATAAACTAGAAAATCTAGAAGAAATGGATAAATTCCTCGACACATACACTCTCCCAAGACTAAACCAGGAAGAAGTTGAATCTCTGAATAGACCAATAACAGGAGCTGAAATTGTGGCAATAATCAATAGCTTACCAACCAAAAAGGGTCCAGGACCAGATGGATTCACAGCCGAATTCTACCAGAGGTACAAGGAGGAACTGGTACGATTCCTTCTGAAACTATTCCAATCAATAGAAAAAGAGGGAATCCTCCCTAACTCATTTTATGAGGCCAGCATCATTCTGATACCAAAGCCGGGCAGAGACACAACCAAAAAAGAGAATTTTAGACCAATATCCTTGATGAACATTGATGCAAAAATCCTCAATAAAATACTGGCAAAATGAATCCAGCAGTACATCAAAAAGATAATCCACCATGGTCAAGTGGGCTTCATCCCTGGGATGCAAGGCTGGTTCAATATACGCAAATCAATAAATGTACTCCAGCATATAAACAGAGCCAAAGACAAAAACCACATGATTATCTCAATAGATGCAGAAAAGGCCTTTAACAAAATCCAACAACCCTTCATGCTAAAAACTCTCAATAAATTCGGTATTGATGGGACGTATTTCAAAATAATAAGAGCTATCTATGACAAACCCACAGCCAATATCATACTGAATGGGCAAAAACTGGAAGCATTCCCTTTGAAAACTGGCACAAGACAGGGATGCCCTCTCTCACCACTCCTATTCAACACAGTGTTGGAAGTTCTGGCCAGGGCAATTAGGCAGGAGAAGGAAATAAAGGGTAGTCAATTAGGAAAAGAGGAAGTCAAATTGTCCCTGTTTGCAGATGACATGATTGTATATCTAGATAACCCCATTGTCTCAGCCCAAAATCTCCTTAAGCTCATAAGCAACTTCAGCAAAGTCTCAGGATACAAAATCAATGTGCAAAAATCACAAGCATTCTTATACACCAACAACAGACAAACAGAGAGCCAAATCATGAGTGAACTGCCATTCACAAGTGCTTCAAAGAGAATAAAATACCTAGGAATCCAACTTACAAGGGACGTGAAGGACCTCTTCACGGAGAACTACAAACCACTGCTCAAGGAAATAAAAGAGGATACAAACAAATGGAAGAACATTCCATGCTCATGGGTAGGAAGAATCAATATCGTGAAAATGGCCATACTGCCCAAGGTAATTTACAGATTCAATGCCATCCCCATCGAGCTACCAATGACTTTCTTCACAGAATTGGAAAAACTACTTTAAAGTTCATATGGAACCAAAAAAGAGCCCGCATCGCCAAGTCAATCCTAAGCCAAAAGAACAAAGCTGGAGGCATCACGCTACCTGACTTCAAACTATACTACAAGGCTGCAGTAACCAAAACAGCATGGTACTGGTACCAAAACAGAGATATAGATCAATGGAACAGAACAGAGCCCTCAGAAATAACGCCACATATCTACAACTATCTGATCTTTGACAAACCTGAGAAAAATAAGCAATGAGGAAAGGATTCCCTATTTAATAAATGGTGCTGGGAAAACTGGCTAGCCATATGTAGAAAGCTGAAACTGGATCCCTTCCTTACACCTTATACAAAAATCAATTCACAATGGATTAAAGACTTAAACGTTAGACCTAAAACCATAAAAACCCTAGAAGAAAACCTAGGCATTACCATTCAGGACATAGGCATGGGCAAGGACTTCATGTCTAAAACACAAAAAGCAATTGCAACAAAAGCCAAAATTGACAAATGGGATCTAATTAAACTAAAGAGCTTCCGCACAGCAAAAGAAACTACCATCAGAGTGAACAGGCAACCTACAAAATGGGAGAAAATTTTCGCAACCTACTCATCTGACAAAGGGCTAATATCCAGAATCTACAATGAACTCAAACAAATTTACAAGAGAAAAACAAACAACCCCATCAAAAAGTGGGTGAAGGACATGAACAGACACTTCTCAAAAGAAGAAATTTATGCAGCCAAAAAACACATGAAAAAATGCTCATCATCACTGGTCATCAGAGAAATGCAAATCAAAACCACAATGAGATACCATCTCACACCAGTTAGAATGGCAATCATTAAAAAGTCAGGAAACAACAGGTGCTGGGGAGGATGTGGAGAAATAGGAACACTTTTGCACTGTTGGTGGGACTGTAAACTAGTTCAACCATTGTGGAAGTCAGTGTGGCAATTCCTCAGGGATCTAGAACTAGAAATACCATTTGACCCAGCCATCCCATTACTGGGTATATACCCAAAGGACTATAAATCATGCTACTATAAAGACACATGCACACGTATGTTTATTGCGGCATTATTCACAATAGCAAAGACTTGGAACCAACCCAAATGTCCAACAATGATAGACTGGATTAAGAAAATGTGGCACATATACACCATGGAATACTATGCAGCCATAAAAAATGATGAGTTCATGTCCTTTGTGGGGACATGGATGAAATTGGAAATCATCATTCTCAGTAAACTATCGCAAGAACAAAAAACCAAACACCGCATACTCTCACTCATAAGTGGGAATTGAAAAATGAGATCACATGGACACAGGAAGGGGAACATCACACTCTGGGGACTGTTGTGGGTGGGGGGAGGGGGAAGGGATAGCATTGGGAGATATACCTAATGCTAGATGACAAGTTAGTGGGTGCAGCACACCAGCATGGCACATGTACACATATGTAACTAACCTGCACAATGTGCACATGTACCCTAAAACTTAAAGTATAATAATAAAAGAAAAAAAACTTAAAAAAATAAATAAATAAAAATAAAAAATAAATACAAAATAAATAAATAAATAACTTATTTAAAACGTACTACCAGAAAAAAATAACTAAACACAATGGAAGATAGTAAGAAAGGAAGAAAGAAAGAGAATAGTTACAAAACAACTAGAAAACAGGTAAGACAATGGCAGTAGTAAGTCCCTACCTATTAGTAGTAACAATGAATGTAAATGGACTACATTCTCCAATTAAAAGATAAAGCATGGCTTAATAAATTAAAAAAATAAAACCCAACTATATGCTGCCTATGAGAAGAACTCTTTGCCTATAAAAATACATGTACACTGAAAATGAGAGGATAGTATAAAATATTCCATGCAAACAGAAACCAAAAGAGGAAGAGTAGCTAAACTTATATCAGATAAAATGGACCTTAAATCGAAATCTTTACCAAAAAAAGAACAAAAAAGGTCATTATATAATAAAAAAGGGTCAATTAAACAAGAGGATATAACAATTGTCAATATACGTATGCGCTAAACATCAGAGTCCCCAGATATGTAAAGCAAATATTAAGAGATCTAAAGGGAGAGGTGGACTGCAATAAAATAGTAGTAGGGGACTTCAACACCCCAGTTACAGCAATGGGCAGATTATGAAGACAGAAAATAAACAAACGTTGGAGTTAAACTAGACCCTACACCAAATGAGCCTAACAGACATTTACAGAGTATTTCATTCAACTGCTGCAGAATATACATTTTTCTTATCAGCACATGGAATATTCTCCAGGATAGGCCACATGTTAAGCCACAAAACAAGTCTCAATAATTTTTAAAAAGTCAAAACTATATCAAATATCTTTTATGACCACAATGGGATAAAACTAGAAATCAATCAGAGGAGGAACTATGGAAACTGACCCCAATGGGATAAAACCAGAAATCAATCAGAGGAGGAACTTTGGAAACTATGAAAGTTTTTTTAAATACGTGAAATTTAAAAAAACTTGCACCTAGATGACCAATGGGTCAATTTAGAAATTAAAGGAAACATTTTTTTTAATTTATTGAAATAAATGAAAATGGGAACACAAAATTCCAGAGCCTATGAGATATAGCAAAACCAATACTAAGTGGGAAGTCTATAGCAATAAATACCCACACCCCCAAAATAGAAACTCTTAAAAAAAAATCTAATGACACACCTCAGGGAACTTGAAAGCAAGAACAAACCAAACCCAAAATTAGTAGAAGAGAATAAATAATAAATGAGCAGAAATAAATAAAATTGGAAATAATAATGATTTTAAAAGTTGGCAAAAATATTTTTTTTTAAAAAAGATAATTAACAAAACCTTATCTAGACTAAGAAAAAGAGATAAACCCCAGATCAATAAAACCAGAAGTTAAAAAGTAAAGATTGCAACCGATACCACAGAAATACAAAGGATCATCATAGACTACTATGAAAAATTATACACGAACAAATTGGAAAACCTAGAAGAAATGGATAAATTCCTGGACACATACAACCTATCAAAATTGAAACATGAAGAAATAGAACACCTGTACAGACCCATAACACATAACAAGATCAAAGCCATAATAAAAAGTCTCCCATTAAAGAAAACCCAGGATCTAATGGGTTCACTACTGAATTGTAATGAATATTTAAATAATAACTAATATCAATTCTACTTAAACTATTTCAAAAAATTGAAGAGAAAGAAATACTTTTAAATTTATTCTACTAGGCCAGCATCATCCTGATACCAAAAGCAGACAAGGACACAGGAAAAATAGAAAACTATAGGCCAATATCCTTGATCAACAGAGATGCAAAAATCCTCAACAAAATACTAGCAAACCAAATTCAACAATACATTAAAAAGGTCATTCATCATGTTCAAGTGGGATTCATCTCAAGGATGCAAAGATGGTTCAACATATGCAAATCAATAAATGTGATGTATTACATCAACAGAATCAAGGATGAAAACCCTATGATCATTTCAGTAAATGCAGAATAAGTATTCAATAAAATTCAACATCCTTTCATAATAAAAATCATCAACAAATTGAATATAGAAGGAACATACCTCAACACAATAAATGTGACATATGTGGCAAACCCTCAACTAATAACATATTAAAGAGGAAAGAATTTTAAAAAGCTTTTCCACTAAGATCTGGAGCAAAACAAGGATGTCCACTTTTATCACTATTCAACATAGTACTTGTGGTCCAAGCCAGAGCAATTAGGCGAGGGAAAAAAATAAAGGCATCCAACTTGGAAAGGAAGAAGTCAAAGTATTCTCGTTTGCAGATGACATAATAGCATACTTAGAAAAACCTAAGGACTCCACACCAAAAACTCTTAAAACTGATAAATCCAGCAAAGTTGCAGGATACAAAATCAACATACAAAAAGTCAGTAGCATTTATATAGGCTAACAGTGATCAGTCTGAAAAAGAAATGAAGAAAGCAATCCTATTTACAATAGCTACAAAAAAAAAAATACCTAGGAATAAATTTAACTTAAGAAGTGAAAGATCTCTACAAGAAAAACTATAAAACACTGTTGAAAGAAATCAAAGAAGGAACACAAAAAATTAAAAGATATTCCATGTTCATAGATTGGAATAATTAATGTTGTTAAAGTGGTCTATACTACCCAAAGCAATCTATAAATCCAATGCAAGGCCTATCAAAATACCAACAAGCATTCTCCACAGACATAGAAAAAAAATCCTAAAATCCATAGGGAACCACAAAAGACCCTGAATAGCCACAGCAGTCTTGAGCAAAAAGAACAAAACCAGAGGCATCACATTACCCGATTTCAAACTATACTACAAAGCTACAATTACCAAAATAGCATGGTGCTGGCATAAAAACAGACACATAGATCAATGGAGCAGAATAAAGAACCCAGAAATAAATCCATGCACTGATAGCCAACTCGTTTTCAACAAAAGCACCAAGAACATACATTGGGGAAAGGACAGTCTCTTTAATAATTGGTGCTAGAAAAACTGGACATCCATATGCAGAAGAATGAAACAAGTTTCCCATCTATTACCATATAGAAAAAAACAACTCAAAATGGATTAGAGACTTAAATTTAAGACCTAAAACTGTAAAACTACAAAAAAAAAGTTGGGAAAATGCTATAGGACATTGGCCTGAATATTTTTTTGCCTAAGACCACAAAAGAACAGACAACCAAAGCCAAAATAAACAAGTGGGATTATATCAAGCTAAAAAGCTTCTGCACAACAAAGGAAACAGTCTACAAAGTGAAGAGACAACCTACAGAATAACAGAAAATATTTGCAAACTATTCATCTGACATGGTATTAATAACCAGAATATATAAGGAACATAATTCAATAGCAAAAACACAAGTACTTGATTTTTAAATACACAAAAGATCTGAAGAGACATTTATCAAAAGAAGACATGCAAATGACCAACAGATAGACGAAAAAATGCTCAACTTCACTAAAAATAGAGAAATGCAAATCAAAACCACAATGAGATATCATTTCACCTTAGTTAGAATGACTACTGTCAAAAAGACAAAAAATTTAAAATACTGGCAAATACACCAAGAAAGGGGAACACCTGTACACTATTGGTGGAGATGTAAAGTAGTACAGCCATTATGGAAAACTGTACAGTGTTTCTTTAAAAAAAAATAAACTAAAACGAGAATTACCATATGATCTAGCAATCCCACTGCTGGGTATATATTCAAAAGAAATAAAATCAGTATGTTGAAGCGATGTCTTCACTCCCATGTTTATTGCAGCACTGTTCATAACACCCAAGATATGAAATCAACATAAGTGTTCATCAACAAATGGATAAAGAAAATGCAGTGTGTATATGTGTGTATGTGTGTATATACACAATGGAATATTATCTAGCCATTAAAAAAACAATAAAATTCTCTCATTTGCTGCAATGTGTTTGAAACTAGAGGTCATTATCTTAAGCTAAATAATCCAGGCACAGAAAGACAAATGCGACATGTTCTCATTCATATGTGGGCACTAAAAAAGTGGATCTCATAGAAGTATAGAGTACCATGATAGTTATCAAAGACTGAGAAGGAAAGGGAAAGGAGATGATGAAGAATAGTTGACTAAGGGGTACACAAAAATACAGTTAGAGGGGAAAAGTTCTAGTATTCAATAGTACGGTAATCATAGTTAAAAAAATATTGTATATTTCCAAATAGCCAGAAGAGAAGAATTGTAATCTTCCCAACACAAAAAAAAAGATAAATGTTTGAGGTGATGGTTATCCCAATTATTCTGATTTGATCTTTACCCACTGTATACAGGCATCAAAATATTATATGTACCCCCAAAATATGTACAGCTAATATATATCAATAAAATATTTAAATTGTCAAAAAAATTAAAATAAAATACCTTGATTCTCTGCTTTTAAAAATGATTAAGCATATACAGGGCATGGTTTTGGGCCCTTCACCGTCTGCTCTTTCACCTGCTACCTCCTC
Organism: Homo sapiens; assembly: GCF_000001405.40. Taxonomy (NCBI): domain Eukaryota; kingdom Metazoa; phylum Chordata; class Mammalia; order Primates; family Hominidae; genus Homo; species Homo sapiens. The sequence goes on along the minus strand of NC_000003.12, from coordinate 112,155,750 downwards.
TCCCCACACTTTAAAACCTAGCCATACCAAACTACAAATGGTTCACCTGATATAAAAGACCTGGTGGCCTCCCATTCCTGAGCGTTTCCCCATATTGTTCATTTTTCCTGAAATTCTCTATACATCCTCTTCCCCACATCTCCTCATTTCATGGAGCTAACTCCTTATCCTTGAAATCTCAGCTTTTTCTCCAAGCAGCCATCACTGATACATCCCAAATTCACAAAACTGCGCTATGTGACTCTCCTGCATGCTCCAATAGCCCAACATACACACAGTCCTGTTTTTACCACGTCATATTTCTTTGTATGTTTGCTAGTCTGTCTGTTTTACTAACTTAAAACTCCTAGAAGACATGGATCTTAATTCTTTTGCTTTCTTATGTATCCTTATTGCTAGCAACATGCCTGGCCCTCAATACATATTAATATAAAAGTATTTTGGGATATTGGAATGATAGATGATTTTGTAGCTCTACTTTCCAAACTTTTTGCACATTTATTATATCATCTCCATAATAAAAGACTTATAATCACTTTTTTAAATGTGACCCTTTTTTTTAACCAAATGAGATTACCACCAATTTCAGATCACAGGTCCTGAGTGTGATTTGAATCTGATCTAATCTGATAGTTGGACTAATAGAAATAGTCACTTGCTTCAGTGGTTGAATTAACACTGTTTTTTTTTTTTTTAATCAGGTTCAGTTGGAACATTGGAAGAAGGCATTCAAGAAGAAAGAAATGTTAAGGAGGTAAATTTAAAGCAGCCTTTCTAAAAGTTGTATTTTGGGTAAAAGAGAGTCTAGAATTTATGGAAACTACCAATGTGTTTCTCTTATTCTGAAAAAGTTCATCTGCTAGTCATTTTGTAGATTTTGGTGTAAAACACTTATTTTAGCACTGGGTACAGTGGAAATTATACTTATTTTTAGGGAAATATTAGAGAAATGACAAAGAAAAACGAAGTTCAAGGGATGCCAGAAGATCTGTCTTGAATCACATTAGCAACCAGGCACTACCAGGATGGCTACGGTTGTAGCACACCCAAGCCCTTTCCACTCCCCCTTGGAATGCCAAAATCTGGACTGACCCTTAATTCTTTCAGTGCTACCTCAGCTATGCATTTGGGATCTTTAAGCCTGAAAGCAGTTTGCCCTGTGTTTACAGTGCATGACAGAAAGAAGGAGCTCAATAATAAATGCTCTAATAAAATATATCCCGGCTAACCTAAATTATTCAGAAAGTCCCACAAATATTGATCAATTTCATATTCCTCTATGACCCTGGGGATCTTGAGATCCTCAAAATCTTGAGCCAACTTCACAATAGGATTCCAAGCTGTGAAACACTATAGGACTCTGGAACTGAAACTGAGCAGAGAGAAATATAATGAAAATACCCCACCAAATCTACATCATCCTACCTGTGTCTGAATCGTATGGACTCCAGATGGAATGGAGAGTTCATTTTTAGTTTTAGTCTCTGCCAAGTTGTTTATATTGCTCCAGAAGATGCTGATTATAATACTCAGAATCTGATAAATGTCTGCTATGAATACACAAGCCATAAAATTGTATATTTAGTTGTTAAATACATATTTTACATCCATTAAGCCTATTTGTTCTATTAGCACTAGACATAAACCTGAGAACAGACACTCCTTTTGTCCCCAACATCTCCTCACAAATATATGTTGAATAAAAGATGATCATAAGTTCTGTGATAAGTTGAAGATGTTCCTCATCCAAGTGCCCTGGCTTTTAAGAGGACAACACTGTTCTCCAGTACCCAAGTGTCCATCCCTCATGAAAGAAGGATGTTCACTGTCTCCCAAAAGGATTTTGGAGACTTCTTGGGAAAAAGTTTCCTCAAACCTTTCCTATTTATTGCCTGTTGAATGGAATTCATGGCAGAATAGCATAAGGGCCAAGAATCTGGGCTCTGGTATGAGACTTTCTGGAATTGACTCAGATTCTACCACTTAATAGCCACGTGACCTTCGGCAAATTTTTTAACCTACATAAGCATCATTTTTTCATCTATAAAAGAGTGATAATAGCAATACCCACCTCTGTAGAGATCAAAGAAATGAAAAGTACACTGCACAGTCCTTGGCACAAACCAGCAATTCCTACACAGTTTCCATTATTCTTGGCTCACCCTTTCTTAATACAGGAAACTATTTCTCCAAACGTCTTTGACTCTTCTCATATTCTCTAAAAAACATGGATACATGCACCTATTCTAATTCTTCCAAACACAGCTGCTCCTGAAGGCTAGGGAATAACAAAGGGAAATAACAATAGAAAAACAGATGAGGAGGACATTTAAAATAAAATATTAGATGACTTCTAGAGCCCACTGACAAGACCATCTTTTTTTTTTTTTTTAACAATGCTGCCTTAATAGCATATTTGGAGGGATTGAAGAAGGAAAGCTAATGTTTTTCATGTACCTAGCCTCAAACAGTGCTGCTTTTCCATCAATTAAAAAAAGAATGATGGCATGGTGGTTGTTAATGAAGCAGGAGTGTGAAAATGAAAGTTTGTTAAATGACAGGAATGTTAGCTATTAAGACATATAAAGAAAATCATCAAATTGTGTTGTTTAGTAGATGCTTCTTCTCCCTGCAGTTAGATCCTGGCTGTGTTAGAGTCAGTTCTCTTCCCAGGATCCTAAACCCTTTCCTCATCATTACCATCCCAGGACTGTGGCTTTCCCTTTACATAATAAAAAGTCCACCAAAGGTGTGGGGGAAAGAAAGATAGATCAGACTGTTATTGTGTCTATCTAGAAAAAGGAAGACATAAGAAACTCCATTTTGATCTGTACTAAGAAAAATTCTTCTGCCTTGAGATGCTGCTAATCTGTAACCCTGGCCCCAACCCTGTGCTTGCAAAAACACGTGCTGTATTGACTCAAGGTTAAATGGATTTAGGGCTGTGCAGGATGTGCTTTGTTAAAAATGTGTTTGCAGGCAGTATGCTTGGTAAAAGTCATCGCCATTCTCCAGTCTCGAGTACCCAGGGACACAATGCACTGTGGAAAGCCGCAGAGACCTCTACCCAAGAAAGCCTGGGTATTGTCCAAGGTTTCTCCCCACTGAGACAGCCTGAGATATGGCCTCATGGGAAGGGAAAGACCTGACTGTCCCCCAGCCTGACACCAATACAGGGTCTGTGCTGAGGAGGATTAGTGAAAGAGGAAGGCCTCTTTGCAGTTGAGATCAGAGGAAGGCATCTGTCTCCTGCTCGTCCCTGGGAATGGAATGTCTCGGTGTAAAACCCGATCATACATTCTATTTTCTGAGATAGGAGAAAATCGCCTCATGGCTGGAGGTGAGACATGCTGGCAGCAATACTGCTCTTTACTGCACCGAGATGTTTGTGTAAAGTCAAACATAAATCTGGCCTACATGCACATCGAGGCACAGCACCTTTCCTTAAACTTACTTATGACACAAAGTCCTTTGCTCACATGTTTTCCTGCTGATCCTTTACCCACCATTACCCTATAGTCCTGCCACATCCCCCTCTCCGAGATGGTAGAGATAGTGATCAATAAATACTGAGGGAACTCAGAGACCAGTGCCGGTGCGGGTCTTCCCTATGCTGAGTGCAGGTCCCCTGGGCCCACTTTTCTTCCTCTATACTTTTTCTCTGTGTCTTATTTCTTTTCTCAGTCTCTCATCTCCACCTTGCGAGAAATACCCACAGGTGTGGAGGGGCAGGCCCCCTTCAAAAGGCCTATCATGACATCAAGTAACAAAGTGTTTTGAATCCCAGGATGGAGCACACAGTGCCGCCACTGCCAGGAGTCCCCAGCCTTGCTCCCTGCTGGGGACAAAGTTCAACTGTAAGGAGTCCCCTAGAATAAACCTAAGGAAAGTCAGGTAAGCCACTCTGGTTTCCTCAACAGGATCAGGAGCACATCTGTCCCTGGAGATACAGACTGAAGCCAAAGTTACTTGCCCTTTATGTGATAGTGTGAATTATAGCTCTTTCCACTAGTCAGATGATTCTTCTAATTACAGTGTTTCTAAGTTGTAATTTAGAGAATTAACTTCAAAATAATACTCCTTTATCTAGATTTCTGAAAACTTCATAATATTCTGGTTTCCTCTCTATATACTGCCACTTAATCTCACATGCAACACTGGCTGCTCTCAATTTAGCAGGTTATTTTTCAGGCTACCATGTACTGTTGGAAGATATAAAAAGATAAGTTATGACTTCACTTCTCAAGTGTTTATGTTCTAGTTAAGAAGACAAAACCTACCAGAAGGCAATTAAACTACCATAAAAGATACACTGTGGATAACACCAGCTGAAGTTAAAGGAATTCAAGAGAGAAATGGCTGGCTGTGAGAATGAGCAAAGTCTTTGTAAAGAAAGGAAGAGGATATTCACAAGAGAGGATAAAAGAAAGCAAGACCTTTGGGGAACAATGAGGAGGACAGTCCGACAGTTAACTGTTCAAAATGTATCTATGGGGAAATATTTGTGTGTGTATGCTTTATATGATTTTATGTTACATAAATCATATCACTAAGTTAAAAAATAAAAGCCATCAGATAAATAGGTTTATCTCCATTTTAAAAATGTAATTCTTCAGGCTGGGCGCGGTGGCTCACGCCTGTAATCCCAGCACTTTGATAGGCCAAGGCAGGTGGATCACGAGGTCAGGAGTTCAAGACCAGCCTGACCAAGGTAGTGAAACCCCATCTCTATTAAAAATACAAAAATTAGCCAGGCGCTGTGGCAGATGCCTGTAATCCCAGCTACTCAGGGGGCTGAGGCAGGAGAATCGCTTGAACCTGGGCGGCGGAGGTTGCAGTGAGCCGAGATCACGCCATTGCACTCCAGCCTGGGCAACAGAGTGAGACTTCATCTCAAAAAAAAAAAAAAATATATATATATATATATATGTATATGTATTTATATATATATATATATGTATATGTATTTATATATATATATGTATTTTTATATATATATTTTATATATATATATATTTCTTCCATGCCACCTCCATATTTTAAAATATGGCCATATTTAAAAGTAGATTTAAAAGCTTAAAATACCCTATAAAAAAGTATTTGCAAGATGAATTTAATGGCGGATTAGAGGCTTTCAATGTGCCTCAGCCACTTTGAAGTAGCAAGATAGTGCATAAAAATTATCTCCGTGAGCTACAATTCAAGAAGGAAGATGGGAATCCCACTGGAATCATGAGGGACACCCCAGATCCCAGAGAGAAGAACAGTGGCAAACAGCACTCCCATGACAGTATCTACCTCATAAAAGTGAGTGAAGCCCCAGTATATGAGAGAAGTAGAGAGCTTCCCTTTGTGACTCATCTTTCTACTGGAGAGCCATGCAACCCAGGCCAAGAGAGACCACTTTGTTTCTCCCCTAGCCCTCGAGTTAACTTAGGAGAAAGGCACTGGAGAAAGCTGTAGACATTTTCCCAGACCTGGGATGAGAGCAGGATGCCATTTTTAATCCGGTCACATAAAAAGTCAGTCATTTTTGGGTGACTCAGCAGCATGGCTATACAGGCATTTTAGTCTCAGGCCAGAGATTGAACACCCTGTTCTGGAGCAGGGTAGGAGCCTTCACTGCCAGAATTGTGGGAAGTGCCTCAACAGTAGGTGCTAGAATTGTGCTTTTTCCCATTGCAAGTCTGGGGTAGGAGGAAAACTGCTACAGCTGTAATTTCTTCTGGGTAGTGAGACTTGCAGCCAGGGCCAGCTTGGCAACCACAAACTTATCTGTATGTGCCATTGCTGAGTGCCTTACCCTGCTCCCCTGAGATTGTGGTGCAGTGGGGCCCTTTCTGCTCAACCTCCAGGTAGAAATGCAGGTATGTGGAGCACTCATTCACCCTGTTCAGCACCCTAAGCCATCCCACCCTTCCTGGACACAGATCATGGTGCAGTGGGGCTCCCTCTGCTCCCCACCCAGGCAGATCTCAGGTGTTCAGAGCACCCATTTGCCTTGTTCAGCAGCTTGAGCCATGCAACCCTTTCTGGACATAGATCATGGTACAGTGGGGCTCTCTGTTCCACACCCAGGCAGACCTCCAGGCATTTGGAATACCCATTCACCTGGTTCAGCAGCCTAAGCTATGCCATCCTCCCTAGACATAGATTGTGGTGCAGCAGGGCTCTCTCTGCTCCAAGCCCAGGGAGATCTCCAGACATTTGGGGCACCCATTTGCCTGGTTCAAGAGCCTGAGCCACCCCATCCTTTCTGCACATAGATCATGGTATAGCAGGGCTCTCTCTACTCCACACTTAGGCAGATCTCCAGGCATTTGGATTACTCACTCACTGGATCAGCAGCCTGACCCACCCCATCCTTTCTGTGCAGAGATCCTGGTGTGTGGGAACTCTCTCTCTGCTTCATGCCCAGGCAGATCACCGGCATTCAGAGTACCCACTGACCTGTTTCAACAGCCTGAGCCACCCCACCCTTCCAGAATCATGAAGCAGTGGGACTCTCTGCTCCATGACCAGGCAGATCTCCAGGCATTCAGACTATGCACTCACTGGATCAGCAGCCTGACCCAACTGCTCCCCCCACTTCCTGTGCAGAGATTTTGGTACAGGGGGACCTTCTCTGCTCCACGCTCACACAGATCTCCAAGCATTCAGAGCACCTGCTTCCTTGGGCCAGCAGCCTGAGTCACCCTACCCCTCCTGTGCAGAGATCTTGGTGCAGGGGGGCCATCTCTGCTCCACACACAAGCAGATCTCAGGCATCTGAAGCACCCACTCTTCTAGATTAGGAGCTTAGGCTGCCCCCATCCCTGTGCAGAGAACTCAGAGCCAAGGTTTCCCAACTCCATGCCCAGGCACACCAGTGAGTACCTGGTGGACACTCACTGGATTCTCTATTGGCACTGGTGCTTGTGCCTGCTATCAAGAGACCTGCAGACAGACCTGCCCAGTCAAGACACACCCTTTTTGGCTCCTACTCCCCATCCCCTCAAGGCTGAGCAGGGAGCTCAGACCACTGTGCATATTAGGAATTAGCCCATTGCCTAAAACAATAGTTTCTGCCAGTAAACACGGGTCAAGTATATACCTAAACACATTGGCTACAGCCAGCTCTTACTGTAAGTACCATCTACAGGCTTGTACGATGAACTGCACAGCCCAATATAAAACCTGCCAAAAGTTTTATTAAGACATAGAGCTACAGTAGCAAAGCCAAAACAGCATTCTCTATGGTCATACCCCCTAGGGAGTGGGGGAAAAGGGAAGGGAAAAAATAAAATATAAACAAATAATAATATTATTAAAGGGAAAAAGGAAAATTCTACTCACATGAAAAGAATTACAAAAATTAGAAGTGCCAGTGTCTCCAGATGAGAAGGAACCCATGCAAGAATTCTGGCACCATGAAAAATCTAAATGTAGTAACACCACTAAAGGATTTCACTAGCTCTCCAGCAATGGTCCCTAACCAAAATGTAAACTCAGAGATACAGATAAGGAAGTCAAAGCATGGATTATAAGGAAGCTTAATGAGATCCAAGATGAAGCTGGAAATCAACACAAAGAAACCTTAAAACAATCCAGGAAATGAAAGAAGAGATAAACACCTTAAAAAGAAATCAATCAGGGCTTCTGGAATTGGAAAACTCACCTAAAAAAATTGAAAATACAATTGAAAATGTTATCAATAGACTAAACCAAAGAGAAAAATGAATTTCAGAGCTTGAAGACCACTCTTTTGAACTAACCCTGTCTGCCTGAAATAAAGTTTAAAAGAATTTTAAAAATGAGCAAAGTCTTTGAGAAATATGGGATTATATAAAGAAATCAAACTTATGAATTATTGGCATTCCCTAGAGAAGGAGAAAAGTCAAACAACCTATAGAATATATTTCAGGAAATAATTCAAGAAAACTTCTTTAATCTTGCTAGAGATGTAGACATCCAGATACAAAAACCTAGAGACAATATACAAAATGAACGTCCCCAACACATATAGTCACCAGACTGTCCAGGGTCAGTGCCAAAGAAAAAATTTTAAAGTCAGCGAAATAGGGTAGATAACATACAATGGGAACTCCATGAGGCTAACAGCAGATTTCTCACCAGAAACCTTACAAGCCAGGAGAGACTGGGGATCTATATTCATCTTTCTGAAAGAAAGAAAATTCCAACCAAGAATTTCATATCCTGCCAAACTAAGCTTTATAAGCAAAGGAAAATTAACTTTCCAGACAAGAAAGTGCTAAGGGAATTCATTACCATGAGACCATCCTTACAAGAGACTGTTAAGAGAGTTCTAAACAAGGAAAGAAAAGAATGGCAACTGCTACCACAAAAACTCACCCATGTACATACCTTGCAGGCCATATAAAACAAAAACACAACAGAAACTGCACAATACACAGCTAACAACTTCACAATAGGATCAAAATTACATATCAATATGAATCTTGAATGTAAATGGTGTAAACACCCCCACGTAAAAGGCATAGAGGGGCAAGTTGAATTTAAAAAACAAGACCTATCCTTCAAGAAACGCATCTCACACATAATGACACCAATGAGCTCAAAGTAAAGGGCTGGAGAAAGATCTACCATGCAAATGGAAAACAAAAAAGAGCAGGGGTCACTATTTTTATATCAGATAAAACAGACTTTAAATAGGAAACAGTAAAAAAGACAAAGAAATGCATTATGTAATGATAAAGGGTTCAATGTAAAAAGAAGACTTAATCATCCTAAATTTATATGCACCCAATATTGGAGCACCTAGGTTCATAAAACACATACTTCTAGGTGTATGAAAAGGCTTAGATAGTCATACAATACTAGTGAGGGACTTTAACTCCCCACTGATAGTATTAGACAGATTGAGACAGAAAAGTAACAAAGAAATTCTGGACTTTAACTCAACACTTGGACCTAATAGACATCTACAGAATACGCCACCCATCAACCACAATGTATATTATTCTCATCCGCACACAAAAAATATTCCAAGATTGACCACATGCTCAGCCATAAAGCAAGTCTCAATCAATTCAAAAGAATCAAAATCATACCAACCATATTCTTGGACAACAGTGGAATAAAAATAGAAATGAATACCAAGAAGATCTCTCAAAACCACACAATTACATGGAAATTAAACAATTGACTTCTGAATGATGTTTGAGTAAACAATTAAATCAAGGCAAAAATCAAAAACAACTTTGAAATAAATGAAAGAGACACAACATACCAAAGTCTCTGGGATACAGCAAAACCAGTGTTAAGCATAAAGTTTATAACACTAAATGCCTACCTCAAAAGTTAGAAAGATCTCAAATTAACAATCTAATTTCACCCCTTAGGAACTAGAAAAACAAGAACAAATGAGCTACAAAGCTAGCAGAAGAAAAGAAATAACTAAAATCAGAAAAGAACTGAACAAAATTAAGACATAAAAGTCCACACAAAGAATCAATGGAAATAAAGTTGGTTTTTTGAAAGGATAAACAACATCAGTAGATCACTAGCTAGATTAAAAAAAAAAAGAAAGCTCCAAATACACACAATCAGAAATGACAAAGGTGACGTTATAACCAATCCCACAGAAATACAAAAGATCCTTGGAGACTGTTATGAACACCTCTACATACACAAACTAGAAAATGTAGAAGAAATGGTGTATCAGTCCGTTTTTCTGCTGCTGATAAAGACATACTTGAGACTGGGCAATTTACATAAGAAAGAGGTTTACTGGATTTACAGTTCCACGTGGCTGCGGAGGCCTCACAATCGTGGCAGAAGGTGAAAGACACATCTCATATAGTGGCAGACAAGAGAAGACAGCTTGGGCAGGGAAACTCCCCCTTATATAATCATCAGATCTCGTGAGACTTATTCACTATCATGAGAACAACACAGGAAAGACTTGCCCCCACGATTCATTTATCTGCCTTCGGGTCTCTCCCACAACATGTGGGAATTTAAGATGAGATTTGGGTGGAAACACAGCCAAACCATATCAAATAGGTAAATTTCTGGGACCACACAATCTCCCAAGATTGAATCAGGAAGAAATTGAAAAACTGAACAGACCAATATCAGGTTCCAAAATTGAATCCATAAAAAAGAACCTACCAACCAAAAAAAAAAAAAAAAAAAAAAGCCAAGGGCAGGTGGATTCACAGCCAAATTCTACCAGATATACAAAGAAGAGCTAGTACTAATTCTACTGAAACTATTTCAAAAAATCAATGAGAAGGAACTCCTCACTAACTCATTCTACAAAGCCAGCATCACCCTGATATCAAAACCTGGCAAAACACAATGAAAAAAGACAACTACAGGCCAATATTCCCAATCAACATAGATGTGAAAATCCTCAACAAAATTTTAGCAAATTAAATCCAGCAGCACATCAGAAAGTTAATATACCACGATCAAGTAGGCTTTATTTCTGGGATGCAAGACTGGTTCAACATCCAGCAAATCAATAACTGTGGTTCACCACATAAACAGAATCAAAAACAAAACCATATGATCATCTCCATAGACATAGAGAAAGCTTTTGATAAGATCCAACATCCCTTCATGATAAAAAGCCTCAACAGACTAGGCACTGAAGGGACACACCTCAAAATAATAGGAGCCATCAAGCTCCTATTATTTTTGGGACAAGCCCACAGCCAACATCATACTGAATAGGCAAAAGCTGGAACCATTCCCTTTGAGAACTGGAACAAGAAAAGGATGTCCACTCCCACTACTCCTATTCAACATAATACTAGAAATGCTAGCCAAAGCAATTAGGCAAAAGAAAGAAATAAAGTCATCCAAAAAAGAAAAAGAAGTCAAACTATCTCTCTTTACAGACAATATGATTTTATATTTAAAAAACCCTAAGGACTCTACCAAAAGGCTTCTGGAGGTGACAAACAACTTCAGCAAAGTTTCAGGATGCAGAATCAATGTACAAAAATCAGTAGCATTTCCATACACCAATGTTCAAGCTGAGAGCCAAGTCAAGAACACACTCCCATTTACAATATATACACACACACACAAACCTTAGGAATACATGCAACCAAGGAGGTAAAAGATTTCTATAAGGAGAATGACAAAATACTGCTGAAAGAAATCACAGATGACATAAACAAATGGAGAAACATTCCATGCTTGTGGATTAGAAGAATCAATATTGTTAAAATGGCCATACTGCCCAAAACAATCTACAGATTCAACACTATTCTTATTGAATTACCAATATAATTTTTCACAGAATTAGAAAAAAAATGGCCGGGTGTGGTGGCTCACACCTGTAATTCCAGCACTTTAGGACGCCAAGGTCAGGAGTTTGGGACCAGCCTGGCCAACATGGTGAAACCCCGTCTCTACTAAAAATACAAAAAAATAGCTGGGCTTGATGGTGGGTACCTGTAATCCCAGCTACTCAAGAGGCTGAGGCAGGAGAATTGCTTGAACCCAGGAGGCGGAGGTTGCAGTGAGCCAAGATCACACCATTGCACTCCAGCCCGGGCGACAGTGCGAGACTCTGTCTCAAAAAAAAAAAAAAAAAAAAAGCCAGGGCATCACAATACTATAAGGCATAGTAATCAAAGCAGCATGGTACTGGTACAAAAACAGACACATAGACCAATGGAACAGAATAGAGAACCTATAACTAAAGCCCCACACTTACAACCATCTAATCTTCAACAAAGTTGACAATACAAGCAATGGGGAAAGGACTCCCTATTCAATAACTGGTACTAGGATAACTGGCTAGCCATATACAGAAGAATGAAACTGAAACTATTTCATTCTTTCCCCTACCTTTCACCATATACAAAAATTCACTCAAGACAGATTAAAGATTTAAATGTAAGACCTCAAACCATAAGAATCCTAGATGAAAACCTAGGAAACACTATTCTCGACACTGGCCTTGGCAAATAATTTATGACTAAGTCTTCAAAAGCAATTGCAACAAAAACAGAAACTGACAAGTAGGACCTAATTAAACTAAAGAGCTTCTGCACAGCAGAAGAAACTATCAATAGAATAAACAGACAACCTACAGTATGGGAGAAAATATTCCCAAACTGTGCATCCAACAAAGGCCTAATTTCCAGAATCCATAAAGAACTTAAACAATTGAACAAGCAAAAAACAACCCCATTAAAAATGCATGAAAGACATAGACAGACACTTCTCAAATGAAGACGTACAAGCAGCCAGCAAACATGAAAAAGTGCTCATCATGACTAATCATTAGAGAAATGCAAATCAAAACCACAATGAGATACTACCTCACACCATTCAGAATGACTCTTACTAAAAAGACAAAAACAACAGATATGATGAAGCTGCAGAGAAAAGGAAACATGTATACACTGTTGGTGGGAATGTAAACTAGTTCAGCCACTATGAACAGTAGTTTGGAGATTTCTCAAAGAACTTAAAACAGAACTACCATTTGATGCAGCAATGGCATTACTGGAGATATATATATATATATACACAAATTATTCTACCAAAAAGACACATGCACTTGCATGTTCATCGTAGCACCACTTACAATAAATAGCAAAGACATGGAATCAACCTAGGTGCTCATCAGTGGTGGGTTGAATAAAGAAAATGTGGTACATATATGCCATGAAATACTATACAGCCATAAAAAAGACCCAAATCCTGTCCTTTGCAGCAATATGGATGCAGCTGAAACCCATTATCCTAAGCAAATTAACACAAGAAAAGAAAACCAAATATTGCATGTTCTCACCTGTAAGTGGGAACTAAACATTGGGTACTCATGGATATAAAGATGGCAACATTAGACCCTGGGGATTTCTACAGAGGGCAGGGAGGGAGGGGTCAAGGGTTGAAAAACTAACTACTGGGTACTATGCTCAGTACCTGGGTGATGGAATCATTTGAATCCTAAGCCCAGCATCACGCAATATACCCAGGTAACAAACTTGCACATGTATCCCTGGAATCTAAAATAAAAATTGGAAAGAAAAGGATTTTTTTTTATTATTGCCCAAAGAATACTTTCATATATTATCAGAAGATATTCTCTTTTTTGTATATTGAATTTAAGTCAGAATGATTTAGGTAATGTTTAATGCATTGATCTCTTTTACCTCAAAAAAGTAATACTGTCATAGAAAGCAGAAGGAAATACAAGGAGGTGCTGGAGATTGATAATCTTCTTGGCAGGAGGACACCCAAGTCAGCAGTTTCTTATATAATCCTATAATAATAAAAGCAGTTCAAGAATGGTCCAAAAAAAGAATTAATTGCTTACAATAAGATCAATATCTTTACTTTGGACTAATGTGTACAACATGATTAGGAAAACACTGTAATTTCAACAGGCAAACTTATGAATAAGCAATTCAAGTAAAAGACAATACCTAACAATGGAGAAAATAGTAATCTAAGAAATGCAGAATTTAAAAAAAATTATTAACATTTGCTTTTTTAATTGACAACTTTTTTATTCATTGGTAACATCTATTTCCTTTGAAACAGAAGAGGAAATAGATGAAAACTGAGGGATATTGGTTTTCTCATATTTTGCTGGTAGAAGAGTAAAAACAACTTGTAACAAAGTTATAAGAATGCTCACACACTTTGAATTAGTGATTATGCTTCTAGGGATTAATCCAAAGTAAATTATTCTTACAGTAAATGTGTACAAAACGTCCAAGGCACTACTACTTCTAATGACGAAAGAGCCCAAGTGTCTAACAACGAGATTGTCTACAGAACATCCATATGAGGAAATATTGTGCAACCATTAAAAGGGTTGGTTGTATAGATCAATGTAAAATATGAAGAGGAAGGCAAAATATGCAACATACAATATATATACATCTTTCAACATGAAAAGGGTCTAGAAAAGATCAATACAAGTTATTTAATTATGGAATTAGAAGGATGAGAATAGGAGTGGTTTTGATCACTTCTCTTATTTTATGCAGTTCTATTGATTTTATAATAAAAAGCATGATTATGAAACTATTAAACATTATTGAAATATAAATTATGTGAAAGTTATTTATTTCTTCTTAACACCCTTTACGTTCAGCAATACTGGTTTGATGAAGGGGGTTTTTATAGTCAGAACTGAAGCTCAATGAGTGGTAATGGATTAAGTCAATGCTTCTCACAATGGACAATCCTCCTCCTGACAATCCATAAACTATGCCTGTTCATTTTAGCACGCTTCAGTGGCTTCTCAGACTCTGACTCCTAGGTTAAATCATTCTGCCACCACTCTATGAGTGACAAGGGATTCACACTCACTTGCTCAATTTCCTTCCTTGGCCTTAACAAAAATGACCAAGTGTGTCTTATGGGAGTCAAATTGACCCTCTAGTACATCCTATTCTGGGTTGTAAGTCAATATTGAAAGATTCAAAAGCCCTCTATGTTTTTGTTTTTTCTTTCCGCTTCTATTAGGAAAGAGTAAGACTGTTAAGAAGACCGAAGCATGTATTAATGCTGTGGCTATGAGAGGCCTCCTGCTGCAGAAACACACTTCCCTACATCAAGAAGGAGTAACTTCAGGTTGGATCCTGTGTGGATGATCTTGGTGCTAAGCAGAAAAGAAATTTGGACCTTGAAACCAGCAGTTCAACATATATACTTTTTGCAAAATTTCCTTGATTTAAAATATTTGTTATTTTAAATATACAAAACATTTTAGAAAATCTTAGAGTAAATTTTAGTCTTAAAGCCAGAAAATAAGTTTATAGCCATCTAGATATTTTGCATATTGCTCTTACAGCAATAATGGTTTGGTTCACTTTATGAAAAATAAAATGTATTAAAATATAGTTTAAATGCTGTTCTTGATCCAAGTATTGATTTTTGTCACTCATTGTACTTCACTCATCTCGGTAGCTCTCAGAGAATTATAATAGTGAGGAATGAAAACTGATTCAGACTGAATCAGGCAACTTAGCCCTGAGTGAAACTTTCAGTAATCACTTTATTCACCATTATACTCACAGCAACAAGCACAATGCCTAGTATGTAATTTTAGATAATAGTCTTAACAGTGAAGAATTAGTGCATGCTTTCTGTATGTTAGGCATACAACACATGCCATACAGTTATGATGAACTCATTTTGTAACAATCATATAAGGTAAGTACAATTATTCCCAATTTATGAATGAGTAAACTGAAAATCTTACAACTAGGAAGAGGCAGAGCAGAGATTTGAAAACAAGTTATAACACATATCCCCCTAATATGGTAAGCCCTAAATAGATATCTGAAGAATTAATAAAAATTTAGCTTGCAGTGAGCTGAGATAGCACCACTGCAGTCTGGCCCGGGTGAAAGAGCAAGACTCCATCTCCAAAAAAAAAAAAATATATATTTAAAGATAAGTCTTCAGAGTCAGACTTCCACCTGGGGGTCTAGAAATCTGAATGCTATGCCAAATAACTGGTGGTGGGCACATTTTAGAAGCCAAGTATGGCAACTCCTGTCACAAAAGTGTCCTTGTGGAAAAGACAACTTGGTTTGTTTCTGTTGACAAAGTCAAATCAAACTGCTACCACTTCTCTCCAAAACTAACCTTAACCAGTTTTTTCCCAGTGATAATTACCTGACAGCTGTTAAGTGTTTAAGGAACCCCATTAATGAGTACCCCTCCTCTCCTGAGTTCTGAACCAACTGAAAATTATGATAAAGGGTTAAAGCAGATAGAGATTAAAACATTCACAAGCTCACCATTATTACTGATGGAGCTGACATTAGATAAGGTGGTTGCCTTCTTTTCCCTAGAACTGAAAAGATTGACTGCTGTAGGCATTTGTCATTAAGCTTAATGCATAGCTGAGAACAGTAGAAAATGCAAGATTTCTAAGAGTAAATTTACTCCAAAAAGTATCAAGAAGAAGGGGATTAACACAGAATGTCCAGGCTCTACTTCCAAATACATCAACCAAATAAACCACCGCACTTCAGTAGAACAAATGAGAAAATGAAGATGGGCAGCAATATAAAGGCAATGGAGATTTCAGCCCTTGATCTAGAGCAAGGACCTAGAGAGGGAAGAAGTGTTCTCCACCAACAGTAGCTGTTACTTACAGAGAGCCTAATGTTACTTACAGAGAGCCTAATGTGTCTTCTGATACGCTATTCTGAGTGCTTTTCCCTCATTAGCTTATGCAGTCATCATATGAATTTTGGGAGGTACTTACCATCATTAGTCCCATTTTGCCAAGGAAGTAATGGGGCTTAGAGCACACAAATAAATTGCTCAAAGTCACACAGCTAGGCATGATGACATGGATTTAAATCCTCCAAGCACAATCAGTGTAATGCTTTTTAAGTTATTTAGATTTTATCATGGAAATTTAAGCCATTGAAGAAGTATTGCATACACTCCATTATATTAGTTATTGTCAATGTCATGGACTAGGTTTGTGTACTGGATTGTAAACATCTCCCTGTGGGAAAAGGCCACTACACAAGACACTGGAATATAAAATCCTGGTACCATGCATGATGTATATAACCAGCCTCATCTTCAGGGCATGGTGGGTTGTGTGCCTAGGGCTCTGTTTTTACCTGAAAGAATGTAATGTACAGACTTTGGCTGAGGAAGGTTCTTAGAGCTCACTTTCATTTGGCTCTTCAGAGGAAAGCTGTTTATTTGCTTACAATGCCCAGAATATTGTCTGCTTTTAAAATTTTTATATAAAAGGCTTTCCTTGGTCTGTTGACCCTTGAATATTTTTGTAATTTAGCTTTATTCTTTAACTTTTATAATGCTTAAACCTGGTTTGTACTTTTTCTGCAGATATTTGACTTATCTTCCATGTTCTATATTAGTTTTACTAATGAAAAACAGGAAACTTTGCAAATGAAGAAACATTCTTCCCAAGGGTCATTTATTCTCAGAGAAGTGCTGTCCCACCCTCCTGGTGGTTACAGCTAGGAGAGCATTCCCAGTGAACTGAAAAAGTTCCCATTCTGTTTCTAGGCAATCATCTCTGGATTACCATGGCTCCTGCAAAGCCAATGGAGCTATGTGCTGAAATCTCTTCACCACAAAGCAAAAGTCTAACCCCAACGTTCACCTAGAGAGTTACTGAAACTCTGTTATCTCCTCTTTAAAACAAAATATTTTTTATATGGAATAGCAGCAATTAATAGTTACAGTTTTCAAACACACAACTATCTGACATTAGCTAGGACCACTAATCAGCTCATATTCTGTATCACAAAGTATATAGGTAGAAAGTTCTATTCAGGAAGATTCCTCAGTACTCTCTCACCATGCAGCCTTTGCCCTCTTTTAAAGGGAAGCAGAATAGGGAAGTCTTAACTAAGCTATTTGACTCCTGGTTCTGTAAGAAATCTTAAATAAACCACTTCTTTTCCCAAAATAAAATGCCCCAAAATAATTTTCTTTCTGTATAATTAGTTCTCCTAATTCCCTTCCCTCATTTCACCATTGCCAGAAAGTGACTGGGCTTGGGCTAGGGCTAGGGCTAGAATTATCCCATCTAGGCCTTTGAAACTGCAGGAGTATCTAGAATCACTCTTATCACTCACTCTTACCCTAAAGGTCTCTAACGTGCCTTGTGCTGAGGCCAGCCCAGATTGTGAAAACTGCGTAAGAACTGGGAAGCCTTGACACACTACATGCAAATATACTGCTCCTTATTGACACATTGGAGTGATGTAGACCAGGTTTCAAAGTCAAGCTAAGACGTCTTTCTATGAGTACTTATTAAATAGGACAACAAATAGATATATCCACACCCCGTTTGAACTTATATCTTAGCTCTGTCACTTCCTATTGGGATATCCTTGAGCAAGTCACTTGAGCCTGGTGTTCTCATCTACAACAAAGAGGAAATGGTATTTATTCCACAGAATTCTTACATGAAGAAATTAGAAATTGTATCTAAAGCATTTAACAGAATTACTGGATTATTAGAAAGCTCTCAACAAATACTTATTGTAATTATACTTTTCTATGATCTTCAAAGGATATAGCAAAACAGTCATTGGTCATTAATTCTTTACAGCAATGCCAAAGGATAGGAAAGTAAATTTAAAGATCTCAACCCAAACGTTCTCTGATTTCCCTATCATCTGCTTACAAATATCCAGGCTTTTATTTCCAATTCAACACATACGGTTTCTTACATGTGTTAGAAATGTAGTTTCTTACACGTGTTAGGCACTGGAGTTAAACACTGAGAAGAATAAAGAGTGAATCTATGATTCAAAGATTTGTTATCTGGGCTTCTTTGTGTGGGGGTGTGTTGCTCTACTCATTTACGGAGAGGAGATATATTATTTATAGTCCAGAGTCAGTTTTACAGCAGTAAATCTATTATAAATATCCTGCTCTTTCATGCTACTTTACACAAGTGATTGATAGCTAACACTTCCACAGCTCAGCTTCTCCATCTAGCGGCCTGAGTAAAACAGAAGCTTGAAAGCAATTCCTAACCTTCCCCTAAATTACAATGGGCAGATTGATTTCCAACTCACCCTACCATGGCTCTCTGGACTCAAAGACTCTTTTAGACAATAGTGGAACTAATTAAGCCACACATGGAGCAGCATCCAGGCTGTGTCTGCTCAGGCTGCCCCAACTAGGGTCTAGGATCTGTTCATTCATACTGGTGGGAAGTCAACAATAGCCCTACTCACTGGCTAAGCACCCTGTCCATGTGGTCTCTCTTTCACAATGCTAAGACATTCTGGTCCCCTGCTGCTAGCCTCTAGGTAGTGCAAAATGTGCTGAGGCCACTGAGGAAGGGGCACTTTTAGGTTAGATTGATTGTTTTTCTTTTTTTCTGAAGGTAATAGGGAAGAGAGAGGTTAGTTATAATAGTATACCAAGATTCCTTCCGACTCCCACACATACATACCTCTTTTTCTCGTACACAAAATGGCAGACCACTGGTTGTCATCCCAGATTTTCCATACACAAGGAAGAAGCATTCAATAATTTGGAACACATACTCTATTTTTTATTGTAATTATCCAGCCTGGGAAAGGAAATGGTTTTGAAAGAGGAGAATAGGAGAAACAGACAAGGGTACCCCCAGGTTTCTTAGATCTATATGCTGTGGAAACCTGATTTTCAATATAAGCTTTGTTAAGAATATTCTTTTTTACTTCAATGCTTCATTTAATTTATTGATGGGAGGGTTTTCCTGAATTTCAAATATTTACAGAATAAGAAAATTTACCACCCTAACATCTTTCCTAGAGTCAATTACATGAGGGATTCATGAAAAAAATTAATGGAGCTACTATTGGGGAAATAGAATTAAAAGCAAAATCTCCTGCTATTTCAGAAAACCTCACCACAAAAATAGAAGAGAAAGAAAACACTTTTATTTCTGAATATTCAACCAGAATGTAATGCACACCACAGGCAATCCCCTAAAGAGATTACTAAAACAGAAAGAAATCTTCCCCTTTTATATGCCAAGAAGATATCCTCCACTGCACACATTTTCTCAAGACAAACAATGACTAGTATTCACATAAGAGGACTTGACAGCACCATTTGTCACATAGCGTTTATCTGAAATTATTTTTGTAATATATTTGCTAATTGCCCTTAAAAACTAATTTCTCATTTCTTTTTGGTTGGAGGTAGATTTGCAATTTGGAGTCAGGTGTCAACTGAAGTTAGACTCCAGAAAATTGTATTCTGGAATACTTGAGCATGGAGACTGCACATGGACATTAGGGTGTGTGCTCTGAGATAAACGAAAGCTACAGTGAGAGAACATAACCAATCCCAAAGATAATTTCAAAGAACAATGACAGCAAAGGTTAGGTGGGAGTAGTATTTGACAATGCTTATTTGATATTGTCTCTCAGAGCTGCAAACTAGATTATACAAGTCATTAGCGTCAGATAGCTTTAAAGTTGTGACCTTCCTTTACATGAATTTTCTAGCCAGTTTCCTATCCTTTGCAAGAGGTAACAAAACATGAAACCCTAGAATGTGTGAGTTCAGGCATTAGGTATATAATAAGGAGGCTCTCTGTCCAGGGCTGCTTTCTGTCTTGCAGGGGCTAGTGAGTCTTGTGTGTTTTTATTTTATTCTCACATTTGTGTTTTTTTAGAAAAGTGAATGATCAATAATGGCTTATCTTTTATAATAAAATCTTCCATTTTTAATAAGGTGCTCCTGGAAATCCCTCACAGAGCCAAAAGGAAGTTTGGAGAGCAGCCATAAGGATAAGAATGATGTGAGATGAATCTGGGGTTGCACAGCTAGTACCCTAGTTTCTCTGAAATTGTTTCTTCTAAGCCCACTCCCCATCCTTCTCCTGCCTGTTTTAGATATGACCTTTACATTACTCAAGGACAAGCAATAAAATATTTTGCACTTTGTTTTATTTCTTTCAAGGAACTTCACAAGAGCAGTCCTGTATCTGCTTTTCTTACCATTGAACCTACAGTGCCCAGCACATAGTAGGCACTCGACACATACTTGTTAAAGGAATGAACAAACAGATGAGTGACCAAACTGGAAACAACCATCAAATACAAGGATAATACAAAAATCCATGATTCCTGTCCCGAGATTTCTTTCTTTTTTAACCTTTTGTCTGTTGAGATTCATTTATGTGCAGTGAAGTGCACCCTTATTAGTATACAGTTCTGTGAATTATGAGAAATGCATACAGTCATGTGGGCACTAACACAATCAAGATAAAGAACAACAACAAAAAATTTCCTCCTGTGCTTTGAAAGTCAACACCTCCCCCACCTTTTGCTCCTGGCAACACTAATATGTTTTCTGTTCCTGTGGTTTCACCTTATCTCTAATGTCACAGAAGGTAGGCTTTAAGTCTGGTCTCTTTCACTTAGTGTAATGCATTTGAGATTGATCCAAGTTATTGCATGTATTAATAGTCCACTCCTTTTCAATGATGGTCAGGATTCTGTTGTGTGGATGTAATATAACACAGAGCTTATTTAGCAATTCACTCAATGAAGATCAGTTGGGCTATTTCCAGGGTATTTCGGCTATTATGAGTAAAGCACATATAAAAATTTGTACACACAGTCTTAGAGGACATAAGTTTCACTTGGCTAAATGCCTAGGAGTGAAATTGCCAGGTTGTACAGTAACCCTATGTTCAATTTTATAAGAAATTGCCATACTTCTGAGATGGGAGAGTTCCCTTGACCCCTTCTCGGGACTTGCGACAGGGGTGTGGCCTACTTACTTGGCCACCACCATGCTCAAACTCTCTGTGGGAGCGGGAGCACGCAGGCAAGCGGGTGCCAGGGCTTCGATGAGCACTTTTGGGCTCCAGCCCAACAGCAGCATTTAGGGATGTGTTACAATTCATGCTCTTTTAGCAGTTGCCATCCGTGGACAGCTAAGTGTTAACCCACTCAATGGAGAGTCAGGGTGGCAGCCTTTTACACCCTGCCCTGTTGGTACCCAGGTTCTTGTTCAGCATCCAGGAAGAATCAGGTTGCATGAATGGTTTGAAAGTTGATGGATGTGGACGATTTTATTAAATGGTGGAAGTGGCTCTCAGTGGAAGGGGAGCTGCAAAGGGGATGGTGCAGGAAGAAAGTGACCTTTCCCTGAAGTCTGCTGTCTCTGGCCGGGCTCCTCCCTGAAGTCATGCCACCTGAAGTTAAGCCACATCTCTGACACTCAGTTGCTTCTTCTCCTCTTGATGTTCAGCCGCTTGTCTGTCTGCCAGCTGAGGTCTGGGGTTTATATGGGCACGGGATAGGGGGGCTGGACAGGCTAAAGAGTAACATTTGGGCAGGATAACAGGGATAACTGTTCTCATTTAGGGCTTCGGTTTCAAGGCTTGAGGGTGGGACCTTTGCCAGTGAACCACCCTCTTCTACCCAGTAAAGCCCTGCCTTCTGTCCTTATCACTTCTTTCCAAAAAGGCTGTCATTTTGCATTCTCATCAGCAATGCATGAGACTTCCAGTTGCTTTGCATACCTTGCCATACTTGATATTGTCAGGGTTTTATAGCCATTGTAATAAGTATGTAAAAGTGTTCCATTGTGGATTTGATTTACACTTCCCTAATAACTACAATGTTTAGCATCTTTTAATGTTCATCTGTATAGTTCCTTTGGTGAAATGTCTGTTCAAATATTTTGCCCATTTTGTTACTGGGTGTTTGTTTTCAGATTTGAGAGTTGTTGATACTATATTTTCTACAGGTCTGTGGCTTGACTGTTTTAACCTCCTTCTGACTTTTCTAAGAAGACAACGTGATTTATAAACGTAAATATCTGTAGTGGAAAAACTCCCATGGCCCATCTGTAATTTCAGACCTGGGATTCCCCAGAGGTTCGAAGCTCTCATTGACGGGTAGTTGCTGGTTATGGCCAACAGCCAGGTTGGTTCAGGCACTGACATGTTAGGACATTCTGCACATGCGTGCCTCTAACACTCCTCCCCCAGCCTCTTCCTTCCCTCTGCAGAGACACCCTTCTCCTTTCTGCTGTCTCTGCACGGGTGGCCAGAGCCACACAGCCCTTTCTTTAAGTCAGGAGTTGCCCTGTCAGAGCACAAGGCAAGAAGGAAGTGGTAAAGGGACGGAGGGGAAGCCCTGAGAGGACTGAGAGGATGGGAAATTCTCTGCTGAGAGAAAACAGGTAAGTCTAGACTCCCTGTGGGAGAGCAGAGGAGATGGGACAGGACAATACAGCAAGGAAGAGAAAAAGAAAGCTAGTATACAGTTAGCACACTAAGTTGGGGTAGAAAGTAGTTGGGTAAGGAAACTGCCAAGCCTTCAGTGCCTACTCTGTGCCAGATACCACATTAAATTTCCCATAGGTTTTGCCTTCTCCCAAGAATCATGGTGAGCAGCTGATGGAGAATAGCTGAAAGGTGGAAAGACTTTACCAAGGAAGGTCTATATAATAGGTTACCACCTAAGAAATGAAACAACTTTCTGAAAGCCCGGGAAGGAGATGCTCTCCTGAGCTCCTCATGCTCCACAAGGAGGTCAAAATCACCACCCTCTTTCAGCCACTATTTTAAGTTTGAAATAAACAGCAAGCTTCCTGCCACCTTGAGTCTTCCTTTGATGTGCACTCCCTGCAAGCAGGTAAGCAGAGGTCATCTAGATTAAATAGGCACAGAACTCAGATTTACTTTCTGGACCTCAGCCTCTTTATTTTAAGTAGAAATAATAATACAATATCTACCTTAGAGAGTTCTAGTGTGTATTGTGCTAGCATAGTGCCTGACATAAAGTAGGGTTCAAAATTAGAAGATATTTTCTGCTTTCTTTTTCTGACCATCATCTTCCTTAATATCAAAGCCGTGCCACCAAAATAGTGCCACCACAGACAAGGTAATCTCTAGGGTATAAAGTGGGGTGATCTAGAGAGAGTAAGCGAGCCAGAGGGGGTCTTCACAGGGTTATGTTTGGAATCCCTGGTCTCAGTTCATGCTACTGGAGAGTGGAACACAGGAAAAAATGGTAGCCCACTTTTGACCACTTGCCGAAAAGAGGATTGGTGGTCCTGTGGAATATCTCATGTCCCTTCCTAAGAATCATGTTGTCTGAGACTTCTCTACCCTGGGTTGTCACAGCCCCTTGTCAATCTTCTACTCTAGCATTGTTCTAACAATTATATAAATTACTATTTTTATTACTAGATATGAGATGCTCAAATGTAGTGATTGTTTCTTATTTATCTTTGAATTCCTGGTTCCTGGCATTGTTTCTGGCATATCACGTGCACTGAATAAGTGCAAAAAAACTTTAAAAAAATTTTTTTACTTTAAAATTTTGTTTTATGTAAGAAAAAAAACCTTTTTCCAAGGTGCACACATCTTATGCTATTTGGACTTCTTATGGTTTTTTATTTATTTTAAAGAAAATTCGATTTTAAATCTAGAAAGCTTTTTGGTTTCTGCCATTGCATTCATGCTTAAAATTCTTTGCTCTTCCTAAGATAAGACAAATCAACTCACATAAGTTTTGATTTTGTTATTTTACATTTGGCAACATATATTCAATATATGGTGTCAGATGTAAATTTTTTTCCAAATAGTTGATCAGTTTGCCCAACATCTTTATTTCTATGATGATTTAAAAGGTCTCCCTTGAACCAAGTGCAGTGGCATGCACCTGTAGTCCCAGCTACTCAGGAGGCTGAGGCAGGAGGATTGCTTGAGCCCAGGAGTTTGAGGGCAGCCTGAACAACATAGCAAGACCCAGTCTTAAAAATAAATTCATTAAAATAATTAAATAAAATGTTTCCGTTAACGTATTCAAAAGTCTTGTATATATTGGTATCTAATTTTCATTGTCACCCCAACACCCAGTTATCATCTAGTCAGCATACCCCCCCAACCGTGTCTCTCCAGATCAAATAAGCTAAGAAGTCAGGGAAATTTTGCACAGAATAGAATGGCACTCATCCCTTCATGAGAGGAGCTCAGTCTCAGAGGAAGAGACCTGCCAGCAGCAAACCCAGCTTTTCCCCCTTAGTGGCTGTGGATCCTCAGACCAGTTGCCTAGCATTTTGGGCCTCAGTTTCCTCATTAGTATAAAAAATATAATGATAATATCTATCTTATGGATTTATTCTGGGATTAAATGAAATATAACACACAAAATGATTGGCATATAGTAAGTAGTGTTTAAGTGTTAGTTTCTTTATCCTCATACTCCCAATTCCCAACAAGTGGGAAGATGGGTATACAGAAATCTAACCCAAACAATGAACCAATTTATTTTCTTTATTCAATCCTTTTCTTCTCCTTCTGTCCCTTGTTCTGGGCCTCCATGCTTTCTGTGAAAGATGGTGTGATTTACACAAGACAAAGCCAGTACCTTTCCCCATTACTTGTGCATAGCTCCTGGAACTGCACCAAAGAGATGGTAGCTGAGGACCTCAGGCCTCTCTCTGGACACGGATACTCTCAAGGGTCATGACGAGGATCCCTGGATATTTGGGATCAGATGATTTAGGATCACTTGTTCATGGAGGTTGGAGAACATCAGTGGGCTGTTGCTGTGGCAATGGAGAGCATGTCAGATCAAAGGTAGCTTGCGACATGTGCTTGAGGAAACAGTATTAACATGTGTGAGGGCAACCAGTCAATTTCTGAGTTACACACAAATAGCAGAAATGAGGAAAGTCGGAAAAATTATGAAAAGAAGTGACAGGCCTGTTTAGGAAATACTTAGCCTGTTTCTGATATGTTGAGTTTCAGGCGGCAGCAGAACACTCAAGAGATGCCTTGGAATGTGAGAATGCAAAGCCCCAAACAGAGAACATCCAGGTGAGAGCAAAATCAACCAAACACCCCCCAGACCTTGCCCAAGGAGAACGAAGTATGTCAAGCCCTGGACTTCACATCCCAGTGAGAGAGGGCCCTGTTTAGACCAGTAGCAGTTGCAATAGTAACAAATGTGAAGACAGGACAAAAGATAAAATGCTTGAAAACTTTGGACAGGAGATATGCTACTTTGCTAGAAGCCTAATGTAACTCCTAGCAACAGGAACTAAGACCCTGCTAGTCCCTGTTATGCCCTGTTATAAAATAAAAGGTCTTATTTCCTGTTGTCATTTTGTTTGTCTATCTCAGGTACCTTTGTGCTCAACCTCCACCCTAGCCATTTTATTTTAAGCTATAGGTGTCTATTTCTGAAGTGACCACATGCCCCATGTTACGACAATTTTTAGAAAGTTTGTGGAGACACCATTGTGATTGCCCTGATGTTGTTAAACAAAGACCACCTCATTAATTCTTTTTGAACAGACCTTTCAAATGTCCAGCCCTAAAGAATTCTCTCTAAGGAAAGGAATAATTAAAATATGGAACTAATGTTCCAGGATCCAAGAATCCTAAGGGCTGACAAGGTCAGTTTTTCTGTGGCCTGTAAAGTTATCTGTGCTTTTCACATGGTTTCAGGAGGAGATTTTGAAAGAGGAGCAATTAAAAAACAAGCACTGTTGTTATTTTCTAACACCAATGCCCGCGTTAGGGGCTGGAGACCCAGAGATTCCTTTCAACAGGGTGAATTTTTTCAGTTCAAGTTGAGAATTACATATTTTCAGGGGTATCATTGGGCATATTTTAAGGCATACAGTTCAAATGATGAAATAAATCAGAAGGGCCACGGCATTATAACAAGGGAGAGGTTGGGTAGACCAGAGAGCCAGAGAAGGCATTGTGAAAGAGACAGATACCTCAAATTCCTGACACGTAGCCTAAGGGTATAGAGATTTGTCTAGCTTGCTTCTTGGAGGCTATCTGAACCCATCCCAAACCAAAACCACCATGTTGAAATGCAAGAATAAACTGCAGAAAAGTCAAGTAGGAGAAACAGCCAGCTTACAGATCGTTTTTGCCCATATTTAACCTCAGCTTATTCTTATAACTCCATGTGTAAGCAGTATATACATCCTCTTTTATAGATTTAAAAACTGTGGCCTCAGGAGTTCAGAGAATATCTCTCAAAATCATCCCCCTCCTCTTATCTCATTCATTTCTCCTCAGTGAATCTGGTTTGTTAACTTGGTGTGATTCAGTAGTTTTCTTACGATGTTTCCTTAGCAACAAAGCAGATAATGTAAGCAAACGGTCTGAAGCACATTGAAGGTAACCTAAAGAAGAGGAAGAGCTGCAGCTGTGCCTCTGGGCCCCAAAGGCTTTGATGATGCATAGATCTTAGAGGTTGTCAGAATGCTCAGCCAAGCAGGTGATCACAGCCAAGGTCACGATGCAGTCAGCCTCTCCTCCACTGCTCCTCCTGATGAAACTTCATGGGAAAGCTCACGGGGGGAGATATTTTTGGATGGTGTTTTCCAAACATTTTTACATACTGTAACTGATACTACTTTATAAAGGGCTTTCACATTCAACCATGTAGGTAGTTGACTATGCCTCAAATTCAGAAAAATGTACAGAATGATACTTATACATTAATGTAGATGCAGGACTGCAGAGAGATTCTAAGCCTTTGTGCTATAAGAGAGAGAAGTCCTGTTATTTAACTATATCGTTGGAGTCAAGGTGGTAGATTTGCTGACCTCCTGCACCAGGGTTGTCCTGTCCTTGGCTATTCATTCTGTATTCATATCTTCATCAAATATTTTTTGAAAACCCATTTACTGTGTGCCAGATGTTGTGTCATAGACTGGAAATACATACCACGATGAACAAGATCAATATGGTCCCCAGCTTTGTGAAGCTCACATTCTAGTGTAGAATATAGACAAGTGAGCAAACAATTGCAATATACTGTAAATTGGAGAAATTCAGAATATAGTAAAATACTGATATTGCCTAACCCATACCTGAAAAAAATGATTTGTAAAATTTCCATACACTTGTACCTTGATTTCCTGGGGATAACACTTACGTGTTCTTCATTACAAGGGAACCAAGGAAATTACCAGAATTGAGAGTGAGGAAACATTTTTCCTTTGCTGGGAACACAGCAGAAAGCTTTTTTCCTGATTAGGAATTTGATAGTATCATCTTCATCCTAGGAAGACAAAGGCATTCTACCATGAGAGATGTGTCCAAGTTATCTAGAATGAAACACGCTTGCGGGGAGAAAAAAAGTTTTCCACAGAAATGGCAAAAGGAAAGGAGTCACCTTAACAAAGCTGCAGAAATCAACCTTATGATTTGCCATCTCTCTTGGGTATTTTAGATGCTGGGATCACCATATCGCTGAAGGGTGTTTCTGCCTTCCATGGTGAGTGGACAGTTGTTTTTAGGAGTTATTTCCCTAAGTGTGGTTTCAATGTGGTATTTGCTGTAAGTTACCTGTGACTGTCTGTGGCCACAGTGGAAGCCTGTCAGTAGCCCAGATACAATCACCTAAGAGTTAATCAGGGAAGCAATCCTTCCAATTTGATGAGAAACAGGAACAATAGTCTCATGGGTCGCATGCTCTCCTCAAACAGGAAAGCCTCAGAAGCAAAGATGAAACTAGCTACTAACGTAGAAAACATACGTTTTTTTCACACTGCAAATCTGAGTCTGCATGTTCCGAAGCACACATTTCTATCCCTTGCACATAGAACTTATAGTCGGGGTGATAGTATAATTTATCATCTGAACTAAGATACCTTTGAGAGTGAAAGGGATGCTAAAAATAGTTAAAGCTCGCTAAGTGATTGATAATGACCTTCACCAGACTGAGGCAAACCAGGACATAGGGTTACCCTCACAGCAGATGTTCTTGTCTACTGAAACGATAGTGGGCTTCCATTATATTTATATCACATTTTTTCAGGGAGTCTTTTTACAGTGTTCCCTTATGCGAAGAGTGTGTTTATTTGTTTGTTTGTTTTGGAGATCATAGATTAGAATTGAGATTGAAAATAATCCTGGCTCCTTCACTCACATGATAGAAAAGAAATTGATACTTTGTCAGAAAAAAAGTCTCCAAAAAAGTAACCTCTATCACCATATTTCCCCATCTATAAATCAATTCCCTATCAGATTTAGAAAAGAAAGAGAGGAGGAGAGAGAGAAAGAGGCACAAAGGAATATATTTCTATTTGGCCTCATCTTTTACTTTTTTCTTTTTTACTTAACTCATCTATGCTGAAGGAGGTATTATAAAAGGTATATAACTTTAACAAAGAGTTAAAAGTAAGTTTTGTAGGCTTGTGTCATTTCCTTTGAGAGTTTCTGAATATTAAAACAATTTGCTTTGCTTTTCTTTTACAGGAAAAAAATACTCATTTTTGAAAAGAGGCAAGAT
Organism: Homo sapiens; assembly: GCF_000001405.40. NCBI lineage: Eukaryota > Metazoa > Chordata > Mammalia > Primates > Hominidae > Homo > Homo sapiens. Next base: position 112,126,999 of record NC_000003.12, on the reverse strand, counting down.
TCCCAAAACGAAAGTAAGTCATTGATTTCCTAGTATTTTCACTTTTGATAAGACTTACATTTCCAAACTACTTCTTCTCTATGTTCCCAAAGCCCCTTAGGCATATTTCAATTACAATATCTACACATTTTGCTTTACTGTATCCAATTGCATGTCCTTTGTCCTCAGTAGATGGTGAGCTCATTGAAGCAGGAATTGGCTCATTAATCTCCAAATTCCTCAGTTAGTGCCTGAGGCCTGGAGGCTGAAGGCAGTAACTGGGGGCAAGGATACAAAAGGTGGAGGAGAAAGGCACTTACAAGAAACTGCAAGAAAGCCAGCCTGGGATAGGGGAGGGGTGGGGCCTCCTGGCCAAGTTAAAGATTTTCATCTTTGTCCTGACAGCTGCAGGAGATACTGGCTTTACACAGTGGGGAGGCGGGGGCAAGTATGATTAGATTTGTATTAAAGATATCACCCAGGTTCCTGTGCAGAAAACAAATTGCAGCAAGGAGCCGGAAGAGCAGATACCAGAAGAACACTTACGAGGCTGGTGCAGTAGTCTCTGGTGATAGAATAGCACTGAAGTTAAGGAGAAAGAATTCTAGAAGGAGAGTGTGATGAATTGTATCACACCTAAAAATAAAAATAAGAAAGTGTAGGCCTGAGGACAAGCCATTGTGTTTCTGAAGAAGAAAAATGGAAGAGTTTTGACTTTTCCTTCCTTAAAGAGGAGAACCTAATTCATTTACATAGAATCTTAAAATCTAGCCCTGCAAGATGTGTAAATGAATAATACAGCCTCCCACCCTAGCCACTTCACTCCAGGAGTCGTGGGTCCCAGGGAACCTCAATTTCCATCAGAGCAAAACGTAATAGAAATAAGACCAGATGCTAAAACTCTATGCTGAAGATGCTTTTCTTATAATGATAATCAGGGAAGTTTTAGATGCCTATAGGAGCTTATGGAGATGTGGAAATCCAGGATGTGAGGACCGAGAGAATGTCAATCCATATACCATATGGTAGCTTCCTCTGTAGACTTTCATGTGAGGGCACATGTTTGTTTATGGAATTGGTGTGTTTGCAAGAGGGTAGCAAGGGTGTCAGTTTGCCTCTTTGCTGAATGGCCAGAGCCATTTGGTTTTAACTAGGCTTTGAAAAATCGCCCTGCTCATTTGTTATCTGCCAGCAGGTATAGGAATGGGAATATTTAGCTTAAGAGTTTCCTGCTCTGCAAAACTCCTTGAACACCAATTATCACACCACCACCATCCCGTCACCTAGAGTAGAAACGACGGCCCTCTGCTCCACAGTGTGGATCTCTCAGAGCCCCTTGTCTGTCTCCTGTGCTAGCTTGTGAGCCTTTTGAGGACAGAGAATGTTTCTGATTCTCCTTTGTCTCCCCAGTGCCTGGTGCAGAGGCACTGAATTTGTGTAAGGAACACAAATCAATTTTGTGTAAGGAAGGAGACGGGGCTAGGTAAGGAGGGAAAGAGAGCTGGAGGAAGAAATCGTGATTTCCTTTCCAAAGACTAACCAAATGTGTCTCCCCCCTCTCACCTCTCAGGCTGAGCACAGCTCTAGCTGTGACTTGTTTAGATGTCCTGTCACTCCCCAGGGATGTGCTGTAGATCAGAATAGCCTGAGAAGAGCTACCCCAGCTGTTTCTTGGCTTTTTAGTTATTTATATTCTAGCCTCCCCTGCTCTTCCCTTCAAATCTCCCCATAACCTGAAATTCATTGAGTGTATTTTCTTTCTCCAGATGAAAGAATGTCATCTACTCCCATCCAGGTAATAAGAACATCTCTAAGCTATTTTTTGAGATGATGATAGAAGTACAGACACCCTAAATGGCAGGAGAAGTTGGCCTCTGAGATCCCTTCTGACCCTTACATGGAGAAAGACTTTAGATGTCAGTGCTTGTGAACTCGGGTGGCAGGTGCAGGGCCGGGTGGCAGAAGCAGCAGCCACTTCTGCTGTATAATTTATTGAAAGGAACTTAAATTTACTGACCACTTCATTTATGACAGACAACATGCTGAGTGCTTTACACACATCAACTCATGTAGCTAAAACGACAACCCTTGAATATTGCTACTATAATCCATCCCATCCCCCGATTTTATAGATGAGAAAACTGAGAGATTAAGTGACAATTCCCCAAAGCCAAATAGCTAAAAGGGGGCGGAACCAGGATTCAAAACCAAGTCTCACTTCACAATCCATGCTTTTCCCCCTGTACTTTGCTGCTTTGCTTTTTATCTCCTGATATCCCATCATAAGTGAAACCTTCCCTTGAGTCGCTTCCCTATTTAATAACATAAATATCTCTAGAGGGTAATTAAATATCACAGCCAAAACACATTAAGATATCATAAGATTATTTATATTTATTTATTTATTTTTTGGAGACAGAGTTTTGCTCTTGTCACCCAGGCTGGAGTGCAATGGCACGATCTCAGCTCACTGCAACCTCCGCCTCCTGGGTTCAAGCGATTCTCAGCCTCAGCCTCCCCAGTAGCTGGGATTGCAGGTGTGTGCCATCACACCTGGCTAATTTTTGTATTTTCAGTAGAAATGGGGTTTCACCATGTTGGCCAGGCTGGTCTCGAACTCCTGACCTCAGGTGATCCACCCACTTCGGCCTCCCAAAGTGCTGGGATTACAAGTGTGAGCCACCGTGCCCAGCCAGATTATTCTTTTTTATTAGAATGGGCTATCCTCAGAGCCATGAGACTGGGAATTATATGGGTAGTGTCTTAGTCCACTTGTGTTGCTATAAAGGAATATGCAAAGCTGGGTAATTTATAAAGAAAAGAAGTTTATTTGGCTCATGGTTCTTCAGGCGGTACACTCATAACTGCGAGGATGGCACTAAGCCATTCATGAGAAATCTGCTCCCATAACCAAAACACCTCTCACTAGGCACCACCTCCAACAATGGGAACAAAATTTCAACATTAGATTTGCAGGGGACGAATATCCAAACTATATCAGGTGGTCAGAGGTCACTCTGGAACAAGGGGCAGAGGATGCACCTGAGCAGGCTCTAGACCTTAAGCACTCTTGCAGCTAGCCTAGTGGTTGGGGTAGAAGCAGCCATTTAGAAAAAAATGGCCAAGAGATGGGGAGGAGGTGGTCATAGAAGACAGACTTGACCAAGGGTCAAGCCTGTGTTGAGACTGAAATGTAAAGGTCATGGCAAGAGACCAAATCTTGATGATGGTTCTTCTTTGACAAGCAGGACAATGTTGACCAGACCTACTCAGAGGAGCTGTGCTATACCCTCATCAATCATCGGGTTCTCTGTACAAGGCCATCAGGGAACTCTGCTGAAGAGTACTATGAGAATGTTCCCTGCAAAGCTGAGAGACCCAGAGAGTCCTTGGGAGGAACTGAGACTGAGTATTCACTTCTACATATGCCTTCTACAGACCCCAGGCATGCCCGATCCCCAGAAGATGAATATGAACTTCTCATGCCTCACAGAATCTCCTCTCACTTTCTGCAACAGCCACGTCCACTTATGGCCCCTTCTGAGACTCAGTTTTCCCATTTATAGTGAAGTGGCTGGACTAGCATTTGTTTAGCACCAACAAATAAAAGGTGGGATGGGGGATCTGCCTGAAGCAGGGATGGGACACAAAGTCCCTCCAGCTTATCTCCCACAACAACCCTTTCCCTGCAGAGCATGGTTTGTATACCACAAGCCCTCTTAGCACGCAAAAGCCAAAATCTAAAGATCAACCATTTATCCTGAACAACACCATTTGAGAAAGAGGTAACCATCTTTGGTTCTACATGGTTTGGAGAGTATAGTGGTAGGAGGGGCTCCCTGATTCCCCTAAAGCTATGCACACCACAAGGGGCTCTGCTCTTCTGTCTGGGATCTTCTTATAAAGTGTTCCCATGATCATTCTCTAAAGTCACAAGGAAGCTTTACTCATCATACTAAGTGTGCCCAAGGGGGAGTTCACTCATTACTGTGACCTTCCAGCTCAGTCCCCACCCATGGGAGCCTGTGTTGCTCCTCTCACTCCATGTGTCTAAGTCATGTCTTTTACATAGTGTCCTTTGACCTGTTGGCCCCCATGGTCTGGTTAGTTATGTGAGTTGAATCAAGAGGCTCTAGGCCAGATGTTTACATAATTTTAACCTATATGATTTTATTTTTAACTTTGTATTTCTCCCTAGAAATCTTAATAAGACAATTATGCCATCAGACAATGTTAAGAAGAACGATCCTTGGAGATCCCGTAATCCCACTACCCTTCTTTGGCTCAGAGAGGATAATTTGCCTAATGATACATTAAAGTTAGTGGCAAAACTTAATTTGGAGCCTGATTTCCTACTGACTTCCAATTTAGTGCTCCCCCAGTATGCTAAATAGAAAGCCCTCTGCAATATATTAAATGTATACTAAATGTATATATTTAATAATGTCATGTATAAAATATGAATAAAATGTCCACATAGGAAATTAACACATATATACCTTCTCTGATAAGCACTCCTCTATGTGTCCTGATTATTTACTTTCTCTTATCTTTTCCTTAGTGTTCCTCAAATTATATCTATCCTCTAAACCAGGGATCAGCAAACTATAACCCCCAGGCCAAATCTAGCCCACTCCCTGTTTTTATAGATAAAGATTTGTTGGAACACAGCCACACTCATTTGTTTACCTACTATCTATGATTGTTCAACCATGGGAGAGTTGAGTAATTGTGACATGGACCATAGGCCCTAAAGAGCCAAAATAAATATACTTTGGCACTTTTTGGAAAAAAAGTTTGCAGACACCTGCCCTAAATGATTATAGTTTGAGAGAAACTTAACAGAAATGTGTTTGGTTACTGATGCATAAGAGCAAGCACCAATAAAATGGCATAAAAATATTAAATCACAAATGGATAAGTGAGACCAAGGCAATTTAGCAAATTCTACTATTTCTGTATTCACACCTGTGTCTTCCACTTGCTGTTTTATTTAACTCACGGCTACTGTCCTAATTTTAGGGATGCTAAAATAGTTTGTTTTAAAAGAGGTTTGTTTAAGAAAGCAGTAGGTACATTATGTTTACTAGACAGGCCCTTGGACCAGCTAAGCGACAGGGAACCTGGTACATTATGTTTAGTTACTGTTTTCTTCTCAAAGTTAACCAAAGCTAAATAACTTTCCTATGTAAAATGTGCTGACTCCCAAAAGAGGAGAAATGCAATGGCTTGAGCTTGCATGTGTCACAGGTTTGTGGAGCCTTCAGCCAGGTGATGGTCTTCAGCTAAAGAGCCAGCTGCATCTTGGTATCTCTTCCTCTGCTAACTTCCTACTTTTAGCAAAATTCTTTCACTTGGAACTCTAGCTGATCCTTGGCCAGGATCAGATCCTCAAAAGGAAATATTCAGTTAGCAGTGGATATTGTACAAGATGTAACATGGCTTAGAGGAAAGAGTGTAGACCCAGCGACAGATCATCAGTCACTCAAATCCTGGTTCTCTCTCTTCCTCCATCTGTGACTTTGAACATGCTACTTGGAGGCTCAGCTTCTTCACCATCAACAGGAGGATTACATCTAATGCAGGCAATCATCTATTACAGATGCCGAATAAATGATATCAAAGAGCATAGAGAAACAAAAATCTTTTATGATGTACGGAAAAAAACCATGCTGATACAGCTGGCTATTCAGGGTCACCCAGCAGTCCTCCAGCAAGGTAGAAACACCAAATCAATGAGTTTATGCTAGAATTTTTCACATGGCCACTGGACCATTGTGGAAGTAGACTGGTTGAAATATTCTTAGTATGACATAGTAAGTTATATTTGTTTGAACCTTATCCTGTGAAAGCATTATCTGTCCCAAACAGTATATGCCTTTTATCAGGGACACATTAAATATAAATGTTTAACCAAAGAAAGTTGTTCTTATAATGTAATTATAACAGGGATTTATAAGAGGGAATTATAAGAGGGATTATGAAAGGGAATTACTTTTGAGCAAGGGGAGCCATTTGGGAGTGCTTCAAGATACCCAATATGATATACACAATTATGATTTGTCAGTCAAAAATAATATTAAGAACAAAAAAAGAGTTAAAAAATTCTGATATGAGTGTAATATACTTAATATGTAGGATGTCTCAAATTTCCAGTAAATAAATTTTAATGTCCCAAAATACCCACTATGTCTGTATGTAACACTGATCCTGTTTCCCCTACATTTCATGATTTCTAATGAAAGCTGTGCACTCCCTTTGCAGAAAATGCACATTCACATACACACACATTTGTATACGATGTGTGCGGGGGTTAGGGATGCAACCCCTCAGTGAAAGAGTCCCTGTCCCTGATAAAGAACCTGAGCCTGAGCATTTAAATTACTCTCTCGAGCCACAAATATAACCAGAAAACTCCTCCTCCCTCATGCTGGTCTTAAAACTACATAGCCAAAATTCAGAGGCACAATTTATGCCACAACTGCAGACTTTGTGGTTTCCGTTTCACGTACATACTAGCATCTATAAATAATCCCTTATTCTGTGAATAAATTCTTATTTAAAACAGAAGAGAAAAATAGGAAGAGGGCAAAGATAGGGCGGGAAAATCTGTTGACAACAAGTTGAAATGCTAACGTTTTTTAGGACAAACTTGAGTGATAGATGCTTCGGATAGTCTCAGGGATGGGGAAGGGCATGGACAGAACAGGAAATAGAAGTCTCCAGGATTCCACAAGGGCTCCAGGGAAAAGTAGATTCTGTTTCCACTTATCTCTGTTCTTTTCCAAGCCTATAGCCTCAATTCAGAAACCCACTTGATCTGAGTGTACCTTGGCTCTGCCAACTGTGAAGTGGACCAGTGTAAATTCCGTCTACTTTCCTACAGAATTCTCTTTTGCAAGGCACTTGGTGAAGCCTTGAGAGGTCATCATCATCATAGAAAGCCTCCTGCAGTCTGAGGGCCCTCCCTCTCCATTCACCCCTGACCCCTGATCACTTGTGCTCCTTAGGGATTCCCAGATGTCAGCTAAGCCTGAACTGAGCCTGCCTCTGGGGATCCTACCTGAGCTGGTGGCCATTCATAGTATGTGGTTGCCCTGTGGGCTAGGCTTTGCCCTCAACAAGCTGTGGAACTCTGGGCTGGTCCTCCCAGCTCTCCAGAATTTGATTTCCCAACTGTGAGATGAGGGAGGTGCCTTTTGAAGCTGAGTCTGTAATCTCTAGTCACAAAGGAAAGATTCAAGGATGTCTGTGGATAAAGCTGCCAACAATGCAGCAATTGTTAATTCACAATGCAGTGTAAATTAACTTATTTTAAAGCAATGAAAGAGTGATGGGAGAGGAGAAGGAGGACATTGAGAGATTTCTCCCATTTTTTCTTAGCATTGATCAGACTCTGAATAGGACAGGATTCATGTCCAGAATTCACATGTAAAAGACAAAAGAGAGAATATGTACCTCATCCTAAGAAGACACGAACATGTGTAAAGGAAGGCAAATCTTCTTATTCAAATCCCACCAGTGCTTCAGGATTCGGCTTCAGTCCTACTTCCTACAAAAAAACGTCCTCTGATTATACTGACCACTCTTTTCTCTGACCACCCGCAACCCTACTGTTTCTGTTTGTTTGTTTGTTTGTTTGTTTGTTATGGAGTTTCACTCTTGTCACCCAGGCTGGAGTGCAATGGCGTGATCTCAGCTCACTGCAACCTCTGCCTCCTAGGTTCAAGCGATTCTCTTGCCTCAGCCTCCTGAGTAGCTGGGATTACAGGCGCCTGCCACCACGCCTGGCTAATTTTTAGTAGAGATGGGGTTTCACCATGTTTGTCAGGCTGGTCTCGAGCTCCTAACCTCAGGTGATCTGCCTGCCTCGGCCTCCCAAAGTGCTGGGATTACAGGCTTGAGCCACCGCGCCCAGACTGCCTTTGTTTTTGACCCCTGGGTATTTTTTTCTGCTGTTTCCTGTTTCATCTGTACTGATCCTGACTCCTTAATAAGACTAACAGCTTCTTTTCTTATTGTTGTCTTCTCCACTAGTATCCCCATAGCCTTCCATAAAACACATCATTTTTTCAAATCTGTAGAACTAAATTAAATTGAAAGGCAAAAAAGAATCAGACACATGGCTGGAATTTTTGTTGGCAGAGGAACAGGAGCAGGTTCTGCTGATATGGCTGTTGCCATTCTATCCATATCTAAGTGACATCCAGAGAAGAGCAGTTTTCTTCTCAAATCCTTCAATTATTAAAACCTCACTATGTACCAGGCATTATGCTCATCATGATGTTGTGTGATGACCAGTAGATTTATCTCCTATAGCAGAACAGTGCATTTGTAAGGGCCGTTTTTTTTCAAACACCACCAAATATGTTAGTCACAAAGGTTAGTTTTTTCCCATACCATTTGGGCAGAAAAGTCAAATCTATGGAAAGTCCTCTCTATGACTTGCAAATGGTCAAAACCCAAGACAAGGTACTTGCATCTTGGTGCTTTCTGAACAAGAAGGGAAGAACAAAACCAAATCCTGCCTCCAGACATGAACAGGCTGTTCCTTCAAGTCCAAGCCCTTTCAGATACCAAGTCCTGCCAGAGAGGGCCTCAGAGAAAGAGGAGGGGATGGCCTCTGCCTGCTCTTGCTGGAACAGAGGGGAGAACCCAGGCCGCCCCAGCCAAACTTGGCTTGATCTTATTCACCCAGAAGAGGAAGCTGCCCTAAGGGAAATGAAAAAAATTATGCTCAACACCATTTACTGCAAAAAACAAACAAACAAAAACCCAGCCCAAAGCTCAGCCAATGGGAATGCAACAACACAGATGCAAAAATAATGTATTGTAAATGTTTTTAAATCATTCTCCATTAAAATTTTTCATTATTTTCTACAAAATACAAATACACTAAGGTTCACATTTAACATGCAGAAAATAAAGAGGAAGAAGAGAAATCCACTAGTTTCACTAGTTTAAGGAACAATCACTAAAATGAGACAATGATCTATAGTACATGTATCTTCTAGTTAAATAGGAAAGCAAATTCACATTATCCAGAGTCCTGGGTCATAAAGAACTCAAGTCAAATCTAGTCTGAGGCAGACACTCTGGCTCGTGCCCGCACACAGCTGCCCTTCACACTGACTTTAACCCAGGGCTCATTTAACTGAGAGGCGAGATCTCTCACAATACAGCACAAAACTCTTTCTCCTGGTAAATTTCTTTTCCCAACAAAACAATCAGTTCCCTCACAACAGGCAATTCTGTATCTGTAGACAACCAATACAGTTGCTAATATTCCTCCTACCCCCCAAATAGCTGGCAAAAGCTTCCAAGAGTTTATTTTCAAAGAAGAGTGGTTCTTCTTGTATCACAACCATCTGTAACAGGATACACAATCATTGCCTGAAGACACTGAGTCCCACAGGAAGGTTTGTAGCACTAGGCAACAAAAAGCCAATGCGTAATATCCAGAGCAGATATTAAACAGCCTTAATGATTCTCTAATGGAAGTTTATAAAAATATAAATGGAGTGACTATCCAAAGTGATAGTAGTGTGCTCAAAACTCACAGAGACCCATATTTCCAAAAAGGTGTTCAGGAATCACAGGAACAACGAGGAGCTGCAAAATAATGAAGAAACACATAGCTCCCGTCTGTAACTAGCTATATACATAGATTTCAAAGTAACCTTGGTGGTGTTCCTAAGGCTGGCTGGCTAAGATACTCAGGTACAGGTCATGGAAGTAGACACAGAACCACACTGCTGAGGTCTTCTAAAGTGCCTTCCTTTTCTTCACAGCCTGGCTTAGAGGTAGATCAAATCGAATGGTGGGGGGGAGGAGGATGACTTCAGTGAATAATTGGCTTAGTCTTCGTAACCTGGCTGCCTGCCTCTCCGTGCTCTACCAGCTCATGCTTACGCGATCCCACCTAAAAGAAGACAGTGCACCTCTGCACTAAAGAAAAAGTAGCCCAGGTGGGTGGAGTGCTTCAAGAATAGCAGTGCCATGATCACGCCACCGCACTCCAGCTAAGCGACAGAACGAGACCCTGTCTCAAAAAACAAAACGAAACAAAACAAAAACAAACAGAATACCAGTGACCTCCAACAGTGGGACATACCCGCTGACCCTATCGCCCCCACCCTAGCTGGCTTCCTGCCTTTGTCAAGACTGGACCCAGCTGAAGCAGTGCTCGGGAGCTGTTTTACTGGGCTTAGAGCCAGACTGTAGAATCGGGAGAGAAAGGAGTCTCCACCCCTCTGGTGTTGCTGGTGCTTCTGTATTAATCCACAGAATCTTTTCTGCAAAACAGAGTGAATTCCCTTCATCTCCAGGACTTGGTAGAGCACTGCTTTCAGACAGAGACCAGCCTCCATCACTTCATTCTAAAAAGAAAACACAGATGAACAAAAGTTACTGATTTTTAAAACCACTATTAAATGCTTACGTTTTCATTTCATTTCATTGAATTTTAGTGTAAAATCTTAGATAAAATTGCAAGGTTTATACATTCCTAACAGAGGAAATTTAGTCTTCAGTCCAACACACACACACCGCTCTGAATACATTTCAAAAGGCAAATGACATTTATTGTTTCTTGCTTATTTGTTTGGGTAGGATGCATGAGAAATAATTTTGATGATGTGGTTTTTGGGTGCTAAGGACATTTTAACATCCAGTCCCTTTTCATAATCTAACCATAAACTCTAAAATTTCCGTTTTTAAAACGTGTAAAATATACTGTGAGAAATTCTGATGAGAGAAATGGTGTGAACCCTAGGGCACAGCAGGTGCAGATGCAAAGCCCCAAGCAGACACAACACAGGGGGAGCCCGCCGGGGTCTACAGACCAGGAGTCCAGCCTCGCCACCACTGACAGGACTGACAAGATTCACTATTCTCCCTACCTGGGGCTTTTTCCTCTTCTCTCTCACAAAAATCCTGGTTTTGCCCTTTTTCCCTACTCAGTCTACTAGCTGACTCCTTCCCATGTGAGAACAGTACCAAGTACCTCCTCTGTGTCCAAAATAACTCATGATGCTGACCTATTCTTCGACCTTTGTAAAACAGACTTCCCCCTCCTAGCCCAGGGCCCCACTCATCTAGGAGGTGAAGAAGACCAAAGATAGGGAAGGGTGAGGGATGATGGACTTAAAAAATTCCTTTATCATTATATTTTAAGTTTTTATTTTTATAAGGCATCCAAATATGCATGCAGTCAGGTCAAAATAATCGCCGTATTTCCAAATTAGAGAATGAGAAGCAAACACACACAAAACCCCTCAGGAATCTAAATTACAATCTAATTTTGGATTCTGCTTCTAAAGCGCACATATACAAACCCCAAATGGACCATAGGCTGGCCTCAGGGAAATACTCGGAATCCCTGAAATTGTCTGTACAATTTTGTGTTGTGGGGAGAAGTAGGTACATTTTTTTTTCCTGGGGAGAAGGTACACAGCTGTCTTCAAATTCTCTAAGGAGCACACAAACCAAACAATTTTAAGAATCTTTGCTCTTTGAAGACTAAGAACATTACCATTGTGGGAAACTAGTTGCCTGGGTAATCACAGGGCGGGGATGGTAATCCCCCAAGCCCACAGCTCATGAGCACGTAGAAACTGGCGTAAGAACTCATTCCATCCCTCTTGGTCCCTCCCAGGGCCCTGGGCCTCTCCCTGACACATTTTCCCTTTCTCTAGAGTTTGCCTCTGAGCTCATCCCCCATCTGCCTGCATGCCTGCGATGAGTCCCTCTTCTTCTTTCCTCACTTCCCAACTGCTTCTCTGTGCACCCTTCCCTTTGAGAGGGCAGTGACACTCACATTCTGAAAACATAAAATGGCTCAAATATTGCACATTCATGCTCTGGAAAGTGGGACATGGGGTCACAGAAAACCCCACATTTTCTCAGCATGTCCCGTCAGAAGAAATGTCTGAGAGAAAGAATGCAATTTCCAGAAGAGCAGAGACTTTGTTCCACTCACAGCTGCCTTCCCAGCACCTGCTGGAGCACCAAGCCCTGGGGAAACAGCTGAGTCTCTTTGGCCAAGCTCAGGGTCTTCTGGGAGCCCTCCTCAGGTCTCACAAGCAGCCTGCCCTTTATCCTGTACTATTTGAACCTCTCAGCCTTGGAAGCCTCTTAAACCTTTCCTCAGACCTCTGCCCATCTCCCTGGCCTCCATTTGGAAAGAGCCAGTAACAATTTTTGCAAGGGGCCTAAGAAAATCAAGACCAACCACACCACAGCAGCAGCCCCCACAGGCATCGCAGGCCTCTTCACATGGGAGGAGGCTGAAGGTTTCTGGGTTTTTTTTTCTTTTGAAATGGAGTTTCACTCTTGTCACCCAGGCTGGAGTGCAATGATGCGATCTCGGCTCACCGCAACCTCTGCCTCCCAGGTTCAAGTGATTCTCCTGCCTCAGTCTCCCGAGTAGCTGGGATTATAAGCACCTGCCACCATGCCCGGCTAATTTTTGTATTTTTAGTAGAGATGGGGTTTCACCATGTTGGCCAGGCTTGTCTCGAACTCCTGACCTCAGGTGATCCAACTGCCTCGGCCTCCCAAAGTGCTGGGATTACAAGCGTGAGCCACCGCGCCTGGCTTTTTTTTTTTTTTTTTTAATTCCTGTAACTGGGGCACAATCTCTTCACTCCACACACATATAGTGTCTGCCTGACCCACAGACACACTTTATTCAGGATGCTCTGTGAGGAAGATCTCCATTTATGAGACTTCCAGTGAGCTAAAATTTGGCCTTCTGAATGGCATTCTTAAGAACTGTTTTACATAACGTTCTGCCTTCTTAGGCCAACATTACTCTTGCCTCTCATCCTCAAGAAACAGTGTCATCATCATAATAAACACCTTGTCTTGTACTATGCACTAACACTTGTGCTTTTAACCCCCTGTTCCATGCTTCTGATTCTAGACCGTTAATGCACCTGCTGCCAACCACAACTACTTCTAATTTGCCTTTCATTCATTCAACTAGTATTTACTGAGAACCTACTCATGTGGAGAAAGTGATTCTGATGGACTGTGGATGAGAACATAAAATATTCAAGATTGTTGGCATTAGGGGCTAAATAAGAGCAAACAAGCCTCCGAGCGAGGTATCAGAAAGTGAGATCAGCAGCAAAGGCCAGAGCTTCACTACAAAGCAATGGAAGGATATTTTGAGGGCTTGAAGCCATTTGGCCTTCTGACCTTCCTTTCTGTCAGGTTTTGTTCTGAGTGTCAAAAGTTCTCAGATTCTGATAAATGGGGTGTTTGTTACATTTATTAAAGAACATATCTATTTCCTTGTTCTGTTCTTAATTTTAAAAGTTGACAAGTAAATTTGTCATAATTTTCTAAGGAAAGGAATAAACTTGTCTTTGTATACCCCTCTATTAATTTCTTAATGGTCTCAGTGGCCTTCAACAGAAAAAGAAATAGGTTCCCCATATTGAGATACTCTTTCAGCAATTTAGCTGTATCATTTATTTCCAATTCTTCAATTCTTACTTCTCTTGTGAAACCACAGTATCTCCATAAAGGTTGCTAATCATGTTGTAAAGTAGGATACAGGGCTTAGAATGTGGGTGAACTGCATGAGGAAACATGTAGCAATGTTCATCTTTATAGTTGAATTATCTTTTCCATAATTGCTCCCCAACTACACTGTCTAATTATGGAGGGCACGGACTGTGTAGCCTCCACAGAGAGGGGAACATCACCTCACAGCAACACCATCTGCTGAGGGGATGAGTGAATAAATGAATAGTCTGACACAGTACCAAGTCACCACAGTTGCCAAATCGAACCAAGCCAATTTGACCCCAATCTGGTTCACCTGTTTATTGTCACAACTCTGACTTCTTTACTTGCTCTACTTACCATAGAGCAAGAGGGATGTTGGATCAAGCCCCAGACTCTCACAACCAGGTATATTCTGATCACGGAAATCCTGTAGCAAAATGCCCAGCACCAACTCCTCACTCATCATATACTTCATAAAATTTTCATCATCTGATGGAACCCCAAATTGCAGGTCATACGTTACTGTGGCATTTTCACCACTGAAAGGCAATGGAAGACATTAAAACATAAACAGCATCATACTGCAACTCAAGAAATGAATTTAAGCAATAACTTTTTTTTTTTTTAGTTTTGCATGTTCTTCCAGTACAAAATAGCAAAGAATGTTCTGTCCTGGAAGAACATACTGTCCTATAAGAATCCTCTTCCATAGATTCATCACAAAAAGTTGAGGTGATCCTAACCTCCTCCTTCCACCTAGTACCTATCCTCTAGGAATCCACTGGGAGAGGCCATCAGAGGTAGAGGTAGAGGTGCCCATCTCCAGTCAAGATGCTGAGAAGATCCCAGGCTTGACCCACCATCTGTCCCAACCCCAGCCTTCATCCCTTAAGGCAAGCCAGGGAAGCCTCCCCTTTTCTCCACACACATTCCTTCTTCATGTTCTCAGCATTGCCCCCACAAAGGTGTGCCAGGGATATTTAGTTTAACCAATTCTTTATTTGACCTATGAAAATGTTTAAGGCACAGCCAAAGTTTCCTACCATTGGCTGGGTCCAGAACTTCTGAACGTTGACAGAGACCACCCTGTGTATCAGCAACAAATCAGGCTTCCCTGGTTTGTCCCCAAAGTGAGAAACTTTTCTGTCCCATTTCCAGAGGCCCCTAGGGCAAGATAACCAAGCCCTGTAACTCTCAGTAATGGGACCTAAGGAAAGGGAATTTTCATCTTCCTAGAACATTTTTTCCCATTTCCAAAATAAAAATAATCAAGGGCTACCCTCCATTAATTAGTGTCTAATGCTACTCTTTAAATGCTACTTCAACATTTAGTTTATTCATAGTTATCCTATTACTTTGGTTTAAGATGGGCCAGATTAAGAACCAGCAATAAAATAATGAGCAGGAGGCCACATCTGAGACTATCACCTTGGGGAAGTTTTGCAGATGCACCAGTCCCATTAGTGTGAATCAGGCCACTGCCCCTGCTAAGGATAGGCAAAGAGCTCCCTCTTCTGGCTACAGGTCACATAGGCCGATACTCTTCGATCTTACAAGGTGGCTGACAATTGAGCTTATAAACTCTACTACGGCTGGGAGATGTGCCAGATCCTGCAGATCAAATGAATAATGGAGAGTCAGGACTCTGAAGAAACTCATAGTTTCAAGGATGCCACTAAAGGAGGGCCAAAAAATGCACTTTCAAACTGCAATCCAGCTAACCTAGTTTGCAGGTGTCATAACTTGTTCCCTGAGCTCTGCCCTCTAATTATCGCTAATGATGATCAACACCTACACAGCCAGCCACCCTGCATTCCCAGGGGCAAGGACTTGGGCTGGCTAATGAAGAGGGCCAGAGTCTGACTTTCAGAAGACCAGGTCAGAAGCTGAATGGGAAAATCAGGCCACCTAGCCTGGCCTGGCCAGCCCATCCTAATCCCCCATGGCAGGTCACAGGGTAAATTTACATGAGGCTGAATTTTGAGAAAAGAGCAACTTTCAGGGCCTTTCGCCCAGCTGCCCACCACTGGAGTGAGTCTAGCAGCTAATAAACCAAAGGGCATTTTTCCAGGTTCTAGCTGGGCCAGTCCAGGGCTGAGGTCACAATGCCCCTGTAGACACAAATGCATGTGCCAGGGATTTAGCCGCCTCCCACCCATGTGCAGCAGCACCCTTTGGGAAGCAATGGCTTTTCTTCCTCAATTCAATACTTTAGGACCTCTGCCTGGACTTCTTGAAATAAAGTGCAGAGATGTCACCGTAAGTACCATGTACACTGGGTCTGTTTTGTTTTGTCTTGTTTGAGTCTCTCTGTGTCACAGGCTGGAGTGCAATGGTGCGATCTCAGCTCACTGCAACCTGCGACTCCCTGGTTCACACAATTCTCCCGCTTCAGCCTCCCAAGTAGCTGGGTTTACAGGCACGCGCCACCACGTCCAGCTAATTTTTGTATTTTTAGTAGACATGGGGTTTCACCATGTTGGCCAGGATGGTCTCAATCTCCTGACCTCATGATCTGCCTACCTCAGCCTCCCAAAGTACTGGGATTACAGGTGTAAGCCACCATGCCCAGCCCATTGGGGGTCTTTAAAGAAGGAGATCAAAGGCAGCCTGCACCATATGTATCTGTAGACTTCAGGTCTGTTTGGCCCCACACCATGGTGCTACCTACCACCTGCTTTATGTGCCTCCCCTCCCAGGTCTGCTAATATTAGGGTTTGGAGAACTTATAGTTTGAAGGGGGAATCTCAATATAATACAACTTTTGATGGTCATATTCCAGAGACATCTCAGGCATAATGGATAATGAAGCTTTGATATAAATTTTAAGTCATCTCCAATAGTCCCAATGATGTAAAAGGATAATAAATGGACTCTACACACATACACCCTGATGCCTACATCTCAAGAACATTAAAGATGAGGAGGAAATTTAAAAAATAAAAAATACATATGGGTGTGTATATCCTATGTGTGTGTAGTATTTGTGGTGCCTATGGTAGATACATGAACAGAAGTAATTACACTCAACTCTTGACAGCTATTACCTCCATGGAAGGGAATGGCATTAGTTATTGGTGGTGGCAGTGGAGAAGAAAGGAGGCAGAAGGGAGACTTTTCCTGTGCATACCTCTTTATGTCTTCTTTTTTTTATTTTTATTTATTTTTATTTTTTTGACAGAGTCTCACTCTGTCACTCAGGCTGGAGTGCAGTGGCGCAATCTCGGCTCACTGCAACCTCCCCTCCCGAATTCAAGAGATTCTCCTGCCTCAGCCTCCTGAGTAGCTGGGATTAGAGGCACCCACCAACACACCTGGCTAATTTTTGTATTTTTAGTTGAGACAGGGTTTCACCACGTTGGCCAGGCTAGTCTTGAACTCCTGACCTCAAGTGATCTGCCCGCCTTGGCCTCGCAAAGTGCTGGGATTACAGGCGTGAGCTACCACGCCCGGCCCCTCTTTACATCTTTAATACTAAACAAGGAGAATGTACTCCTGTATTACTTGTGCTCCTCAAAAGCAAATGCCTATACATGTATCACTCGCATCACAGCACGACCTGAGATCTATTTCTACTTCTACCCTTAGCTTATTTGAGCATTCATTGTTAAACAGAAATGGTTTACCTGGGACTGGCTTTTCCCCTCTTCTGTGTGACCCTGGTTGAATTATACCATTAATCTGGGCTTCCTTTTTCTCATTTGTAAAATAAGGGAGTTGAGCCTGTTGGTGTAAAAGACCTTCCCAGCACTGACATTCTGTGATTCTATTACAGGTTCCCTTCATGCTCTGAGGCTCTGGGAATCCCTGCTAGGTAAATGACGAAGGGTGGGGTGGGGGGATCTCTTTCCAGAGAAAGAGAGCAAAATGTAATGTTCCACACTCTTACCTGAAGTCCACTATTTCAACTGAAGTAAAATAACGACCCAGAGAGGGCGATGTACTGTACACATCTGTGAGCTAAACAAACAGAAGCAAATTAAACCACACACATTACCGACAGATCATATTACACATCACCTGACAAAGCAAAACTGCTTCTAAGGCAGAGGAGATTCCACTCCAGCCTGGAATCAACGTTATCTGGAAGCTCTGGATCAAGAATTGAGCCCACCATAAATCAAAACTCAAGTTAATGCTACTTCAAAAGAACTCCATTTATAAGGACCAAATGACTCAGTTTCTCTCAGAAGTTGCACTGGCACCCTGTGGCCTTAGTGGTGAGAATATCAGCAGCTGGAGCCCACACAGGCCTCACAGACCATAGGAAGGAGAGAAGAGAAGACCCCAAAATGGCTGCTGGACAGCAGCAGCACAGACCACTTAGCACCTGGGACATTGCTTAGCCCAGGGCTTCTTTCTCCCTTCTCCAGAGCTTCAGTGTAAAGACAAACAGCCATGCTAAGCCATGGGTCTAGCACATCCCCTGGACAAAGAGACAAAGAGGGGAACTGCAAAAATATGGAGGCTTTATTTTATGCATGAAATATTGCAAGCATCATAAAAAATAATGACACCTGTGTTTCCACTACCTAGCTTTCATGTCTTCATATTTGCTATATTGGGTTCAGCCCTTTAATTTAAGAAACAAAATAAAGCTAAAGTGACTCCTACATACTATTCAGTTCCTCCTCTCTCTCTTTCTTAATACTAACCATCATTCTGAAGCTGGCATGCATCCTTTCCTTGCATATTTTTACAAATTACTACTTATTTATGTAATCATAACAAAATATAATTTGTGTTTTTATTCAAATAAAAGGCACCATATTCTACATAATCTTCTAAAACTTGCCTTTTTTCACTCAAAATTACATTTAAGATTTACCCATAAAGTAAATCTCAATGAAAGGCATTCACCTAACTCCTGCACAGATTCCTTTAAATGAGTATACCAGCCTATCCATTCCTCTGATGATGATCACATGCACTATTCTCAATTTTCCCCATCACAACTTATGCTGAAGCAATCATCCTTAATGTCTCCATGCATCTCTTCTTGGACATGCGGGAGTTTCCAATGGGCATATGCCAAGAAAAGGAATTGTTGGGTTTAAGGGTAGGTGCATCTCCAACTTCACAAAATTGTTCTCCCTTTCCCACCCCTCCCAGCAATGTATAAATATCCATTTCCCACATCCTTACCAGCACTTAGTGTTACCAAACTTAAATTTTTACCACTCCGAGGAGTATAAAATAGTGCTTCACATTGTTTTAATTTGTACTGCCTCGCTTACTAGTGAGGTTGAACATCTTTTCATGTTTATTAACTCTTTGGGACTTTTCATCTCTGAATTTCTCACTCATTTCCTTTCCTTCTCTTGGCTTATCTGTCTTTTTCTTATCTATCTGAAGTGGTTAGTTTTATATTCTGGATACTAGTTGTTGATATTATGTTACAAGTATCTTTTCCCAGGCATTGAGTAGTTGTGTTTCAGATATCTGAATCCTAAACTAGTAGTACTAGGAACATGTGCCATCCCCAGCTACAGCCATTATGGCTTAATGACCTATTACTTTATTCAATAACAAGCAGTCGAACATACAAAAAACAGCAGTGCCCTATGGGGAGCTTACCCTGTTTCCCCTCAACTCCAAATGGAATGTCAAGGACGCTGCACTTCCACAATACACTCCCATTTAACTCAACATGTACAACCCATATCTCAAAGAGAACAAAAGATGAGAGTGCCTGCTATTTCTGCTCTTCTAATCTTGTCACTACTGTTGTGATCTTTATAAAAACCTGGCAAAACAGGCATTAATATATCTCCCCTTTTTACTGGAAAATTAAACAGCACTCCATTCCATGAGATGAAGAAAACCTGTCCCAGGTCACTGTGCTAGTAAAAGGAGAAGCCAAAATTCAATCCTACATGTTATGAACACTAAAAACCAGCTTCTTCCCATCTGACCACACTACCCAGTGAAGAAGAAATTGATATATATACAGTGAAGGAAAGTGTCTCCTGAATATCAAGGAGGAAAGAAGCTTAAAGTGACAAAAACTTTCGGAGAAAATGACTGAGTCATTGTACAGCTCTTAAGCCCCAATGCACAGGATGTTGCCGATAGGCTGACAGTCATTTAGAAAACTCGGGAACTAGGAAAGCAGCTTTCACGGGGATGCTGTGATGGAGAGGAGGATGAGGATGCTGCAGAGGAGAATCTTTTCAAGCACTAATGTCAAGCACTCATGTCTTTCTCTTCCTTTTGGATTGAGCTTCCTATGGCAAAGGTGATATTTATCCTTCCTTCCAGTCTTCTCTGCTTCCTCCTTCCCTTCTTTCCTTTATTAATCTTTAGGGCCCAGCACAGTGTTTTGCACATAACAGGCTTTCAGCAAATTTTTAAGTTAAAATTTTAAGGTAACATATGGAGTGGTCGACTAAATCATTTTTAGTGTTCACTCGAAGATTCTTTTTGATCATGCTCCTCTGCTGTACTTAGGACATATTTACATTTGGGGAGCTGTTAGTCACACTGTCCACTTTGGGCCCAAAGAAGTGAAATAGGGTGGTTCCTCAACCCTTAGTCTTGTGTCTCCCACACAATGTCTATGAGGCTTGGTGCAAACTGAGCAAGGAGCTCAGCGAATTGATTAGCTGAGTCTGATGCAGTGGCTAATTAGAGACCAGCTTCCAGAATAAGGCAGGTGCCATCATTAACTCCTAACCCATGCACAGGGTGTGGTAGTCACACAGGCTGGCTTAAGCAGAGTAATGGCCCCAACCCTGAGAGGAAAACACTGTGGCAGTGACACATGGCAGGGCCTGTGTTTAGAAAAGTCAAGGGAAAGGGCATAAAGTTCCAATACTGTGATATAATAACAATATGTATACTGTTTAGTCTCTGCCCCAGTTCCTGGCACAGAATTCCTAAAACCCTTGTTACTTCCTGAGTGACAGGGGCGCCGGGTACATCTTTTACTCTAACATTTGGTCTTTACTCCAGCTCCTGACACAGACCTGCTCCTAAATCTCTTGCAGTTTCCTGGGTTATAGGAGTGTCTTTATTTCTGATGAGGCAACTCTTGGCGGGCTGCTGGATGGGGGCTGATCATCAGAAAGACCAAGCCGCAGCTAGAAGCTTGGAACTTTCAGCCAGTGTGGTGGAGTGGGATGGTGCATGCGTGTAGTCCCAGCTACTCGGGAGACTGAGCAGGGAGAATCGCTTGAGGCCAGGAGCTTGATATCAGCCTAGGCAATATAGTGAAAACTGTCTGGAGAAAAAAAAAAGAAGAAGAAGAAATCTGAAGCTTTTGGCCCCACCTCCACCCCCATCCTCCAGAGGGGAGAGAGGCTGGAAAGCAAGCTAATAATCCACCATGCCTATGTGAGGAAATCTCCATAAAAATCCCTAAAAGACAGAGTCTGGAGAGCTCCCAGGTGGCTGAACACATTTACAAGGGAGAGTGGCACACCTGAAAGGACATGGATGCCCACATTCTGTCCCACGTGTCCGCCCTATGTACCTTTTTATCTGGCTTTTGATATCCTCTATTTTCTACAGTGTGCCCATAAATGTGATGCTTCCCTGAGCTCTGTGAGCCATTCTAGCAAATGACCAAACCCAAGGTGGGGGTTTTGGAGACCTCCAATTTGCAGCTGGTTGGTCAGAAGCACAAGTGACAACCTAGACTTGTAACTGAACTGGCATCTTTTTTTTTTTTTTTTTTTGGAGACTAAGTCTCGCTCTGTTGCCCAGGCTGGAGTGCAGTGGCACGGTCTCGGCTCACTGCAAGCTCTGCCTGCCGGGTTCACACCATTCGCCTGCCTCAGCCTCCCGTAACTGGCATCTTAAATGAGGGAAGTTTTGTGGGGCTGAACCCTTAAACTATGGGGTCTGCACTAACTCCAGGCAGATCATGTCAGAATTGAACTGGATTGCAAGACACCCAGCTGGTGGCAGATAATTGGTTGGTGTGGAAAACACACACACACACACACACACACACACACACGGCCAAAGAAGTGTTCTGCATTGAATGTGGGTATAGAGAAAAAAATAATTTTTCCCCCACAAATACCCACTTCCATTTACCTTTTATATCCAGAAACTTCTGAAACTTGACCTAATGGAAGAAAGGAGTTATTGACCTGACAATAAGACAGCAATACCTTTAGGTGCTAATTTTTGTTCCTGAGCATATTTGGTTGACGAATGAAGGGCAGGAATCTGTCACCTCACTATGCCTTACTTTGATCATTTGTAAATAAGATAATTCTTTTAAAATGTTTTTCAAGTTATTTTTATGTAATCTCATTTGCACCTGAGATACACAGAGAAAGTGCACTGGTTTCCATTTATCAGCGAAGAAACTGGCTCAAAGAAATCTGTGGACCCACCACAGGCATCAATGTCAGTCCCTGTTCTTTTGCCACTACCTAGTGATGAGCTCAAAATACCCGCAGAATTTCCTCATATCTGACTCTGTGCAAGATATATGGTTGTAAAATGAAAAATGAACATTCATTTACCTTTGAAATAGACAGTCTACTATGCAACAGGTGACACATGTGGATGCTGACTCATCTTATTTCTGCTCAGCAAATGCAAAAACCTCTCCATTAAAAAAGCAGCCAAGAGGAAAGTAGCAAGAAGCGTCTCACTCAGCAACTTGCCCCAGGAAGCAGGTGGAAGGAAAGGAGAAAAGGAGGTGAAGATAAGACATAAATGAAGAGACTTCAAGGACTTGATGGAAAAGGTGGTGGGGGTGAGGGATAAAAGACTACAAATTGGGCACAGTGTACACTGCTCGGGTAATGGGTGCACCAAAATCTCAGAAATCACCACCAAAGAACTTATTCATGTAACCAAATACCACCTGGTCCCCCAAAACCTACGGAAATAAAAAATAAAAATAAATAAATAAATTTAAACAATCTAAAAAAAATTTAAAGATATAAATGAAGAGAAGGAGAAAGAGAAATCTGGAGTAATCATCACAGGATACCAACTCCTGTGATAAAAGAAGCAATGAAATCTCATGCGTGGGTACCCAGAAACTGATTCTGATGTGACCTGGATGGAATCGCCTCTTCAGGAGCTTTTGTAGGAATCAAATCGAATGGAAGTTAGATAAACAGCACTCACTCCATTCAACCTAGCAATGGCAGAGAAGAATTTAATGGAGGGCAGCCTGCTCTTGCCTAGATTTTCTTATCAAAATTTCTGGGTCTGGCTGTGAACCACCTTGTCTTTGACAGGATGATCAGGATGCCCCACCCAACGGTCCTAGTCTGGCTGCAGAGCTTCCATCTTCCACAGAGGGTTCATTCTCCTGGGTTTCTCATCCCATGACTGACACCGCCATCCATCTGCCCAATCACTCAACTGGAGCTTGGAGTCATGCTCTCCTCACCACCACCCAATCAGTCATGGACTCTTATTGAGTGAGAATACCTCTTAAATCTCACGCAAATCTTCCTTATTTTCCCGACACTGCCCTAGTTCAAGTCTCCCTCATTTCTCACCTGGACTATTGTAACACCTTCTAACTGATCTCTTCCTCCTGGCTTTCTCCACCAAAACACAGAAAGGCTAAAAGGAAAAATCTAACTGTGTCAATCTGCTGATTAAAATATTTTGGTGCCTTATTGAAGAGTGGGAAAGCCTTCATGACCTGACGCCTGCCTTCCTTTTTAGCCTTATCTCTGCCAGCTGTCACCACAAAGCATGGGAAGGCCACAGTACACTACTTTGCAGATCCTTTAATGTCCCATGCTTTTTTATTTAGAACATTCCTACCTCATTTCAAAACTCATCCTGAGCATCACTTCACTTAACAGGCCTTTCATGCCTTCATCTTCACCTGAGGTAGCTCAGATGCCCCTCCTTTGCCACTGTACAACACACTAGAACATACCACACTATTATAAAACGATCTTTTTAGTCACTTCCTGTACTTGGACTGTGAGACCCCTGAAGGCACAGACAATGTGGCCCTGGCACTTGGCATGCTGTCTAGCACATCACAGACCCTCAATGAATACTATAGGTTGAATTAAATGTAGGACCTAAGGGAGTAAAAAGAACAGTGTCCTCCAGCATTTATGCAGCTGGAGGCCAGGAATCTTCCCTCTGGCTTTGCACTACAGTAAAGATATTTACTTATTTTTTTAACAAAGTTTTATTTTAGGCTCAGGAGAATACATGTGCATGTTTCTTCTATAGGTAAACTCGTGTCATGGCGGTTTGTTGTACAGATTATTTTGTCACCCAGGTACTAAGCCTAGTACCCAATAGTTACTTTTTTTCCTGCTCCTCTCCCTCTTCCCACCCTCCGCCCTTAAGTAGGCCCCAGTGTCTGTTCCTCTCTTCGTGTCCATGTGTTCTCATCATTTAGCTCCCACTTGTAAGTGAGAACATGTGGTATTTGGTCATAAAATATATTTATAAGCATCATTTTCTGCTAAAATCCAGACAAAGAATCCAAAATTGAAGCTACTTACTCTATAGCTCTATGCCAATTATTCTAGCAAAATTCATATTCTAATGTCAAGAACTCCTTAGGCAATATATAAGATGGAATTACCCTTTCGGTGAGCAGGTGAGGCAATTCCTCTTCAGCAACACACTCCTCTGGAATCTTCAGCATGATGAAGAATGTTTTGTTTGATGATAATTCAAGTATTTCATTTTCATCTTCATCAACATAAGTTACTAAAGAAAGTAGGGGAGGTGGAAATGAAAAACAAAAGTAAACACCTGCATATAATAATAAACTTATTTATTCCATTGACTGCCATACTTAAACATAACTATGAGCATCAAGGGTAAAGGCTGAACACAGCAAGCAAGTGTAAGCAGAAATGCTTTCTCCACTCAGCAAAATTGAGTAAAATACAGGGGTTTGCCTCTATCAAAATAAAAAGTTTGTTTTATGGCAAAGGGGTCTCAGATTCCACTGAATACAGACTGGGGAAAGGGCCCAAGGGAGTAGGAAGAATATGAACTTCCTTATTAGACTAAACCTGCAGCTTAGCTAGGTACACAGGTGTCAAGGCAGGTACTGGGAGACGGTGGGGGTGGCTAAACTACACTCAGAGCCCCAGGGTGTGCAGGAATTGTTCAGGTCAATGAATTAGCATGTATTAGGGTCAAGGTATATTTATAGACTCAGATTCCGAAATCATTTACATTTTATAAATGGGAAAACAGACCCAGAGGGTTGACGAGTTTGCCTAAAACAATGAGTGATGAAGGACAGGAAGTGGGAGCAAGTAACTGCATTGACTCACCTCCCAATTCTGTGCTGGCAAAGACCACCATGAAGAAGTGACATCATCGACTCAAACAACAGAGGTGACTAGAAAATGAGCATGCGAGTCCATGTCTTGAAGTCTCCCCAGGAAGACAGAGGATGAGCATGAAGTCATCACTCTAGACTATGTCTCACAGGACAGGTATGTTGACATGCTCTGCTTGCAGAAGGGAAGCTAAACTATATTCAGAGCCCCAGGGTGTGCAGGAATTACATTCCTGGGACAATTAGTTATGTATTGCTGCTTGTGTTTAATGACTGCCATCTAATTGATTTTTAAGTAGTTGGAACTAAAGGAAAATCACACAAAGTGAGGAGCCAGGCGCCAGAAGCTAGCACTACTGTGCTAATTATGCTCCCCTGGCTCCACAACAGCCTCACCAGCTGGTCCCACACAGGAGACTACCTCTCTGGCCCTGAGAAAGGCGTAGGTGGGAGGAACCAGGTGCTTATATTGCCATAGACTTTAAGACCATAGTGGAATAAATTCAGTGTTTGAGATGGAAGGACAGGTAAAAAGGAGGAAGATTCCTGGTATTCCGGTTACTTATTCTGTGATGACATCTGGAAATACGAGGCATTACGAGCAAGGAATGTGCAGAAAAGAGTTAATATAGCAGGCCTGAGATTGCTAGCATAAGAAAGGCCTCCTCAAAATTGGTCCTGGCTGGTGTCTGAGAACCTGGATTTTCCCCTGATGAGAGGGGCTCACTGTGCCTCAACTGTTTGTACAATGTGGCTAACATCTCCTTTCCTTCTGGGAGTCTGGATTTTTAGTGCATAGTAGGCAGAGGCTACGTATATGACCAAGCCCCAGTGAAAACCCCGGGTACTGAATCTCCAATAAGCTTCCCTAGTAGATGAGATCTCACATGTGTTGTCACAGCCTATCGCTGGAGGAATTAAACAAGTCTGGTGCAACTCCACTGAGAGAGGACACTTGAAAGCTTGCTCCTGGTTTTCTCTGGATTTTGCTGTAATTAATCATTTGATGTAATGTATCCTTTTGCTGTAATAGATCATAGTGATCAGTAGGACTGCATGCTGAGTCCTGTGTATCCTCCTAGCAAATTGTTGAATCTAGGAGTAATCTTGGGGACCCCCAAACGTAGGGAATTATCCCTGCGTCCTTAATTGTTATAAGTCATGACATTATGTTGTATGATTTAAAAAAAAAGTTACGCCTTCATAGCAAAAAATTTTGCAAAGTGCAGGAAATTGTAACAAAGCAAAGAAAAAAATACGAATAATCTTGCAATCAAGAGGGTTTTTTCCTCCTATACTTGATATTATATATTTAAGGTCCTAACAAATAGGTAATTTATATCCTGCTTTTTGTTGTTTGCTGCCATTATTGCTTACTTATCCTGATTGTTCTGTTGTAAACATATCAAAAGCCATTTCCCATGTGCTTAAAATTCCTTGCAAAGATTATTTCAATGGCTTCATAATGTTCATAATAGGCTCACCTATTTTCTTAAATATGACATTTATCATTTTTAGCTTTCTACTTCTATAAATAATATTTCAATGGGTATCTTTGAGCTCTATACCCACCATGTAGATTTCCATAATAGATATCAATGCCTCAGAAAACAATAGGGGATGCCAAGAGGATAGATACAAGGTTCAAATAACTGCTAAACTCAAGGACACTGAGAAGAGATGCCAAGTGTGAAAACAGGCCTCCCATAATAGCTCTGACACATATTTAATGTGTATCATTCAAATCATGAATCTGTACCAAGACCTATCTAAATAGTTGTGTGTGTCAAAATAATAACAATAGTAACAACGACAGGCTTACTCAGTCAGGAGAGTTTTTATGTCACTAATGAGATAATCTGGGCTATACTTATTCGTGTAGAAAAAACATATTTTTAAAAATCACAAAAACATGTGTTGTATGTTGAAGGAACATGAAAACAGTTCTTTGGCTAGAATATAAGAAATTAAGCTAGAGAGAGAGCCCTTAAACGCCAGATACCTTCAAGGGGTAATGGAGTGTTGTTAAACATCGCCCACGAAGAAAGTAGAGGCTGGTGTTTAATGGAGGTTAATCGGGTGGTCATGGATGGGATAAATGAAACGAGGAGAGATGAGGCAGAGAGGCCAACAGGCACAAGTTTGGAACAGACTGATTTGACTGACAGCAGAAGGAACAAAAAGAAAAAATTAATGAGAAAGCCCAGGATAGTAGAAACAGAGCTGGCTTTAAAGGCAGCCAGACTCAGTCTGAACTCCTGTTGGCTATTTGTTAGCCAGGTGACCTTGAGCAAGTCACTTAAATCTCTGAAGCTACTTCTCCAACAGAAATATCAACACCTACAATGTAGGTGATAGTAAAGATGAAAACCAACATGCATAAAGTATCCTGCATGGTGCCTTGTAGTAAGTGGGAAAGTTGCTATCAAGACACTACCAAGGAATAACTGGTAAGATTTGGCCATTATCTAGATATGAGAAAGAAGAAATCAAAAAGGTTTCCAAGATATCAAGCCCAGGAACAGGAAGAATAATAGCTACTGTATTAAGTATGACGTGCAAACATTCTACTATGCACCTTATGAATATATTTTCCTCACATAATCCTCACATTAACCCAATGAGTTAAATATTGTTGTTTTCATTTTTAAATGAAGACACTGAGGCTTAGAGAAAATGCATAATTTGTTCAGGTCAATGAATTAGCATGTATTAGGGTCAAGGTATATTTATAGACTCAGATTCCGAAATCCTTTACATTTTATAAATGGGAAAACAGGCCCAGAGGCTTGACAAGTTTGCCTAAAGTTACACAATTGGATAGTAGCAGAACTAAAATAAACTTGGTCTTATATAAAGGGTGAGTGAATGGGGAAAAGATGAACAAATTGGGATGAAGGATATGTTATGGTCTGAATGTTTGTGTCTCCCCGAAAAATGCATATGTTGAAATCTAACCACCAATGTGAGCGTGTATTAGTCCATTCTCACACTGCTATAAAGAACTACCTGAGACTGGGCAATTTATGAAGAAAAGAGGTTTAATTGTCTTACAGTTCTGCGGGCTTAACAGGAAGCAAGGATGGGAGCCCTCAGGAAACTTACAATTATAGCAGAAGGCTCAGGGGAAACAAGCATGTCTTACCATGGGGGAGCAGGAGAGAGAGAGAAAGAGCAAACAACAAAGAGCCACACACTTTTAAACCATCAGATCTCATGAGAATTCACACACTATCATGAGAATAGCAAAGGGGAAATCTACCCCCATGATCCAATCACCTCCCACCAGGCCCCTCTTATCATTCAACATGAGATTTGGGCAGGGACACAAATCCAAACAATATCAGATGGTCTTAGAGGGTGGGGCCTTTGGGAGGTGATTAGATCATGAGGGGAGAGCACTTTTGAATGGTATTAGTGCCCTTATAAAAGAGGCCCAGAAAGCTGCCTTTCCCCTTATACCATAGAAGATATAGCTAGAAGGCATGATCTACGAAATAAAAAGTGTGCCCTCACCAGACAGCAAATGTGTGCTGACACTTTGATCTTGGAGTTCCCAGCCTCCAGAACTGTAAGCAATAAATTTCTGTTATGTATAAGCTACCTAGTTTATGATATTCTGTTATAGTAGCCCAAGCAGACTAAAATAGCATACAAACAAATGGTAGTTTCACATGTATAATAATTGAGATGATGACAGTTATTTTTAGATAAATATCTCTAGCCAAGAGTACTTCCAAAACTCAGGAAAATTGTACAGATGTAGATCTAGGAGTCACCTTCTTGGAGGCATGGCTGCTGTCCTGGGAGTGAATGAGCTCTCCAAGAAAAAGAATGAAGAATGTGAAAAGTCACGAAGCTGAAGAGAAGCCTCATGAACCCACAATGCAGATGCCAAGAGCAAAAATAGCAAAATCAACCTAAAGTCCAGGAGTTCTATAGACTCAGAAGAGTATAATGAAGTTGGCAGAGCTAAAAGCTGACAATAAGGCAGGAGACAGAGAAATGTTGGCTTCCACGATCAGACAATTGCTAGTAATCTTGGGAAGAAAAATTGGGAACCAATAGATACAAGAGGTTTGGGAGTCTGCAGGAGGCAAGATTCAAATGCAGACCTTTCTTTCTGGAAGTGTGCCAGTGAAAGAAGGGAGAGAAAAACACATATCTAAATGAAGTAGCAAGAATCCTGATGGAAGATTGCTTTGAAGGAGAGAGGATGCTAGTGCATTTGAAGAGTTAACCCATTTATACCTGAGGTTGAACTTTTCGAATTTTTGCATTCAGACTTTGGTGATGACCTTGAGCAGTAAGATATAAATAACTTCTACATGATTAGCATTCCAATAATGGAACACTAGGCATAAATTAAGAAGAACCTGAGGATGCTTAGAGAGAGGAGGAGATATCTGAAGATCTCTGGGTCAGAGGAAGCTGAAAGATATTATATGGAGACCACAGGTAAGGGTGTCCATCTTGGTAGAGAAACATCAGCGATTTGAAGAAAAGATAAACAGGTGAAAATGGAAAGAAATTTCAAGGTACTGGGTCTAGCACTGCTCTCATGTTCCTGCCCCAAAGGACCTTGGCAGCTTATAGCTTGTTAATGCTGTCTGCCTAGGATTTTCCCATGAGTCACCCTACACCAGGGAGCATTACCCTGTGAAAACTGTCAGTCTGCCAGAACCACATGACATCATAAAATGTAGCTCTTATTCACAACTGAAAGGCAAACAAATCCACTCAACACAACGTCACTTAGGAAGTCGTTGCTTATATCTCAGTACCACAGCGTTCCTACTCATAAAAGGTGTATAAATTAAGAGATTAGGGTCAGGCAAGAATCTGGGGTATAATGTTGGGGGATATCACATGAGGGTCTCCAGGATGTTATCAATTTAAATCATGTTTCTAAGCATCCACCTACTTGTCACAGTTTTGTTTTTGAAATATTTAAAATATTTTGCCCCAACCAAAACTTCATTAGTAAAGTGTTATTCAGGGTCTCACCTCTCCATGACTAGGGTGAATTATTGAAGAAAGGAGAACCCTTGAGAACACTCAACTGATCCTCCAAATTATCCAGAAAGAAAATGACTTTGAGAAAAAGATGAAGGCTTTTGTTTCTGTACCTTTCAAATCAAGAAATTTATAATTCCTTATGAGGAAGGAAAGAATCCATTAATACCTTTTCCCTAAAGAGTCTCAAATAACAGAATTCCCTGGGTTCCACTCATAAAAATGGACATTAAAAAAATTTCCATGTCGATTGTGAGTCTGGTGGACAGGTAGCCTCTTTTCCCTAGCACATACAAAGCCCCTACTCAGTGCTTTAAGCTAAGCCATGATCCTGAATTTGTCATTCTTCAATGGCATACAAGGGAAGAGTAGTGGGCAAGCCCAACCCATGTACAGGCAATGAAGGCTGCACAGTCTGTAGAGAATGAGCAGCAATAATAAAACCTACTACAAGTTGGTCTGCTTTTATTATCACCACATGCTGACAATTCTTAATTCGAGTGAAAAAATATAACTCCCCACTGGACACCCTGCCCTGGGTACCCAGGTGTCCCCTCCCCAACTTTCTGTTCTGAGATGCTTTCACTGTCCCATTTTATGTCCACCCCAACTGCACAGTTTTGAAGGCTAAAGAAATTCCGTCTTAGTTATTATTTCACTGTATTAACTTCTGATTAATCCCAGCTCTGGAAATGCCTCTAAGATTTCTATTTCATCTACTGTTGCATGTATAAGAGCACATACTTACCATAAATCTCACCCTCAGGTCTAAACAACCTTAACGTTATCTACATGCCATAAATCTTGCCCTTATGCAATTATAAAACACATCCCTTCTGAAGCATGCATACCCTTTTTCTGTGGTATTTAAGCCCTGGGCCTTTGGGGTAATGGTGCAGGAATGCACCATCTCCTCTCACTGCTGCCCAACGCATGGCTTCTGTTCCTAAAACCCTGTTAAATGTTTCTTTCTGAGTAACTGGATTTGTCAGTTTTTCTTTAGCCTCTCAGCTTCCTCAGCCTTTCTGGGTAGTTTTGCAAAGACCTGCCTACTGAAGAACAAAAGTTAACACTTCCGCCTCCAAGCTTCAGTCTGAAGACTACAGAGCCTTGAGACAGGAGATTAAGGGGTCTAGAGAAGGGTAAGCAGGCAATGAATGGCAAATATAGTTCCTGAGGAACCTTAGTCACCCAGTAAATCCAGACAGCCACAGGCACAGCCCTTGACTCTCCCAACAGTGTTTTTATCCCCAGACAACATTTCCCATGCAGTACTTGAAAGTTCCACAAATATCTGATTCATATTAATGGGCTTGGCAATTAGGAAGTGGCTGATTATTGAAGATCATCCCCAAAAAATGCCTACGGAACTGCTCTAGGTGAGGCTGGGACTGTCACAGAAGGGAGCCCCTGCCCCACCCCTTTTAACCTACTGTATCTCCCCCCACCCCCACGTCTAACATGACTCTCCCCACAGGATCAAATACCTAAGAGCTGAGATGCCAAGTAAAATACAAGTATTTCCTTGATTTAAAAAGTAGTTTGAAAAAATCTCTCTTACAGCATTGACATGTTCGAACACAAATTTACAGTTAAATTAAAAATAAAGTTTGCACTACAAGTGTTAAAAAAATTCTTCCCTGAATATTATCCCATAACCTTTTACATCTCCAGAAAAACTGTGGAAGGAAGTGAAATACCTTCCTCTTGCAGACTGCTCTTTGTGAGGTGAAGAGGTTAGATGACTTTTTGAGAATGGAAGACAGATCCTGGGTCTTGCGCTTTAGAATCCTGAATATTAAACCATCTAGATCTCTTGAATCATCCTTTATGATAGGCCCCAGATGCCAACAGGATCCAAATATCAACTTCTAGGATAGCACCAACTAGTTATGTCAGGACAAGATTGTGCTACTCAACCTCATTTTCAACATCCATGTGTTGGAATTGATATGAATAGGAAGTATGGCAATGCTCACACCAAAACTATTGTCCTCAGCATGACGGAGGAGGTGCAGCACACTTCATTAGCTTTTTCCTACCTTAACACCAGCTTATATCCTCAAACAGTCATCCAACACACCTGAACAATGCCCTAAGTAAATACGTAGATATGGTGCCTGGCCAGGAAACTTATGTGCTGGAGGTTGGCTGATGTCATCAAAGTTTTCCTATTCCTTCAGGAATTACAAAACTCTAAGACAGGAAATTAAGGGGTTGGGAGAAGGGGAAACAAGCGGTAAATGGAAAATGTAGTTTCTGAGGAAAATTCCTGAGAACTCCCTCTGGAGAGACTGGGGAGTTACCCCTTCTTCTTCTCATTCTATGACTGGGTTTGTAACTGGGAGCTGGACTCAACCCATGCCGCATGAAGGCTGGATCATGCTCGGGAGTATCCCAGCCTCAGTCGAGCCCCTCTCTACCATCACCCCCACATATAAATAAAAACAATTTTCTTCTTTCCCATTTTGAATTGAAATGATTGTCCACTGGAGGATGTAAAAACTTTAACGAATACTAATAATCATTAAAAAATTGGTAACTACCTAAAGAACTTTAAATGATGTGGAAGACTGTATCATGCAAATCATAAAAATAATAATGTTCACAAATAATTTTTAATGACTTGGCAAAATGATCTAAACATAATATCAAAATCCTAAAGGTAGTCCACAAGACTATAAAGAAATCTAATCTCAAATTATTTTAGAAATGCAACTAAACAAAAGACTAGAAGAAAATATGACCAAATATTAATATTACAGATGGGTTTTATGGGTAACTGAACATATATCATTTTTCAATCAAAATAAGCAACAACATGAAATAATATATGGAATAGATGTAGTCATATATAGTTAGCATTCTATACATTTTTTGTTTTATACACACATACAACACTAATAAAATAAACAGTCATTTCTAAAACAAGTTAAAATTGGGCCAAGCATGGTGGCTCATGCCTCTAATCCCAGCAATTTGGGAGGCCAAGGCAGGCAGATCACTTGAGGTCAGGAGTTCAAGACCAACCCGGACAACATGGCAAAACCCCGTCTCTACTAAAAATACAAAAATTAGCTGGGCGTGGTGGCACATGCCTATAATTCCAGCTATTTCGGAGGCTGAGGCATGAGAATTCCTTGAACTTGGGAGGCAGAGGTTGCAGCGAGCCAAAGTCGTGCCACTGCACTCTAGCCTGGGTGACAGAGTAAGACTTTCTCTCAAAAAAAAAAATAAATAAATACAATAAGTTAAAATAATGACAGCTTATGGACACATGGTTCTTCAAAGTTTTTTAAAACTCTTTCAAATACATTATTTATTATTTTATCATCATAGTAATATATCAGACACACCAGATGAAGTATAATTATTTTTAGCAAACAAATGAAAAGAAAAAGAATTCAAATCAACAGGTATCAGGATATAAATAAAATATAAATCAGTGTTTAAGTAAGTTGAAACATTAAGAAACCTCTTCAAGATCCAATGAGCAGAGTTTAAAGTAAAACACTGGTTTCTATATTTCTTCTGGAGCTTATAAAACAACAAAATACAACAACAACAGAAAACAAAAACACAAGAATCAGGCATATCTCCCACCCATACAATATATTCCAAGCCGGTCTTAAATTCACATTATAAATAATGAAATGGCTATGAGTACATCTTCCATTTCAGTGTAAGTCACAAGCCTTAAGTAAGTTCTTAAAATGTGTTATTTATTCACATCTAAATCCTCTTACCTGCAGCAAGACATAAGCCTATGATGATCACTGTAATGACACCTAGGAAAATGGAGGTGATGATCATCCACAGTTTGCATCTTCCAACCACATTCTTATTACAGGAGCTCCAGGGGCTTTCCTTGTTAGCCTAGAAAGGCAGAGGGAGATTGTGAGGCAGTCATTGTGTTGCAACAGACAGTTCTGAATACCTAGGATGTGCCAGAGACACAGAAATGAAGGCAGCAAGACCCTGACCTTAGGGCAACACTCTACTGAATCAAGTTTTCAAAAAGAGAGATCAGAGGCAGAACAGAACCTCATCAAGAAGTTAGCAAGAAAATCCTCTGGGGGCTCTGAAGTGGGGAGGATAGGCAGGATTTTGAAAGATGGATTTTTGAAGGCATTCCAAACCCAGGAAAGAGCATCCAAAGTGTGGATTCGTAATGGAACCGGCCAGCAGACTAGCCTGCCGACTGGAATGTGGGTTTCAGAGGCAAATAATGAAAGTTAAGATTAGAGAGAGTGAAAGGCTGGGAGCACACTCAGAGGGTGTTGATAGCTGTCCCAGAATAGATTGGACTTAATTGGGTGTGCACTGGAAACTTGAAGGTTTTGAAACACCAGAGCCGAGTTGAAAATTAAGGGAAAATCATGTGTGGTTTAGAGTGGAAACACCAAGAAAAAGCTACAAGGCTACTGCTGTGGCCTAGGTTCTATGTAAAAAAGGGTTGGGAAGGGAAATGAAAGGACAGCTGCAAGAGACAACAGGAAATAAGCTGCAAAGCTGGAGTGAGAAGGCTGGAGTGAGGCAGAGGAGGGGTCAATGAAAACAAGTACAACTGCTATGGTTTATTGAGCACCAGCGTCATTTCACTTAACCCTAACAGCCCTTCAGGGTGTGCACTAGTCCATTTCAAAGACGCAATTCAGAGAGATGAGCCAGAACCAATCCCTGCTGTGTGTCTCCACAAAGCTCTCCAACTTTCCCTTTTGTCCACATCACTGTGCAGAGCTCCGGTTTATGAGGGTGTCACAGAGGGGCCCCCACCTTACCCTATATGGTCCCATGACTCTTCTCCTACTTCCCACTCCACCATTAGATAATTCTTTCATGGAGACCATGGGAAACAACAGAATACAATGGGGAAAAAATGTGTCTGTATCTAACACACTTGGATTCCAAACCAAGATATACCACTTAAAGGCAAGGTGGCTTTAAGCAAGCTACTGAAACTCATAGGCCCCAAAGTCCTCAGCTTTAAAATATATAAATAGTAAATTAGCTCACAGGACTGTTGCAAAAACTAGAGATAATGGACACAAAGCATCTGCTAAACAATTATTGGGAGTTCGGCCAAAGGGTGCAACTGCGCCTCAGTCATTCCTCAGCGTTCACCATCCCACAAAGCAGCAGCCGGCACTCGAGGAGACTCGCTCCTGACCGACACCTGGCCACCTGGCCTGCTTTCTCTCCCATTCTTTTTTTTTTTTTTCTTTTTTTCTTGAGATGGAGTCTCGCTCTGTCGCCCAGGCTGGAGTGCAGCAGCACGATCTCCGCTCACTGCAAGCTCCGCCTCCCGGGTTCACGCCATTCTCCTGCCTCAGCCTCCCGAGTAGCTGGGACTACAGGCGCCCGCCACCACGCCCGGCTAATTTTTTGTATATTTAGTAGAGACGGGGTTTCACTGTGTTAGCCAGGATGGTCTCGATCTCCTGACCTCGTGATCCTCCCGCCTCAACCTCCCAAAGTGCTGGGATTACAGGCATGAGCCACCGCGACTGGCCTTCTCTGCCATTCTTATTTTGGTGCTGGCCATCAGAAAACGAATCGGTCAGTCCACACTTGGACTGTATTTCCAACCTTCTCAATTAGAGGTGCCCAAGCCTGGCTGCACATCAGAATCACTGGGTAAGGATTTTAACTGACACATACCTAGGCCCCACCTGCACCTAGTGGACCAGATTGTAAGGGAGGTGGGAGGAGGCCATGGCAGACCTCTGGTCTGAGGCCTCCCACCTTTCGGGAGTTAGGTCAAATCTCCCCTTTGGTGGAAGCCTCCCTCCCCACCTGCCCTTAGTGAGATCTTCCAATACCTGAGCTGTCCACATAGCCCATCTGCTGTTGCCACTGACTGCCCTGTCCGGTTTCAGGTTCAAAAACAAACAGAGCCTGGCCTTATCTTCCTGCGTAAACTGAAACCACATAGAGGAGGGGTGCTCTTAAACTGCCCTGTTCTTATATTCCACACCTGTGCCTTCTACAAGTAATATACATTTAACGATTGTGGGCTGTTTAGTTGTAGAGGCCTCCCAGAAATTTTAAGAATGGACTTTGAGAAAATCTAGATGAGGGGACAAATGTTGGATTTCCCAAGTGCACTTTACACTGACTCTGAGGCCTAGCCTGTCAGAGGTGCGAGGGGAGCACTTAAAGGCCCTAGGGATATCTTGACAGAGGAAATCCCTCTTGAGTTAAGTGCATTTCTGGAATCCAGGGATAGGGTCACCTCTCATCCCCACTCAAAACCTGCAGAACTGCTTCAAAGCCAGGGGAAGCCACACGGGAAAAAGACATCCCAGTACAAAGAATCTTCAGTTTCTCAGGGGACAGAAACATCTCCCCATTTACAGAGCTCCTGAGGCCAAAGCCCTGGTGCTATTTTCAGCCCTCATAAAAGGCAGCTGGGACCCATAAAGATTAGCACAAAAGGAAATATCTAGTTTCAAATGAGCCATAGAATGAGTGTCAATGCACCTCCTTGGCCTCTCATGCCTTTATTTATGCTGTCCCTTAGAGATCACAAATTAGGACTCTGGTGTGTTGAAAAAAACCACTAATTACTCTATGACTTCCTGGAGGAACTCAGCTTAAAATTTTACAGCCGTCATCTATAGGAAATGCCTCTTCCTGTAGCCTAGTGCCCTCACTGACCTGTCCTCAGCTCTAAGAGGAAGACCGCTGAGCGCTATCCCTTACATGATTAATATTCACAGACTTTATGTCATTATAAAATGGTCTGTCACAACAAAAAATAAAAATAAAAAAATAGCCAGACATGACGGTTTACACCTGTGGTCCCAGATACTGAGGAGTCTGAGGTGGGAGGATCGCTTGAGCCCAAGAGGTCAAGGCTGCAGTGAGCTATGAGCATACTACTGCACTCCAGCCTGGGTGGCAGGAGTGAGACTCTCTCAAATGAAAAAAAAAAAAAAAAAAAAAGCACATGAAACTGTCAGACACTCCCAGCCAAACAATAGACTGTACAGTGCTTCTCAGCTGTCTGCCCATTAGAATCAGCTGAGGAATTAGTATCTTTTAGAAGTAACGCCCGGAGATTCCAATGTGCCCTGAGGGTGAAGAGCCTGTGACACAGTAGGTGTGTGCTACCTGTGCCATCTGAGTCTTGCCTCAAAACTGGATCATGAAGACACACTGCCTTCTTCACTGGCTTCATCTCTCTTGCCCAAATTCTAGATCGTGAGGAGAGGCCACACATAGATTCTTCTGCAAGGTGCCTTCCGGAGATATTTGCAACTGCATCTTACATTCTATTATTGTTTTACATGGCTTAATAATTTACATTTGCAATCTGCATCTTATATTCTGTGATCATATTATATGGCTCAAGAATTTTCAGGGCTTTCCTATGAACATTCCCCGGATATTTACATCCGTCTTTAGATAAAGGTCTAAATACATGACACAGGATCCTGCAACAGTGGCAGGATACCTATCTCTTACATCTAAAAAGCCTTTCTTCTTTTTGACTCAATCAGAAGCAGATATTATATAGATCAGGGAAAATTTTCTTACAGGTAGGAAACTCTTCATAATACTCATTGTGGGATTTAATCCACTTGTTTGATCCAAGCACAAAAGAGCCAGTTGATTCTTGTCCTAAACTGAACAACACGTGGCAATGGAGCTAATTTTTAGCTAGCTCATTGAAATAAATCTTTTTTTTTTTTTTTTTTTTTGAGACGAAGTTTCACTCTTGTTGCCCAGGCTGGAGTGCAGTGGCGTGATCTGGGCTCACCACGACCTCCGCCTCCCAGGTTCAAGCGAGTCTCCTGCCTCAGCCTTCCTGAGTAGCTAGGATTACAGGCATGCGCCACCACACCCGGCTAATTTTGTATTTTTTTTAGTAGAGACGGGGTTTCTCCATGTTGGTCAGGCTGGTCTCGAACTCCCAACCTCAGATGATCCACCTGCCTTGGCCTCCCAAAGTGCTGGGATTACAGGCGTGAGCCGCTGTACCCGGCCTGAAATAAATCTTACCTGCCTCAAAACTATCAATTTACTGGTTTGTTATTATTCAAATGATGTTGCCATCTCTTAAAATGCCTCTGGGATTTCTATTTGAAAACTGAGCCCCTGTAATAAGCCATAAAAGAAAACCAGCCTCACTCTATTACCCATAATTTATTTTTCACTTTTGACCCAGCCATATTGCCATGTTTACAGTGACAGCAGGCAAAGTGGAGTTCAGTGGCTTCTATTCCTTTGTCTCAAGTGCCAAGCACACATCAAGAAAGGCAAAGAAGTTCCTTCTACTGCTTTTGTTCACTCTCCCACCACAGCTCTTCCAAGGAAGAAGAGAGATGTCTTCTTCCCAATCATTCCAGAACTGTTCCCGATTCCTCACCCATCCACCTGCAACTCCATCATTCCAGATGTGATACTCAACTCCTAGCTCACTTAAATTGCCTAATTATAAA
Organism: Homo sapiens; assembly: GCF_000001405.40. Taxonomy (NCBI): domain Eukaryota; kingdom Metazoa; phylum Chordata; class Mammalia; order Primates; family Hominidae; genus Homo; species Homo sapiens. The sequence goes on along the minus strand of NC_000003.12, from coordinate 112,088,788 downwards.
TTACCTAACTTATAGAAATTAGTAATAATTAATAACTTAGGCAACTATAAACAAATGAGTATAAATTATATATAACATATTTAAATTAAATGCTGATAGATAATAGATAGATAGATAGATAGATAGAATAAATCAACAGAAACAGCAAAGGTTTGAGATCTAAAAAACATACGTTCAAGCTTCAGAGGCACCACTGAGTGAACTTGAGGATTTTGGTAACTCCTCTGAGCCTCCCTCAATTTCTTCACTCAGCATCTTCAATCTGACAAACCAGAATACTGACGCCTTCCTCTTAAGTTAGTTGTGATAATTAAATGCATTTATGCATCAAAAGTATTTGTCACAAGACAGTTACTAAACAGGGTTAATGAAAATACATGGACTTCAGCTACATTTCAAAATTAGAAATCTTAATATACAGTTCAAAGAGACCAACACACAAAATTCTTAAGTGTCTGAATCTTTTTAATGAGCCTATATTTATTGACTTTTCTAACTGAAATACACTTCACTTTATTTTATAGGACAAAAGAGAATGATTAACACATTAGATGAGATTAGTTCAAGGCATTCCTTGAACACACTCCAAGTACTCCTGTAGCCCTTCACCTTCACTCCATCCTGTTACTGAGGACAGCTCTCCTATTGGGTGACCTACAAAGCTAACTTACAAAGAAGTCCAGGGTATCTGTATATACCTTACTAACAAGGACGTCATGAGAACATTAAAGAACCATTGCTACAGGGTAGGTGCTAAACAATTACAGAATACTGATAACCCTGCATGGATTTGGCTTGTTCTACCCACCACCTGTTTTCAACAAGGCATTCCCAGGCCTCACAGAAGGCCGAGTAGGCACACATTACCACTACGGGACAGGCTTGCCTCTGGGACACACTTCTTAGTGGCAAAACTGTCACCAGATTTCTGGATTCAGCCCCAAGCTAGGGAGTCTTTAGGGTGTGCGGGTCCATCTAATCTGAGGCAAGTATTTCCAACTCCCATTCCTGGACACCGCCCTGGAGGACTCATACAGCCAGTTCACAGTTGTGGCCACTTGCACTGGTGACCAGACTATCTTTGTTCAACCTTCATTCTTCTGTGGCATTCATATTTTATTCAGAAATAAGTTTCCAAATTACTCTCCAGAGTACCTATAAAAGCAGACTTTGCAATAGTTCCAGGAATCAATGTAGAACAAAAGCAATGCTTTCAACTTTTGAATTTCCTGCTTATCCCTAAAATCAACAGCTGGGCAGCCAAAAAGTTGGGGGTGGAGGAGTGGGGCCTAGAAAGATCAGGTCGGGGCTCTATATGGGGAGTTCTGTGCACCCAGAAAACCTCAAGCCAATCTTAGGAGTTAATCAGAAGGTGGATGGCTGGGAAGTCAAAGCTCTGATGTTTTACAAGTCTTTGATGAGAGTGAATAATGTTCCCATCATTGCTAGGGATGAATCAGAAAAGAGCTTGGCCTAAAAATAGCCAGGGACTTCCTTAGGGATTGAGAGGAGGTAAAAGCAAGGTGGGCGAAGTCTCAACCTTCGAGACAAGAACTTTGAAATTATTTTCTTTCAATTGAGCAGGGCAAGTTCACCTCCCCCGCGCCGACCCCCTAACCCGCCCGCCCCATCTCTACGCCAGCCCTACCCCTTCTCCCCTTCTGACCGCTTTCTCTCCTCTGTGCTCTCCCCTATCTCTCTTCCGGCAGAATCCAATGGCCAGGCTGGGAGAAGGCAGAAAGTGCTTGGCGGATGGTAGGCATGGAAGAAGGCTGGGGGCTGCGGCGAGGTGGGTGGAGGGGAGGGAGAGAAGTGGCAAGGCAGTGAAGGTAAGAGGAGGACAGAAGAGATTCTGAGAGAAGGAGGATACTCAATTTGTCATTCTCATTCTCCCTACTGGAAAAAAGAAAAACTGAATTAAAAGTTACATAACTTTAAAAAACTACTTCCATCTCCGGAATACCTCTCTGAAGACAGCAGCGGCCACACCTCACCACTAGGATTCCTAAAGCGCCTCGGGGGTCAGAGGGGTTGGAGGACCCCAGGGGCTGGGGAGGGGACTGCTCGGGCCGAAAGGTGTCGCGGTGACTCGGCTCCATTCAGAGCACTCGAGCGCGCCCCACCCTCGCTCGGCGCCGTCGACGCCCCGCCTGACTGGAAACCCGAAACTCGCGGGTGCCAGGCCCGGGTCCTACTACTGTCCCGCCGCCGGCAAGTTAGGGCCAGCGCCAAGGGGACCTTACCTCGGCCGGGGGGACCTCCTCGTCCAAAGAAGGGAAGACCTTGTCGGCACCATTGAGAGGCGTGTTCTCTTCTGGCTGCCGCTCGAGCACCGAGAGCTCCAGCTCGTCTACTGGCTGTGAGGGTTGGGCCAGGTCCATGTGCCGGCAGGGAAAGTCTGAGCGGCTCCGCGGGAGGCCACAGCGCCGGCGAGTCGAGCGACCTCCCCGCCTCACACTCCACCCACTGGGCGGGGCGTCGCGGACCTCGGGCGGCGGGAGCGGACCGGAGCGGACAGGAGGGGCAACTGTGAGTGGCGGCCACTCCCTGGATCCCGCGGGGTAGAGCACCTGAGGCCGTGCCGGAGTGGGCTCCAGAGCCGAAGGCTGTTTTTCTGATTTGTTCAGGGCGCTGCCTGCTATGCCTTTCCCCGCGCCTGCAGATGCAGACCATCTCCGTTTAGGGGCTGCCTGGGTGCCGGGCTGTGGTAAGGAAAGGGTGGGCCCGGCAGCACCGTCCAACGGAGAAAAGTTTGCGATCTAACCCTACGAACTGTTGGTTGTTGGGGTTTGCCACAGTCCTCGCGGCCTAGCAAAAGTGCATTCATTCAATCAACAAATAACCATGCCTCGTGCCAGCATGGTGCTAGGTTCTGAGTGCATGAAGGTGAATAATATACACCAACACACTTCCTCGCAAGTCCAGAGTCAGGCACAGAGACAGTATTGTGTGGTGCTGGGGACAGCGGACTCTAAAACCAGTGTACCTGGGTTATTCTCCACCCAGAGGGTTCCTCACTGTGAGACCTCGGTCTTCATCTCTCTGTGCCAACGTCCTCATCTGGAAAGTTGGTGTAATATTTGTACCCTCCTAAATGTAGTTGTTACCAGGATTACAAGGGTTGTTGTAAGCAAAGCACTCAGAACAGTGATTGACACAGCAAGCACTCATAAATGACCATTATTATTTATCTTTGAGAGGAGGGGCCTTACACACACACACACACACACACACACACAATGCACGCGCACACACAATCTCCTTGACACCCTATCTGTAGTTCAGAACTTCCGGTTTAGTTAGCATGGAATTATGTTTGTTAAGCACAGCATGGGTTGGGCCAAGGGCCTCAACTCTCAAGCTTCTGTTCCGAATAGTCTTGCTCCTTACTTCTCACCCTCCACGCAACACACACACACACACACACACACACACACACATTAAGACCAGACCATTAACAAGAAGCATATAAATCAGCTCCACTCCAAATATGTTGACTTGAGTCCAAAAGTCTGGCATCTTCAGTACCTGATGTTGAGACACAGCCTAGATATCCTGTCTCCAGCAGTCTGATGCCTGCTACCAGATCCCCTGAACTTTGGATCCATCTGCCTGCTAAGGGGAGTCTGCAGTGACTCATCTGCTGACCTGCACTGACTTCTGCTCCAACAGGTGGATCTTGCAAGAATCAGGCTGCATTCTCAGCTGGGATTTTTGAACAGGTTTTTTAACCAAGGAGCAAGGGTTAAGGGAATCAACAAGGCATGGTGACGTACCCAGGGACTAGCAATAGCGAGAAGCTGTTAACACTCCTAGGCCTAAAAGGGACTGGAGACTGATAAAGAACTAGAGCCATTGAAGGGTGTGGGAATTTGCAGGGAGGTCTTGATAGGATCTGTAGTCACGAAAACATGCAGACCTGACTGGAAGCACTGACACCTCTCAAACTTCTGATTCTCCCCACCCCCATCCTTACCCAGGGTCCAGAAAACTTTTCTCATAGTTCCCTTATTTGATTGCAGAAGTTCATCCTAAATGTGAGATTTTTTTCTCACTTCAGATGGATAGTAGCTATCTCCATGCCTGATTTCTCCATGCACAGATACCTAAAGCCTCCCTCACTCCCCCAGAGAATCAAAAAGCAACTGTTCCTGTCTCAAGCACACCCTAAACCACATCTTCTAATGCCTTTTGAGTACTGTTAAGCAAGGTTTATATACTCTGTAATTAGATTTAAATGCATTTCTATAATTCCATATGCCTAACCCTTGTTCTCATGTTACAGTGGAAGGAATATAAGTTCTGAAGGCAGACAGAACTAGGATCAAATTTAGACTCTCACTATCTGTGTGTTCTTGGGCAAGCTGTTCAATGTCTGCTTGTTTTCTTATAAAATGATTCCTACCTAGCAGAGTCAGGAAGATTAAGGTAAAGAATTTATTCCTGTGCCTGAAAAATGAAAGGATCTCAGTAAATGCTCCATTACATTCCCTGACTGTGTCTTTGTGGCTAATACCCACTCTCCCCCGACCCTTAGCACCCAGCACTAACCCTTGATTCAATATGTTTTCTTTTGATATTGGTTTTTCTTCCTGTGCTGTCCTATTTTCCTGATCACTGACACTTGCTGACACCTCCCATATTACCTGAACTAAATTCTTATTTGCAACCTGTTCCTGTTCCTGTTAACTGCAAATTTCTTAATCTCCAGACAGCTGACCTAGAATGCAGATGAGAGTCCCAACCCTACCTGAAGACTTTCTTCATCCTGCCAGTTTCACTCCACACTAAGGATTCAGAATAAGTTAGGAAGAGGTGTTTCTCCCTAGAGGTACAACCAAGTTTAGATTAAACGAGTCTGATGAAAGTCAAGAATTTGTGAATGAGGAACCAAACTCTACCTAGATTTGTTTTTGTAATTCCTTCAGAATTCATTTACATAAGGGTGGCTTTTTAAATATACTATTATTTCAAAAATAGATTTCTTTAATATAATTTAAAATTATTATTGACTCAATTGCTTTAGTTTGTTTGAAGTGTCTAATTTAAGTAACATTAAAAAATTAAAACATACTTATATTTGCTGACCAATATAAGATTTTTGATGTTGCTTTTTTTTAATAGTACTTGCTCTTCTTTTTAAATCCTTTTTAGAAGCAAATAATTTTCTAAATGGTTATCATATAAACTGAAAAACAAAGTAACATCATCAGAGTGATATCACCAATACACCAAAGGCATCTCATTCCCTTCAAATAGGTCTGTGACTCTGGAATACGCAACAGTTTGTTCCTGTGTGTTGTCAGATGGCAAGCAATACTACTCCGAACGTCAGCAACTGGGTCAGCCACTCAAGCTAATCAAGTAGAAAACAATTGAGAAATGGTTGCTTGTGGTGCTTCACTGTGCTATTTTCAAGGCACTGTGAAAGAAGGCATGAGTCCCTACAAGTTCTCCCTGATAATATGGCACGTGAAATGCTTCTGTCTTAATTTATGAAGGCCATTTTGCTCTGCTAACAAAACCATTCTTGGGACTTGCCTTACTTCACACCTTTGCAAGAATGAAGTGGATATTCCCACATCATTCAGGTTCTAAATGCATCTTAACATGCAATATCCAAGCAAGTTATGTTTGTTTTTCAACCTTTTCCCTGCCCCAGCACTGCTACAGCATATCGTGTACTCACTTTAATACCAGTGAGGGCCTATAGAGGTAGTACATACATGTGCTTTCAAAAACTCCCTCTGATGAATCTGATGGATCATGCCAGCCCTCCTCCATCCCCTAACCGAGATCACAGACTTATGCAAAGGTTTTCATGTATTTTGTGAAGAGCAATTCTATGCCCTAGAAATGACCATAAAGTAAAAAGTACAACTCACCTTGTATATAGGTCACAGCCATCCAGACAAAATAATGTAGATTATAAGAACTATCAGCCTAATTCGCTCTTCTATCCAGTGGATTCAGTAGCAAAGTCCTCCCTTTTGAATTAGTGGTACACTTGGCCCTCTGAATTGCACTATCGTATAGCCAGTTTACTGAAACCTTTGGGGCCCATTCATAGAGGTATTATTAAGATGCTTTATCCTTAATCTGAGGGAACAGTCTTTTAACAAATCAAAGTATATTCTATGAACTGAAAAATTTATCTGGCCTGGGAGATGACACCTTTTGCTCTCTCTCCTTTTGCTGTTACATTAAGATTTTCTAAGGTTCTGTGCATTATTCTATTAATAGACACTACCTGATGTTAGTATTTTTATTACTTCTTTGACTTTATAACAGGAAAACAAATAATATCACTCTTTTTTCTGTTGTTTTCACTCATTTGGTGGTACTATCAATTCTGGCTTCTGTTAATGAAAAGAATATTCTGAGATCAAGTATGAAACCTTCTAAATCAAGATAAAATAAATCAAGAACTAAGATACATTGAGAGTGTGCTATAGGCTTACAACTATGTAAGGTATTATAAGAGTCTGAAAGTAAAAGAAAGTCTCATCCACTGGGGTTTTAAAAAGAACCAAAAGCCAGATGATAATATTTCTGAAAAATTTCACTTTTGCAACAATCATTCAAAAATTTCTTTGCCTTTTTTTTGCTGACCAGCATTACAACAATTTCTTTGAATCTCATATACATGCTTTCGATTCAATTACCATGATGCTTTATTCTGCCATTTAGTAATGGTTGCTGTCAGTTTTGTTGGTTGGTTGATTGGTTTCTCTGTACACAACATTACCATGTGCCATGGCTGAAGATGGTCCACTATGATATGTTTAGATAAAATTGGTTTGTAAAGCAACAATATAGGTACTTATTCTGTCGATAACTGAGTTTTGCTTCATTTGCATTTGCAAAGGAGATATTTTGTGCATTTAGTTTCTTGAAAATGCTGAAGGTCAGGTATGTTTTTTACTGGAATTTCTTATTTTAATAAGTCAAATTTGCTGTAATTTTTATAAGTATCTGAACATGAATAGGGACATAAAATAGGGATGCCTGAACATCTCCCTTATTTTTTTATTTTATTTTAGAGGCTTGGTTCATAACATTACTTTAGGTTTCTTCCATCTCTGAATCAATAGCCTTTTGTACTTAAGAATGAATATAGTTATTTCCTTGGGAAAACTTTTTATGGAACACATATTAACCTGTCTTTCAATAAGTATTAAATGTATGTAATTTGACACTTCCAGTTGAAAAAAAGTAAGGGACTAATTTTATTATTAAATGTATGCAATTTGACATTTCTAGTTAAAAAAATGTAAGGGACTCATTTTATTAGTAATTATTGCATCATTTTATTTATTTATTTATTTATTTATTTATTTATTTATTTATTGAGATGGAGTCTCACTCTGTCACCCAGGCTGGAGTGCAGTGGCTGATCTCGCCTCACTGCAAGCTCCGCCTCCCGGGTTCATGCCATTCTCCTGCCTCAGCCTCCCGAGTAGCTGGGACTACAGGCACCTGCCACCACGCCCGGCTAATTTTTTTTTTTTTTTTTTTTCAGTAGAGACAGGGTTTCACCATGTTAGCCAGGATGGTCTTGACCTCCTGACCTCGTGATCTGCCCGCCTCGGCCTCCCAACGTGCTGGGATTACAGGTGTGAGCCAGCGCACCCAGCCAATTACTGCATCATTTTAAAGTATCTATTTTTAACATAAATCACAGTAAAAATACAACTGGTACAATTACAAAAGAGAAGGGACATATTTATGAATCCAGGGAACAAAGTTTGACACCCTTGTGTAAACACCAGGAAAGTTTGGTCGTCCACTTCCATGTCCCCAGCTAACAATGCCAGTCAAAATCCATTTTCCATCACTTTTTCTTCGACAAGATAAAGGTCCACCCGAATCTCCCTACACACACAAAAAATGTAAGTATAAAGTAAATTGGTCCCATGATCATCAGTTTCATCTTTATTGTATCTAATGAATTGTGTTCAAGAGTCCTCTAATGACATGTTTTTGCTTGGCTAATCACTCTGTAATTTGGGAAGTGTGAAAAACTAATGTGAAACTTCTATCATTTTATAATTATTCTTCCTATAATCAAACAGCTGCATTCATTAGACGAAACATGATTCTTTAGGCTAAGAATAACACTGGAAGATTCTTACTGGAGAAAACAACTCTCACATAGCCCTAAACAAAGAATAAACCTCAGTAATACTAGTGGTGATGGTGGTGGTGGTGGTGGTAATAGTAGTAGTAGTAGTAGTGGTGGTAGTAGTAGTAGTAGTAGTGAGGGCTAAAATTTATTTAGTGCTAGCTATGTGCTAAGAATCGTTTAGAGACATTTAATCCTCACAACAACCTTATGAGGCATGGTTATCTTGGAAGGTTGACTTCTATCTCTGGGCCATGCAACTTTAGTGGTTAGCTCATAGCCCCATGGAGAAGAAGAGACCTGTTTAGTTAGCCAGGTCCAGTGAAAAAACCCTAACAACTGCTGGTCCACAGTCATCACAAACAAATCACTCTCACTTGAGAGTCCTTTCTGATATCTCAATTCCTCTAAGCAAAGGCTTAAACAATTCAAAGTATAAACATAATTTCCACAGTATTAGTCCTTTAAATTATAATATCTAGGTTTTATTTTCCTATTTTAGAGGGTAGATAATCTTGCAACTTACTCAGAGGCAACAAATTTGCCCATGTATCCAAATTATGATCTTATACCTGATTAGGAAAATTCCAACTAGTAGGGAAGCTGGGCTCTTTATTTTAATTGCCACCACATCAACTCTACTAAGTTTAACAAGTAAACACTTGTGGCTGTGTGGAACAGGGCTGTGTAACCGACTAGCTATGGGAAGCACCCAAAATAGAGTACCCTTAGCATTAGAGAGGCAAGGGTTCAAATCCCAGCTCAGACATTTACACTTACTAGCTGTATGACCTTAGGCAATTTACTTACCCTCTCTGTGCCCAGTTTCCTCTTCTATAAAATGAGGAAAAAAGAATGATTGGAATGAATTTATGTAAAGAACCTAGCACGGTGCTTGCCACAAAATAGGAGCTCAGAAGACAGAAGTCATTATTATAGGATGAGTTTTTGTGGCATCATGGCTAAGCTTGTGGAAAGATGAAAGAACAGCTCCCACTGTCCTACTCACCCTCTAAATCAGGAGTATGCAATCTTTTGGCTTCCCTGAGCCACACTGGAAGAAGAATTGTCTCAGGCCACACATAAAATGTACGAACACTAATGATAACTAATGAGCTAAAAAAAATTGCAAAAAAAAATCTCATGATGTTTTCAGAAAGTTTGTGAATTTGTGTTGGGCTGCATTCAAAGCTGTCCTGGGCTGCATGTGGCCTGTGGGCCGTGGGTTGGACAAGTTTGCTCTAAATCATCTATTTACTCTTTGGCAATCATGTAGGTAACTGCATAGATTGGAATCTCAGGCTCCGAGAAATGTCACCCCAAAGGTGACTTCCAACTTTACCACTGCCAGGGGCCTACCCAGAGAACTACAAATGAGTATTCTTTGTCACCTCTCCATTCCTCTCCTCTTTCCACCAGCATATACTTCAAAGGAATGAGTAAATAAAATCCTTCAAATTTTAGAAATTAAATGGCAGCTGCTAAGGAAATAGGAAATAAATTGGTTATAAGAAAATTATGGCAGAATGATGAATGCTGACCTCATCCTCTAAATATTGAAGGAAAATACATGGAGCACATTATAGAAAACTGCGTTCTATAGAATAAATTATTTCAACACCTCTCCAAGATCTTAGGCAATTGGATGATAAATAATATCTGAGCAGCTCAAGTGAATTCAGGGAAATACCTGCCCTGGTTATTTCCCAGTGTTATGTAGATTAAGTGAGAAAGCATTTATGGAAAGCACAACATGTTAGGCAAGGGAAAGGTACAATGACTTACTTTGCAGGCATCTCTCTTGCCTGACATTATGCCTGCACAGAGCATCCGAGAAGTGATGATCCCGTAGGTGGAAACACAGAGCGTTTGATCAATGAGCTCTACCTCCGCTTGCTGCAGAACGAGGGAGCCTTTATTATCTGCAAAACACATTGGAAGTAGAAATGATGTTAGTGGTAATGGCCGCATGTATTCAGGACTTCATTTGAAAAGTTAACACACATTATCTCCTTTTACCCTCATAGCGGCAATTCCCTTGAGGTAAATTCTACTATTATCCTCATTTTGCTGATGAAGAAATCGAGTGCTAGGAGATTAAAGGGCTTGCCCAGTGACACACCACTAGCAAGTAACACAAGATTCAGACCCAAGGTCTGACTCAATTACTTGAACAACTGTGCCATATTCCTCACCATTTCCCTCCTGTTTTCCGTAGGATGGTAAGTCAGCAACAGTTATTACTAATATCTACTATTCAAGAGAGCTCTTTAAATGGAGCAGCATAACTGATATATGGGAGTCTCTGATGAACCATAAAAACCTAACAGTTTGCAAATAGCTGTTTCACTTCCTTTTGAACCTACCTGGCTAAGATGATTCAGAAAAATAAGTGTACACACACATACCCAGGCTTATAAAGAAAACATCTCATGATAAGTTGGTTGGGCAGATGCTTTTCTCCTGTGATATATGATAATGTAATCAAAGCACTGAGCACAGTAACCTATCAAAGTTACAAGTGTTCACAGTCAGCTGCCTTCCCTCCTTGGGACCCTGAGACTTCAGTGGACCCAAGCTGGTGGTATTACTACTTCAATCACTAAATGAAAGCACTGAGAAGCTGCCTTTGAGAAGTTGCCCACACTTTAGAGTGTCAAAACGAGGCTACAGGGCAAGGTTCAGGAATTACAGATGCTGTACGTGTCCTAAACCCTTGAAAAGGATGGCAAAAGAAGGTGAGGTGATTGAAAGATCAAGGGAAAATATTAGCACTAGCGTTTGGGGATACATTCACAAAGCATTGGATTCTTCCCCTCACTATATATTCAGAATCCCACCTTGAATCCTGGACCATGAAAAACCTTGGCAGGGTAGATGTAGGGACTTCCCTACTATACAGCCTGATCTTTATGCATATTGAAAAGATGTCCTCTCCCGTCAGAGAAATAGCAAAAAGGTATCTCCTCTGGGTGGACCAAATCCAAATCCTGGAGGTATAACCTCCAGGCCTGAGTTTCTGGTCTGGAAACTAAGGGCAGTCTGAAGTTCAGCCCTTACTCTCATCCCTTGGCCAATTGCACAGGCACAGGTCATACCCACATAGTCTCCCAGACTGTTGCCTATGAGTTGACATAGTGGGATGTGCATGTGTGTCCTTCTCTCCTTTATAAATGAATCATTTCTTTGAATGAAAAGGGAGGAATTGCTCCTTCTCTAGTGAATAACATAGCATAACCTTCAGAGTTTGAAAAGGGCCCATGACTATCTAGTCAATCCTGCCTTGCTCATACACAGTCCTCTCCCTCTTTATAAGGTGAGCCCTGCTTCTTTTAAAGCAGGTGGATAGCATCATTAAAAAGAAATAACAGTACCCTCCTCCAATCCAACCTTCCAGAGTTGTCAGGAGGTTCAAAGGAGATCATATACACAAACCCTCTCTGTGAACCCTAAAGCACTACATAAACACCTTATCATCCTCTGCAGGGGAAGGGCATGACCATTCATTCATACACACACCTGCTTCGTGTCTTCGCCCCCAGCCAGTTACCCAGCACTTCTCCCCACTGCGAACTCTCTGACCAGTGGGAGGAATGCATATTGGCTGAATGAGCTGTTTCAGGGTCTCAGGCCAGGCAATACTGAGCTGTAGCAAAGCAATATCATAATCAAAAGTCTGACTGTTATAGTACTCGTGGACCACAATTCTTCTCACCGGGGAGACAAACTTGGCATTCCCCTGAACATACATCCCGAGGTGTGCAGTCCATGGTGTGGGATCTGACAGCCTGATAGAACAGTAATGAAACATAAAGTTAGCAGCTTAAAGAACCACATACAGTTTGCAAACAAGCACTCTAAAGAGTTGAGGGCTGAAAAAGAAGGGCCTGACTTCCAGGGTGTTATTATAGTCACTGGCTTTGTCCGGGGACCATGGCAGAAAGCGTAACTGTGAGCCTCCCTTGTCTCCCTCAAAAAGTCAGAAATGACGTAAGCTGTATTAGGAGTGGCAAGTAATAGAAAATTCACTCAACAGTGTCCTAAGCAAATGCCTGGACATTTTCTTTCCACTAGTATTTCATGAACCACACACAGGTCAAGAATGTTGGTAACTAGAATTAATTTGTTACATTCTTCCTATTCATGCTGACAATGGCATTTGATGGAGAATCCTACTACCAAATTCAAATGATATGAATACCAAGATAGATTAGAAATCAAAGTGCTATAAGCAGGAATTTAATGAAATTCCTTCTGGCAAACTACTGGAAGCCTTAATGATCACTACTCTTACTGCTCAACAATGCCCATTCATAGGGTCACCAACTGCCATTCCCATCAGTCCTTCCAGAATCCCAATCTTGACCTCCATGACCTTGCACAAGTCACAGAAGAACTTGTAATCTCCATGTGAAGCGTCCATCTCCATCAGCATAGCAGTGGGGTAAAGAGTGGGAGTGAAAAAAATGAGGAAGCCCCAAAATTTTGGTCACTAATTTGCTTAGCTGATGTCTCATGAGTGTCAATGGACACCCAAAGAAATATTAGGGTTAATACATTATTTGGAGCAGTTTCACAGCATTAGAGACTCATGATCAAACAGATGTGAAGCTATCTTAATAATTAACACAAATCCTATAATTTTCAGGGAAACAAATATCCAAACTGTGTAACTTCATTGAAATACTAAAAAAAAAATGCAGAATGAGAAGTGAATGATTTTTTTAACCTAAGATTCAGTAGATTCCAATAGTAAGTTTAAATTTTAAGTGAGGTTATTTTCTAAGATGTCCTCTTACCCTTGGCTGGAAGAGCATCTATCCCATCATAATCCCATTGGGGACCTCCATTCTCCAGTCACTCTCCAGTGCCCATTTTTCTCCACATTCTCCACACATTCTCTTAAGTTTGCTCCCTCTGAGTTAAAAGCCCTATCTTATTTTCCCAGCCTTAGTAAAAGCCTATTCATTCTTGATGTTTCCTTTGTGCTTTTTTTATACCAATAATACCTTAAAAAAAAATGTTTGTCACACACGTGGGATCCAAAAAATGAAAGTGCAATTGAATTGATTGAATGTCCCCAACAGGGATCTGCTTCCCACAATTTGAGGGCAGATATATTGTCTATGGCCACAGAGTGCCACTTGAAAGTAAGGACCGTGAGGCCCTACCTGTTTCCATGAAAACAGTGGGCTGCAGAAAGAAGCCACTCCCTGGAGATGACTGAGGCACCACAGTAGGCAGATCCAACAAAGTGGAGGCTGACCTGCCACGGCCAACCCCCCTCCAGGGTGTCTGTGCCTCCGATGATGCGGTGAAGGGCGGAGGAACTCCTGCTGCAGGCTTTGGTGGAGAAAGGGCATGTGATTTAAAGGTAGACTTGGAAGAAAAACTAGAAGTTAAGCCAGTTTTAGTGCTGGCTGGGAACTGACTCACTAGGTAGCAATTTGAAATCTCCTTATCTAGAGGACAGAGAACATGTGAGTCTGTCTGAAACCAATACAAACAAACCACTCCCTCCTTCCTGAAGCATGCCCTGACACAGTCTCTATACCACAACGCAGATGAGAGGAGGAGGGGGACCTGCTGTAACAGCTGAACTGACACAAACAGCTGCCTATGGATTTAGATTGTCAGGTAAAGAGGAATGTAAATGAATTGAGAATTTCTTTGAAGTTGTGCTGATGTGACAGAAAGGATTGGGGAAAAGATTTATAAGACCTGGACAAATGAAAACCTACAGGGAAAACTAGTTATCAGAGCAATTGTTTGCTAGTGTAAATAGTATTGGTAAAGATGTATAATTTACATGTTGCCACATGGCCAAGTAGTAGCCACATGACTAATAGGAGCATGTGGGAGATTAGTTATTGAGTCAGGCCTAAAGAAACAGCACTTGATATTGTTAGTAACATAAGGCATTAACAGGTCATCCACTGCGTTCCAGTTTCTATTTATTTTCTCACAAGGTTTTTATTTAAGATCTTCTCCCTTGATTAAAATTATTAAAAAGTGAAAGTTCTCATTTTAAAAATTTAATTCATTAATGCTGTTATCAAGAAGACAGAATCCATTCCAGAGTTTTTATTTCTGAGAAACAATTTCAGACTCAGTTTGTCAATAGTTACTATTCTTGTTTTGGCTATGGCAACCTCGATCAAGGGAAATACACCAAGAAGGGAATGAAAATATAACAAACAGGTAAACTGAAGAGGGAATACAGGAACCCAAAGGAATGAATTTCTACTTACTGCAGCCTTCTTCATCACTTCCATCTGGACAATCCACTGTCCCATCACATTTTGCATTTTGTTTCCTAAAGCAAATATCATTGCCACACTTAAAAGTTCTGTTGTTGCATGGAATACCTAACAATGGACAAAAGAAGAAACAGCTTTCCTTAGCCAGAAACAAACTTGAGTGAATGAGATTTGAATGAATAACTCCAAACCCCATAAAAAATGGTTTAATCACAGGATTGGTATTTGCTGCTCTGGGATAAATGGCAGAGAGAAGAGAAGCAACCTCACAGTGATCCATTTCTTCACCTAAGAAAAGCCATTTGAACGCTGGCAGGCATATTTGTTGAGAATCAATCCAACCACCTCTTCTTTCTCCCATAGCAGGTGAGACATGAAGAAGTGCGACATATCAGTGGCTTTAGGCTGCAGCCTCTTTGCTATTACCTTCTCTTATTCTCCAAGAAAACTTTTGAGCAAAAATCACAGCCATGCTCAGTTATTTTATATCAGTAGGAGGCAAAATGGACAGACTTGTGAATTACAACACATTTGTTCACAACCTTGGAGGTTTGTTTCTTCAAGGGTGAGAGTGGAACGTGTTCCATTCCAGTATTTGGCAAGTTCCTCTACATCAGGTCCTCTGTATCCTACAATCCTGAGCATCATTAAAAGCAAGTAAGCAATAAGAAACTGCCAGTATTACAAAAGAAACTACCATCAGAGTGAACAGGCAACCTACAGAATGGGAGAAAATTTTTGCAATCTACACATCTGACAAAGGGCTAATCTCCAGAATCTACAAAGAACTCAAACAAATTTACAAGAAAAAAACAGACAACCCCATCAAAAAGTGGGCAAAGGATATGAACAGACACTTCTCAAAAGAAGACATTTATGCAGCCAACAGACACATGAAAAAATGCTCATCATCACTGGTCATCAGAGAAATGCAAATCAAAACCACAATGAGATACCGTCTCACCGCAGTTAGAATGGTGATCATTAAAAAGTCTAGAAAAGGCCAGGCGCGTAATTACAGGTGGCTCCTGCCTGTAATCCCAGCACTTTGGGAGGCTGAGGCGGGTGGATTGCCTGAGGTCAGGAGTTCGAGATCAGTGTGGCCAACATGGTGAAACCCCATCTCTACTAAAAATACAAAAAAAATAGCTGGGCATGGTGGTGTGCACCAGTAATCCCAGCTACTCGGGAGGCTGAGGCAGGGGAATTGCTTGAACCCGGGAGGTGGAAGTTGCAGTGAGCCCAGACTGTGCCACTGCACTCCAGCCTGGGCAACAGAGCAAGATTCTGTCTCAAAAAAAAAAAAAAAAAAAAGTCAGGAAACAACAGATGCTGGAGAGGACATGGAGAAATAGGGACACTTTTACACTGTTGGCGGGAGTGTAAATTAGTTCAACCATTGTGCAAGATGGTATGGTGATTCCTCAGGGATCTAGAACTAGAAATACCATTTGACCCAGCAATCCCATTACTGGGTATATACCCAAAGGATTATAAATCTTGCTACTATAAAGACACATGCACACGTATGTCTATTGCAGCACTATTCACAATAGCAAAGATTTGGAACCAACCCAAATGTCCATAAATGATAGACTGGATTAAGCAAATGTGGCACATATGCCTGGCTTGGCAGGTCCCACGTCCACAGAGCCTTGTTCACTGCTAGCGCAGCAGTCTGAGATCCAACTGCCAGGCGGCAGCCTGGCTGAGGGAGGGGCGTCCGCCATTGCTGAGGCTTGAGTAGGTAAACAAAGCAGCCAGGAAGCTCAAACTGGGTGGAGCCCACTGCAGCTCAGCAAGGCCTACTGCCCCTATAGACTCCACCTCTGTGGGCAGGGCATAGCTGAACCAAAGGCAGCAGACAACTTCTGAAGACTTAAACGTTCCACTCTGACAGCTCTAAAGAGAGCAGTGCTTCTCCTGGCATGGCATTTGAGCTCTAAGAACAGACAGACTGCCTCCTCAAGTGGGTCCCTGACCCCTGTGTAGCCTAACTGGGAGACACCTCCCAGTAGGGGCCAAGAGACACCTCATATAGGCGGGTGCCCCTCTGGGACGAAGCTTCCAGAGGAAGGATCAGGCAGCAATATTTGCTGCTCTGCAATATTTGCTGTTCTGCAGCCTCCACTGGTGATACCCAGGAAAACAGCATCTGGAGTAGACCTCTAGCAAACTCCAACAGACCTGCAGCTGAGGGACCTGACTGTTAGAAGCAAAACTAACAAACAGAAAGGAACAGCATCAACATCAACAAAAGGGACATCTACACCAAAACCCCATCTGTAAGTCACCAACATCAAAGACCGAAGGTAGATAAAACCACAAAGATGGGGAGAAACCAGAGCAGAAAAGCTGAAAATTCTAAAAACCAGAGCGCCTCTTCTCCTTCAAAGGAATGCAGCTCCTCACCAGCAACGGAACAAAGCTGGAGGAGAATTACTTTGACAAGTTGACAGAAGTAGGCTTCAGAAGGTAGGTAATAACAAACTTCGCTGAGCTAAAGGAGATGTTCAAACCCATCACAAGGAAGCTAAAAACCTTGAAAAAAGATTAGACAAATGGCTAACTAGAATAAACAGTGTAGAAAAGACCTTAAATGACCTGATGGAGCTGAAAACTATGGCACGAGAACTACGTGACACATGCACAAGCTTCAGTAGCTGATTCCATCAAGTGGAAGAAAGGGTATCAGTGACTGAAGATCAAATTAATGAAATGAAGTGAGAAAAGAAGTTTAGAGAAGAAAGAGTAAAAAGAAATGAACAAGGTCTCCAAGAAATATGCGACTATGTGAAAGGACCAAATCTACATTTGATTGGTGTACCTGAAAGTGATGGGGAGAATGGAACCAAGTTGGAAAACACTCTGCAGGATATTATCCATGAGAACTTCCCCAACCTTACATGGCAGGCCAACATTCAAATTCAGGAAATACAGAGAACACCACAAAGATACTCCTTGAAAAGAGCAACCCCAAGACACATAATTGTCAGATTTGCCAAGGTTGAAATGAAGGAAAAAATGTTAAGGGCAGCCAAAGACAAAGGTCAGGTTACCCACAAAGGGAAGCCCATCAAACTAACAGCGGATCTCTCGGCAGAAACCCTACAAGCCAGAAAAGAATGGGGGCCAATATTCAACATTCTTAAAGAAAAGAATTTTCAACCCAGAATTTCATATCCAGCCAAACTAAGCTTCATAAGTGAAGGAGAAATAAAATCCTTTACAGACAAGCAAATGCTGAGAGATTTTGTCACCACTAGGCCTGCCTTACAAGAGCTCCTGAAGGAAGCACTAAACATGGAAAGGGACAACTGGTACCAGCCACTGCAAAAACATGTCAAATTGTAAAGGTCATCGATGCTATGAAGAAATTGCATCAACTAACGGGCAAAATGACCAGCTAACATCATAATGACAGGATAAAATTCACACATAACAATATTAACCTTAAATGTAAATGGGCTAAATGCCCCAGTTAAAAGACACAGACTGGCAAACTGGATAAAGAATGACAAGTTAACAGGTGCAGCACACCAACATGGCACATGTATACATATGTAACAAACCTGCACGTTGTGCACACGCACCCTAGAACTTAAAGTATAATAATAATAATAATAAAAGAGTCAAGACCCATCAGTGTGCTGTATTCAGGAGACCCATCTCATGTACAGAGACAGACATAGGCTCAAAATAAAGGGTTGGAGGAAGATCTACCAAGCAAATGAAAAGCAAAAAAAAGCAGAGGTTGCAATCCTAGTTTCTAATAAAACAGACATTAAACCAACAAAGATCAAAAGAGACAAAGAGGGCCATTACATAATGGTAAAGGGATCAATTAAACAAGAAGAGCTAACTATCCTAAATATATATGCACCCAATACAGGAGCACCCAGATTCATAAAGCAAGTCTTTAGAGACCTACAAAGAGACTTAGACTCCCACACAATAATAATGGGAGACTTTAACACCCACTGTCAATATTAGACAGATCAACAAGACAGAAGGTTAACAAAGATATCCAGGACTTGAACTCAGCTCTGCACCAAGTGGACCTAATAGACATCTACAGAACTCTCTACCCCAAATCAACAGAATATACATTCTTATCAGCACCACATCACACTTATCTAAAATTGACCACATAATTGGAAGTAAAGCACTCCTCAACAAATGTAAAAGAACAGAAATCACAACAAACTGTCTCTCATAGACCACAGTGCAATCAAATTAAATCTCAGGATTAAAAAACTCATTCAAAACTGCACAACTTCATGGAAACTGCATAACCTGCTCCTGAATGACTAGTGGGTAAATAACGAAATGAAGGCAGAAATAAAGATGTTCTTTGAAACTAATGAGAACAAAGATGCAATGTACCAGAATCTCTGGGACACATTTAAAGCGGTGTGTAGAGGGAAATTTGTTGCACTAAACACCCACAAGAGAAAGCAGGAAAGATCTAAAATCAACACCATAACATCACAATTAAAAGAACTAGGGAAGCAAGAGCAAACAAATTCAAAAGCTAGCAGAAGGCAAGAAATAACTAAGATCAGAGCAGAACTGAAAGAGATAGAGACACAAAAAACCCTTCAAAAAAAAATCAATGAATCTGAGAGCTGGTTTTTTGAAATGATCAACAAAATTGATAGACCGCTAGCAAGATTAATAAAGAAGAAAAGAGAGAAGAATCAAATAGACTCAATAAAAAATGATAAAGGGGATATCACCACCAATCCCACAGAAATACAAACTGCATCAGAGAATACTATAAACACCTCTATGCAAATAAACTAGAAAATCTAGAAGAAATGGATAAATTCCTGGACACATATACCCTCCCAAGACTAAACCAGGAAGAAGTTGAATCTCTGAATAGACCAATAACAGGCTCTGAAATTGAGGCAATACTTAATAGCCTACCAACCAAAAAAATTCCAGGACCAGACAGATTCACAGCCAAATTCTATCAGAGGCACAAAGAGGAGCTGGTAACATTCCTTCTGAAACTATTCCAATCAATAGAAAAAGAGGGAATCCTCCCTAACTTATTTTATGAGGCCAGCATCATCCTGATACCAAAGCCTGGCAGAGACACAACAAAAAAAGAGAATTTTAGACCAATACCCCAGATGAACATTGATGCAAAAATCCTCAATAAAACACACTGGCAAACCAAATCCAGCAGCACATCAAAAAGCTTATCCACCATGATCAAGTGGGCTTCATCTTTGGGACACAAGGCTGGTTCAACATACACAAATCACTAAACATAATCCATCATGTAAACAGAACCAATGACAAAAACCACGTGATTATCTCAACAGATGCAGAAAAGGCCTTTGACAAAATTCAACAGCCCTTCATGCTAAAAACTATCAATGAACTAGGTATTGATGGAATGTATTTCAAAATAATAAGAGCTATTTATGACAAACCCACAGCCAATATCATACTGAATGGGCAAAAATTGGAAGCATTCCCTTTGAAAACTGGCCCAAGACAAAGATGTGCCCTCTCACCACTCCTATTCAACATAGTGTTGGAAGTTCTGGCCAGGGCAATCAGGCAGAAGAAAGAAGTAAAGGGTATTCGATTAGGAAAAGAGGAAGTCAAATTGCCCCTATTTGCAGATGACATGATTGTATATTTAGAAAACCCCATCATCTCAGCCCAAAATCTCCTTAAGCTGATAAGCAATTTCAGCAGTCTCAGGATATAAAATCAATGTACAAAAATCACAAGCGTTCTTACACACCAATAACAGGCAAACAGAGAGCCAAATCATGGGAGAACTCCCATTCACAATTGCTACAAAGAGAATAAAATACCTAGGAATCCAGCTTACAAGGGATGTGAAGGACTTCTTCAAGGAGAACTACAAACCACTGCTCAACAAAATGAAAGTGGACACAAACAAATGGAAGAACATTCCATGCTCATGGATAGGAAGAATCCATATCATGAAAATGGCCATACTGCCGAAGCTAATTTATAGATTCAATGCCATCTCCATCAAGCTACCAATGACTTTCTTCGCAGAACTGGAAAACACTACTTTAAGTTCATATGGAACCAAAAAAGAGCCTGCATTGCCAAGACAATCCTAAGCCAAAAGAACAAAGTTGGGGGCATCACGCTACCTGATTTCAAATTATACTACAAGGCTACAGTAACCAAAACAGCATGGTGCTGGTACCAAAACAGATATATAGAGCAATGGAACAGAACAGAGACCTCAGAAATAACACCACACATGTACAACCATCTGATCTTTGACAAACCTGACAAAAACAAGAAATGGAGAAAGGATTCCCTATTTAATAAATGGTGCTGGAAAAACTGGCTATGCAGAAAGCTGAAAGTGGATCCCTTCCTTACACCTTATACAAAAATTAATTCCAGATGGATTAAAGATTTAAATGTTAGACCTAAAACCATAAAGTCCCTAGAAGAAAACCTAGGCATTACCATTCAGGACATAGGCATGGGCAAGGACTTCATGACTAAAACACCAAAAGCAATGTCAACAAAAGCCAAAATAGACAAATGGGATCCAATTAAACTAAAGAGCTTCTGCATGGCAAAAGAAACTACCATCAGAGTGAACAGGCAACCTACAGAATGGGAGAAAATGTTTGCAATCTACCCATTTCACAAAGGGCTAATCTCCAGAATCTACAAAGAACTCAAACAAATTTACAAGAGAAAAACAAGCAACCCCATCAAAAAGTGGGCAAAGGATATGAACAGACACTTCTCAAAAGAAGACATTTATGCAGCCAACAGACACAAGAAAAAATGCTCATCATCACTGGTCATCAGAGAAATGAAAATCAAAACCACAATGAGATACTATCTCACATCAGTTAGAATGGCGATCACTAAAAAGTCAGGAAACAACAGGTGCTGGAGAGAATGTGGAGAAATAGGAATGCTTTTACACTGTTGGTGGGAGTGTAAACTACTTCAACCATTGTGGAAGACAGTGTGGCAATTCCTCAAGGATCTAGAACTACAAATACCATTTGACCCAGCCATCCCATTACTGGGTATATACCTAAAGGATTATAAATCATGCCACTATAAAGACACATACACACGTATGTTTATTGCGGCACTATTCACAATAGCAAAGACTTGGACCCAACCCAAACGTCCATCAATGATAGACTGGATTAAGAAAATGTGGCACATATACACCAGAGAATACTATGCAGCCATAAAAAAGGATGAGTTCATGTCCTTTGCAGGGACATGGATGAAGCTGGAAACCATCATTCTCAGCAAACTATCACAAGGACGGAAAACCAAACACTGCATGTTCTCACTTATAGGTGGGAATTGAACAATGAGAACACTTGGACACAGGGTGGGGAACATCACACACCAGGGCCTGTCAGGGGGTAAGGGCCTTGGGGAGGGATAGCATTAGGAGAAATACCTAATGTAAATGACGAGTTGATGGGTACAGCAAACCAACATGGCACAAGTATACCTATGTAACAAACCTGCACGTTGTGCACATGTACCCTAGAATTAAAGTATAATAATTTAAAAAGAAAGAAAAAAAGTGTTTTCAACACTAAAATAAAATTTTTAAAAATTGAAAAAAAAAAGGAGAATCTGCCAGTATTCACACATGAACACACACACACACTCACACACATACACACATTCCACTCCATTTAGAGTGACCAACTGTCCCTATTTGTCCCCTTGGGACTAAAGGGGTTCCCAAGACAAGGGACTTTCAGTGCTAAAACTGGAGAAGTTCCAGAGAACCTGGGACAAGTTGATTGCCCTAACCCCTAACCCATCAGAGGTATTTTTGTCCTGATTTAGAAGAGTTTCATAGGAGGAACAGCAGGGCACAGAGGACTCTCCCTCACTTTGAGTGCAGTTTTGCTCATCCCGGCCATTCTCACAGTCCCTGAAGCCATCACAGATGAGAGGGCCATGCTGCCTGAAGGAGCTGGTATTGCAGGCAGGTTGAGGGCTCACTAGAATAAAAAATAAAAACAGAAAGTTCACGAGCCTGAGACACCAGCTGGGTTCTCTGATGATCAGCAGTGCCAGTCTCAAGGTACAAATCATTAGGATGACCTATAAAACAAAAAGTGTATTTTCCTCAAAACTGACACTTCCATGAGGAAAAGTAGGTGTTTAAACTTTGGTGTGATTTCTAGCACGTTTTGTCAGATCTGATTTTTGCTTTTGTATAAATGCGTTAAACTCTGATGGCTTGTTTATTTAGTTACAATTAAATGCATCATAGTAATTTATTTTAAGGGAGATAGAAATCATAAGCTGTGATCTAAATCAAACTCGTCTACCTTCTGAAGCAAAATAAGAGTGTCCTGAGATTGGAGATTTTGTCTTCTTCATCTCCGTACCTCAAGCCCCCGAACAAATAGCAGTTGTTTACTCAAGGTTTGTTGAATGAATTCATGAATGTGAGATCTTAAAGGATAACAGACTTTGGGTTTATGTGGCCCTGTGGTCTCTTTGGAATTATTTTGTCTGATGAGATCCATTTCCTGAATTAGGAAATATTAATGTAAATCTATCATGTTTTTCCTCTTTGGAATAGTTTCATGAATTGCTTTTAGACCAGCAACAAGTACAAGCAAGCAAATTTAGAAAGTATGATTCCTTAGACATTTCTGGTTTTGTGAATAGTTATCAGTTTTGCTATCTGCACCTGTTTTTTCAGAGCTAGCTCTTGTGAGGGCAGGTAGGAGGATATTGCTGCCCTAAAATTGTTCATTAGGTCCCTCAGTATACCTAATGGACTCTTAGAGAATAGCTCCAAAAAATGGCACAATGAGGAATAATGATTACCAAAAAACAGTCCTTATTATAAATTAACAATAATCATTTTTGTTTGGAGAATCAGCACAAAAAATAATAATGTAAAAAAACTCAGTCATTATATAATGATCAGTATTTATTTTCTTAAGAAATAGAATACTATAGATTTAAATAATCAATGAACCATAAGCTAAGACAAATTTTGTGTTTTGTTTTGTCAATTAAAAAAATAAGGTATAAACTAGGCATGGTGGCTCGTGCCTGTAATCCCAGCAGTTTGGGAAGCCAAGGTAGGAGGACGGCTTGAGGTCAGGAGTTTTAGACTGGCTTGGGCAACACAGTGAGACCTCATCTGTATGAAAAACAAAAAAGAGTTAGTGGCATTGGTGGTGTGCGCCTGTATTCCCAGCTACTCAGGAGGCTGAGGAGGGAGGATCCCTTGAGCCCAGGAGTTCGACGCTGCAGTGAGCTATGATCACACCACTGCTCTCCAGCCTGGATGGCAGAGCAATACCTTGTCTCTAAAATATAAATAAATAAAGTATATAGTCACAGGTTATTTTTTATTAATATAATTTTCACTGTTAGATATAGCATATTAACTATATTTTTCCAAGGATACACAAAAGATTAAATAGCATCATCATTGTAACTGTATTTGATTTAAACACTCTGGACCTTCAGGACAAAATGCTGCCAATGGTGTCACATAGTCCAGTGAATTGTCCTTCCCATATTGCTCCCTGAAACTAGAGATAGATTCAAGAATGAGGTACAAATAGTCATGAAAAATTAAGACAGAGATTCTCCACCCAAAATAAGAATATCCAGTTACCCCACACCTTAGTCTTCACCAATGTGATGTCAATACAAATTGTACAGGTTAGAAAAATAACAACAAAACTTTTTCTTTTATGGGGCTGGCTGCAGTGGCTCGTGCCTGTAATCTCAACACTTTGGGAGGCCAAGGTGGTCAGAATGCTTGAGGCCAGGAGTTTGACACCAGCCTGGGCAGCCTGGGCAGTTTTATTAAAGACATTGTCTTTAATAAAAATCTTTTAAAAATTAGTGATACATGGTGGTGCACACCTGTAGTCCCAGCTACTCAGGAGGCTGACATGGGAGGATCGCTTGAGTCCAGGAAGACAAGACTGCAGTGAGCTGTGATTGTGCCACTGCACTCTAACCTGAGTGACAAAGCAAGACCTGGTCTCAAAGAAAAAAGAAAAGAAAACACACACACAAAACCCGTTCTCTTTTATTTACAAACAACATATGGGATCTGGGCTTCATAAAGGAGCACGCTGAAAGAGCACTTCTCTGCAAATTCTGAGCTTCTCTCTAGATGGAGAATCTGTGCCTTCAAACAGGATTTCGGTGTTTAAGATTGTGGTAAATTAAATTATTAGCCACAGATCTTTACTCCCCGTGGTAGTATTATGCACCCCAGTGTTACCATAGCCCCAAGGTGTACAGAGTGAATTTCCCTGCCCCTGACTTTGTTCTCAAGTATGTGACTTGATTTGAACAATAGAATGTAACACAAATGATGGTGTGCCAGTTCCAAGCCCAGGCCTTATGAGAAACCATGTGCTGCTGCTCTCCCCTCTTTTCCTTTTGCCACTGCCATGACTAGCCCACTGGCTCAATGAGGAAAAGAGCCATCAAAAGTAGAGCTGATTCCAATATTGGAAGAACCAAGCTCAGGTGGACCCAATGCTTGAAGCAGAGCCACCCATATGAGCCCAGCCTAGATTAGTCAGATCCCAGAAAATCCACAGATGCATGATCAAGAATAAATGATTGTTTAAGTCACTGGGTTTTGGGGTAGTTGGTTATGCAGTAATAGATAATAACTACAAATACTAAGGATATATATCAGCAGCAATCATGGTCCTGAGAAGTTACTTATTCATAAGAAAGTCATATTAAAATCTTGAATACCCACCGCAAAACAGTTCATCACTTTCATCAAAGCAGTCATTTACTCCATCACAACGCTGGGCCTGAGGGACACATAAACCGGAGGAGCATCTAAAAGATCCAACAGGGCAGGCTATGGGCAACAAAAAATCAAAAAATAGAAAATCTTGGATAGATCCCTGAAATCACTAGACCACATTAGCAAATTTAAAGTGTGAAGTGGTTAGGGAGTTGGCAGGGTAGCAGTAATAATTACATAGTGTCTTCATCAAATGAAGGCTGCCAGTCATTGAAAGACAAAAAAGCGGAACACAGAAGAGCAAAGAAGAAAGCAGTATCCACCTGGAGCTCTCTGTGAGCACTGCATTCAGGTCATATGCACAAGCAAACTTCTACTATCTCCATAGTCTAGTCTCAGCTGGGTGACTTTGTCATATACCTGAAGAATGTGAAAGTTGGAACATACCTAAGGGAGCCCAGCATTCCTAATGTGGAGTCTTTAGACAGCACTAGAGAATCTTAAATTGACTTCTGGTGTCCCTGAATCTTCTGTGATCAGATGAGTTATCCTGTATGTCTTAAATTACATTTTCAAGTGAGCTGTGCTCCAAAACATATTAGTAACCACTGCTCTTATCACGTTGGACCTAGAGAGATTACTTACTGGCCTCGAACCCAGACTCCTGCCCCTTACCTCCCTGTCCACTAGTCTTTCCTCTTCAACCAGGCTTCTGATTAATGATCCATTCCCTGATTCAAGATTCATTCCCGATCTTGAATCATTCATCCTGAGTTCGTAGGTAAACATTAGAGAAATAATGAATCCTTCCTCCCCTTTTGCAAAAGAATGGGGGAAAGTGTATGGTCGAGGGAAACACTATTTCAATGGCACATGATGGAATGGATGAGAAGCTGGAAAATAGTTATGGTTTAAAAAAACAATTAAAAATAAGACAGCTTGCTTTATCTACCTGTGACTCTGCTGGAAACTGTAATACTCTGTAATTCAGGATGTAATATTCTTAATCTAGAAGAAGATCTATTAGGGATTGGCAAAGAAGGACATGGTCTAAAGAAATGTTCTCTCAAGTCATATCCCTGTGGACTCTTCAGTGGGCAATCTTTACTTTTTCCCTCTTAAGATGGGTCAAAGATTTCCTGAGCATGTCATTACCCACTCTCTGTAGTTCTAATGACTTCCCTCACACATTGCCTTTTCTGATGAGCACTTCCTGGCCGCTCTTCCAGTAGTTTTCAGTATGAATTTCAAACTCAATATTCTGAGGGCTGATATTTGAACTCCCTCTACCAAACAGCTCTTCCTGTGCAAACACAGGCCAAAGTGAGTGACAAGTGTTGGCTTTGGATCCACTACATGTTGGTGTAAACATCATATTTACAGAGAATGATGGCTAGCAAGAACTACAAACCAATACATGTCTTGTCTTTAAGGAATAGTGTAAGAAATTATTTTTCAACTATAAATCAGTAATATTAAAAAGTTATATTATTTCTTTAATAATTCAAAGTATAGTAGTAATAAATATGTAATCTTATATATTTGTTATATTTATTTGTATTTTATAATTATTATTTATTATAGAAATAAGTATGTAAAAGGAAATAGCAGAAATAAAGCAGTATTCATTTCTTAAATTCTCACGGTTTGGAATTATAAAATGTTATCCTCTATGTAAGTATTAAGTTTTCCTAAGGAGGTGATCCTAGGCTTACGTTGACTGATGTTGTAACTGCCATATTCTGCCAAAAGTGGCTTGTCTGAAAGCCTTGAACTGCACTGGAGCTGAATGTGAACCAGAGGGCTGGGCACTCGAAAAATTGTCTGATGATCCATGTAGGAGCCACAGTACCTGGGGAGACAAGAGTCGGGGAGAATACACAGCTTGAGGTTCTGTCGACTGAATTCCCATTCATGGTGAATTCTCTAATACTTTGGTCATTTGGTTTTCACAAACAGAGATGCGTATGGTAGAGCTAATGGTAGTTATTCATTCTAGGCCATGTGACTGTGATCAAGTAACTTCTGCCCTCTTTATTTTCTCCTCTGCTTAATGGAACAATAATAGTACCATTGACCTGTTGCTTTCCTCACCATCACTTATGATCCAAAGAAATATGGATTTAATTCTCCCAGTTTTCTCTCCTTTTACAATGTGAAAACCTGTGTAATGTAAGAATTGCCTGCTTTTGTCAACAAGCCGCTCTGCCAAGCAAAGTGGAGTTCATTCAATCAGGTTGAAAATATGCAAAGAATTCCAGCAAGACTAAAAGCAAAAGACAACATTATTTCAGTCTAAATTGAAATCTGACGTGCACATAAGGGCTTGTCCTTGGCAAAATTTCAAAGAATTAATGTCCGTCTCCAATATTTCCCTACCTTGATTATTTTTTCTTACCTCTCATCACCTAATGCCCCCCAGTATCCTTTAGAGAAAATATCCCTCCTGTTAATAATTCTCACTACATTAGCACTGTGGTTAGTGGAGCATAGCATACAGTATTATTATATTGCAGGCCCGTAAGTTAGTCCACCGCCCTGTGTAGATGAGGCTCTTCCCACAGAGAAACCTGAAAGATCTTGATGGGAGACAGCAGACACAAGGCTTGGGGGTAATTGTTGTGGGAAGTCAGGGACCCTGAATGGAGGGACCGGCTGAAGCCATGGCAGAAGAACGTGGATTCTGAAGATTTCATGGACATTTATTAGTTCCCCAGATTAACACTTTTATAATTTCTTATGCCTGTCTTTACTGCAAATCTCTAAACATAAATTGTGAAGATTTCATGGACACTTATCACTTCCCCAATCAATAACCTTGTGATTTCCTACACCTGTCTTTACTTTAATCTCTTAATCCCATCATTTTGTAAGGTGAGGAGGATGTATGTCACCTCAGGACCCTGTGATGATTGCGTTAACTGCACAAATTGTTTGTAGAGCATGTGTGTTTGAACAATATGAAATCTGGGCACCTTGGAAAAAGAACAGGATAACAGCAATGTTCAGGGAACAAGAGAGATAACCTTAAACTCTGACCGCTGGTGAGCCAGGCAGAACACAGCCATATTTCTCTTCTTTCAAAAGCAAATGGGAGAAATATCACTGAATTCTTTTTCTCAGCAAGGAACATCCCTAAGAAAGAGAATGTGCCCCTGAGGGTGGGCCTCTAAAATGGCCCCCTTGGGTGTGGTCATCTTCTATGATCGAGACTGTAGGGATGAAATAAGCCCCAGTCTCCCTTAGTGCTCCCAGGCTTATTAGGACGAGGAAATTCCCGCCTAATAAATTTTTGGTCAGACCGGTTGTCTGCTCTCAAACCCTGTCTCCTGATAAGATGTTATCAATGACAATGTGTGCCCGAAACTTCATTAGCAATTTTAATTTTGCCCCGGTCCTGTGGTCCTGTGATCTCGCCCTGCCTCCATTTGCCTTGTGATATTCTATTACCTTGTGAAGTACATGATCTCTGTGACCCACACCCTATTCGTACACTCCCTCCCCTTTTGAAAATCACTAATAAAAACTTGCTGCTTTTGCGGCTTGTGGGGCATCACGGAATCTACCAACATGTGATGTCTCCCCCAGACAGCCAGCTTTAAAATTTCTCTCTTTTGTACTCTGTCCCTTTATTTCTCAACCCAGCCGATGCTTAGGGAAAATAGAAAAGAACCTACATGACTATCGGGGGCAGGTTCCCCAATAGGTAATGACCTCCACTGGAACCTGTGATGCCAATTACTCTAGGCCCCTAAAGCACTCGGGAAACAGGCATCTTCCATGGATCAGACACTGGCATTCAGGAGCACAGATAACCTGTGATTTTAAGGATTAAAGGAGGAAAGCATTCATGTGTTTTTCAGGAAGAGTCTTTTGCAATTGGCTGAAGTACAGGAACTGATAACCTGTTAGACCAACTCCTGAGGTATGAGGAAGAGATGGCAAGTGCAGATGTCCTTCTGGCTAACTGGGAGCCAGGGTCTGAGAGGCACCTGAAAGCCAAGCCATGCCAAACTTTTGGAGTCAGAGTTGGCCATCTTGAGATCAGAATCCTGTGCCCATAAAAACATGCTGATTATGTTATCTGAATCTCATAGTGATTTCCTTTGTGCTCACCATTAACATTTAGTAGAGTTTCCTTGCAAAGATGAGCCTTGCTAGGCATGTTAAGGGGAATCAAGAGGAAAGAGATCACAGGCTTGGGCTGGAGTTTAAAGGGGGAGAGTATGCAATGGGGAATAATGGTGGCTTGTGAAATGAGTTTTAAAACTGAGAAACACGAGAAAGCCAGCAAGAGTCAGTTTATATAGACAGACACATGACAAGTGAGGAAACTAAGACATAAAGACGTGAAATAACTTGCCAAAGTTCAAATAGCAAGTAAGTAAAACCAAGATTTGGATGCCAACTGGCCTGATGCTAAACTCTAGCACACCAAAGCAGTTCTGTCCTGCTAAATCTTTGTAAAAAGGCCATCCATTTCTTCGGGGTTCATATACCGTAGTCCAGCTGCCCTGAGCATTCACACCTCACCCCCAGGCTGTCTAGAGGAGATCATTAGGCTTCTTCCAGTCAGGATTACTTTTTCCTCCTTCCCCATTATAGCCTCAATTTCCTTAGGCTAACTGCTCAGCAAGGTGTCTAGTTAGCACAATTAGAGCTTTTCCTTTTTAGATGAAAAGTACTTGATAATGTGAAGGGCTGGCATTTTAAATCCTGAGGGTAAAGAAGCATCAAATGAATCTGATAGGATTTCAGCCAGCCCACAAGCCTAGTGAAGAACTGGCCCTTTAGGAAAGGATGGGGCTGAGAGAGCTTTCCTGGTATTGCTTGGGAGCAGATTCTGCTCCTACTTAGGCAGCAATAAACACATCCCGGGTCGTTGTTGTGATTTAGGGATAAAATAGTTCCTCATTTTCAAAGCACAGCTCCGTCACAGGCTTACACCTTCACAAAAGATTTGTAAAGATTTGTTTTCTTTACAAATCTCTATTTTAATTAAATACCAAAATGCAGTATCTTTAAAGCCTTGGGGGCACGTTCTATAGTATTTATCCAACAAGTGTCATTTCAAAAACAATCTTGTTATTCATATTAATAATAGCTAGTATTTTTTGCTTTGTGGTATACATGATTTCGTAAATGCAAACCAAAAAACAAACAAGAAAAACTTATTAAGAATCATTACCTCATTTCACCAACCAAAACTCAAAGAAGTTAAATAATTTGCCCTAGTTAATGTAGCTACTAAACGATAGAGCTGGAACTTGAACCCAGGTCTTCTGACTCCCACAACATAGAGTCTTGATTCAATTACACTCCCCAAAACAATACAGTCTGCATTTTAATAGTGAATCCAAGAATGTCCTTAAATTTGATAAAGCCTATTCCAATGAAGACAGGACCAGTTATTTTGCAAGTAGTCTGTCTAAAGGAATTGAAAGAAGTTTGTTCTGAAAAAGCACTTAGAAAGGGAAGGTTTCACTCATAGAATAACAATGAGCAAAGAAGTAGCAGCAAATCCTTTAACTTAACAGAATTCTCTGAAAGTGAACTAAGAAGATATTCTGTGGTCAAGACAGGGCATCCTGTATTTTTGAAAACCTATTCAAGGGCTGGGTGTGGTGGCTCATGCCTGTAATCCTGGAACTTTGGGAGGCTTAGGAAGGTGGATCACTTGAGGTCAGGAGTTTGACACCAGCCCGGCCAACATGGCAAAACCCCATCTCTACTAAAACTACAAAGATTAGCCAGGTATGGTGGTGCGTGCCTGTAGTCCCAGATACTTGGGAGGCTGAGGCAGGAGAATTGCTTGAACCCAGGAGGCAGAGGTTGTAGTGAGCCAAGATCGCACCACAGCACTCCAGCCTGGGTGACAGAGCAAAACTCTGTCTCAAAAAAATAAAAATAAAAAACCAAAACAAAAAACAAAACTATTTAATTCAGTGCCTATGTAATCTGTTATAGATTTAGAAGGAAATCAACAACAATAATTAAGAGACAAATTAAGAGTGAGAGTGAGCACCTAGTACATTGGTTCTACAGCCAAGTAGATTGGTTCTAGCCCTAAGCCCCTAGATTTCTGATTAGCTTCAACCCATTTCCCAGTCTCAGGATCCAGCCAGGCCAACTGGGACTTTCCTACCACACAGAATTGGTCAATGGTCTCTAACATTTTTTTTCAGCAGAACCCCAATTTATTATATTCCCCCATGGATCCAGGATTTGAAAAACTCATCTGCCAAATACTCTTGTGAAGTGTGGAATATACATATCTGTAGCCCAGCAGCAGAGAGCAGTGGTGGGGCAGGAGCCCTAAGACATGGGTTTGAATCCTGCCTCCATCACTCATGAGCTGCATGGCCTTGAGCAAGTTACATAACTCCTATATCCCTCAGTTTCCCTAACTGTAAATGGTAAAGCGCAAACTCTTTGAGGACAAGGAACACACAGCTATGAACTTTTCATCAGATGCCTCACATATGAAAACATATGAAAATCACTTACATGTGCTCATTAATTTCCCACCATCCATGCTCACAGCCTTTCATACTCTTCTTGGTTATTGAATAGTTATAGAATTTCAGTGCTATGCCAAGAGTTGATAGAGAAGTCTGTGAAAATAAACATTAAGTCAGAAAAAAATGCTTCAATCAAAGTATGTATTTACTTATTCCCTTGGCTTGTTGTTTTAAGGCCATTCTACTTGCGCCCTGTGGCCCTTAGTGGGGTAAACCAGTTCTCCTGAACAAAGCGGGATAAGGAGGAGAGCGTTCTGAAGAAGGAAGCAGGCAGCCATGTATTCAGGGAGCAGCTGCTGGGTCCCAAGTGGAGCGGGGTGACTTGAGACTTATCAGCATCTCTGGGTTTCAGTTTCTCCCTGTTAGTGTGAACTTAACTTTAATAACACCCACTTGTTAATGAGTGTAAACACCTTACTCTTTTAATGTACATATGACACAACTGATTTAAAGCATCATTCAGATTCTTTAGATAAAGGAGAAATGAATCAGCCTCCTCTTCATATTAAATTCAGTATTTCTGAAGGCTGTTAGTGAGTCACCCCTAGATCTTCTTGGAAGACCTCAGAAGAGAAAGCTGTCTACGTATATGAGCAAATGTGTGTGTGTGCGTGTGTGTGTGCATGCACCACACCAGTCCATGCACACACACACTATGCAACTCACTTTTTTGTTGCATTTTGTGGTATACATCTGTATTATGTCTGATATGACAAAGTTTTCATTTTGATTTTCACTTTGACCCAGGAATTATTTAAGGAATTTTTATATTTAAGAGAGTCAAATTTGGGTTCATCCATTTTTAAGCTTTCTAATTCTTAGTTGAATAAGAGTATCATTTATAGTGCCTTAAATTTTTTAAATTTTGTGGTCAAATTTATGAATGCTTCATGGTCACTTTAAAAAAGGAGTAGTCTGCATATCTATAATATGAAACTCGTGTATGATATTCAATATTTAATATCCTGCTTTGCCTTATTTATTGTCCTCCACTATCTCTGTCATGAATGAAGAGACTTAAAATTCCTTATTTAAGCATTGCCCACTTCTTTGCTTATTTTTTTTTACTTTTTTTGTAAAATAATTTTTATAGAGACAGGGTTTCACCACATTGCCCAGGCTGGTCTCGAACTCCTGGGCTCAAGTGATCCACCTGCCTCAGCCTCCAAAAGTGTTGGGATTATAGGCGTGAGCACTGTGCCTAGCCGGCATTGCCCACTTCTCTCTTTGTATTTCCACTTGTTTTTGATTTATGAGTATTACTGCTGTTTTGTTTGCTGCATAAACAATTGACGTAATCACATCTTGTGGATCATCGTCTTCATCATTATAAATTGCTTTTTGTCTGGTACTTGTAAATCAGGGGTATCGTTGCCCTGATTTCAGTGTTGCCTGGTACTGATTGTGAACTCTGCTTTTTGTTGTTTATACTTGCCTGATACATTGCCCATCCTTTTTGTTCAGCCTTATTGAATTGCTTTTTAGTTCATTTTGTCATTTGAAAATAACATAAAGTTCAGTTTTAGGTAATACTTTGTAATTCAACCTTATTGTCATTTTCTTTAGGTGAATTTTACCCATTACTTGTATTGCTCTGAAAGACATTTTAGTTATGTCATCGTATTATATGTTATGCTGTGTGTGTGTGTGTCTGTGTGTGTGTCTGCGCAAGTGTTTGCTTGTTTCCAATGTGCATTTGAATAGAGTAAACCACCCCTCACCACCTACCTTTGAGGGAGAATGAATCAGGCACTTTATGTTTCTCACTTAAACATCACAACAACCCTGTTGTGCAGGTAGTGTGAATCCCATTGCACAGAAGTAAAAACCAAGACTAACCAAGATAAGTAACTTTTCCAAGGTTAAAAAATGCAGACCACAGATTCAGACCAGCCCTGCATGTCTCTGAAGGTCACCCTTTTCCCGGTGTATCAGGCTGCTTGGATACCAACATGGGGGGCTCAATCGGAAAAGGATTCTCTTATGTTTACCGAAAACCCAGGGCTCATAAGAACACATATCAATTTTTTTTAAGTCTTCTCATCTGGTTATTTCTTCACATAAAAAATATGTAAACTGGCCGGGTGCAGTGGCTCACGCCTGTCATCCCAAGCACTTTGGGAGGCCCAGGAGGGCGGATCACGACGTCAGGAGATCGAGACCATCCAGGCTAACACGGTGAAACTCCGTCTCTACTAAAAATAGAAAAAATTAGCTGGACTTGGTGGCGGGCGCCTGTAGTCCCACCTACTCGGGAGGCTGAGGCAGGAGAATGGCGTGAACCTGGGAGGCGGAGCTTGCAGTGAGCCGAGATGTGCCACTGCACTCCAGCGTGGGCGACAGAACGAGACTCCGTCTCAAAAAAAAAAAAAAAAAAAAAAAAAAAAAGCAAACTGAGAGATAGTAAATATGTTAAGTAACTAATGTAAATCTTATAATGTAAGAACATCTTCCAGTGCAATCTTCTACAAGAAGCTCAGTTAGGCATTTTCACTAGATTCCACAGCTTCAACATAAAAATGGATTCATATGTAACACTACCTTCCAATCCACAGAGTTCCTCCATAGTGAAAAGAAATGAGTCCCCTTGCACACTGATTCCACTAACACAGAATTGCACACAATTCTACATTTGTATACAGATTGGCCAAAAGTCATTACTTATATTAACCTGCTTGACAGACAGAGGGGTGACATTTAGTTTCACAATGCATTGCAAGCTATTTCAACAAATGAACAAAAAATAAGTCCACTATTATATGTTCTGTGTTCTCTGTTTCTGTTCCCTATCCTCTGCCTTTGCATTGGGAACTTTAATCAAGTAAAGGGAGGAATTTTCCCGATCTGGACCTGTAATATTTAAATATTTCTCTAGTCAGTGATGGTGATAGGATGCAGGAGGCTTCATCTTTCAGCCCACCCCTAATTTGCCAGTGGTGGTGTGTACACAACCCAAGAACCCACCTCAGATGAGCAGTGAAAGTTTCTGTGGTAAAACTGCTTGCATATTTCCTTCACAGAAGCAGGGAATGGAGCTCCCTTCTGGGGAATCTTGTGCATTTCCTAAGTGATATAAGGAGGTGACTTACATGGCCCGTAAAAATCCATGCTTATGCCTGGCAGACCTAAATTGGATGGTGCTGTGCTGATGACTTTTGTGATAAAACAATTCAAAGCACTGCTGCATATTCCTTTTCTAAGATTCTATAACAAAATGTATTGGAATACAAAAAAGAAGGGAGGTGGTAAATGTTCAGCTAAGTGATTGTTAAGAAACGTAGGGAAGCAGAACATCTTTAGAAACCCAGAAAAGGAGAAGGGGCTGAATTTATTTATGGAGGAGGCATGATTCCTTCTAGTCCTACCTGGGTCACTTTCTGTTTGAGTGATCCCTAGCAAATGATTCAACCCATCTCTTTTCCCATACCTATAAAATGTGCTAAGAATATGTCTTCTGTATTAGAGGTGTGTTTTGAAGGGCAAATAAAAATATGTTGCCAAAAACACTGAAGTGCTAAACAAATATAGACAACAGAATACAAACTCAACACCCTTTTTTGGTTGTACTTATCTGTTCCTTCTTCCCCTGTAGTCTGTAAGCTCCATGAGAACAAGAACTTTATCTTGCTACTAGGCATCCCCATATAGAGCCTGGCACGTGGCAGACATTTAATAAGCATTGTTGAGTGGACAAGAGAGCTTGAGAGAAGAATCTTTAAGCTGTAGCAGGAGTTAATCCTTCTCAGATAAATAAGACCTTAAAGCTCAGCTGGAAGTGAGTTTGCAAAGGGGGTTGACTGCTCTTCAGCAAATTTCAAAATGGGACCAGACACTAAGATGGATTGAGGAGAATATAAACTAACTTTTGTGTAAAAAACTTTTGTCATAACGAGTCAATATTTTTGTTACTTAAGTCATCGAGTTTTTTTTTTTAATAAATTCAAAGCTATTTTACAGGTGAAAAAAAAAGTCAATTTTACACTGATTTCCATTCACAGTAACATGCCCTGATGTTTTCAAAGCTTTCTGAAAAGGAACAGTTTTATTTAACCTCTACACTGAGGAGGACAAACTTCCTCTCTGAGAGATGACAACAGCTAACACGTTTGTCCTGCTGTTTCCTGCCTCCTTTCTCCCACTCCTCACTTGCTCACTGGGATGTCCTTTTCCTTCTAAAGACTTTTTTTTTTTTTCTTCAGCATTTCTCACCCCCAACCCCTAGCAAAACAGTAAATGATCCAATATTCTTTTTCACACCCTGACTAAAAGTCCCAACAAAGTTTTAAAATTTTCATTTTAAGGCTATGGATTATTAAGAAGTCAACCTTTATTTTATCTCAAAGGAATTTCAAACATTCGACAGAGCTTTTGAGAATGGCACTGTCTTTTTCTGCTATCACACAAGCTCAAGAAGGTAAATCTGCTTTGTGGAGAGACTGAAGAAATGGAGATTTGTTTCCTTTCCCTCTTCCTTCCCTAACCCTTTCTTTCATCTCCTCTTTTCCTCTCCTCCTCAGACTTGCTGCTTATCTGAGGCCCTGCATTTCTGCTGCCCTGAAGCCTTGAGAACCTGGCAGTGAGCAAGGGTCCAGCACCTTTATCTCTTAATTACTTTGGAAATATTTGTAATAATGATTTTTTTTTAAATTTAAGGACACATGCCATCAGGGTATTGACACCAACTTACAGGTTTGGGTAGAGTAATGAAATTATTTTAACTATTTAACTATTATGACTATGCACAAAAAAAAAATATGCATCAAGCACCCTCCTGCCTCAGAGTCCCTGGCTCAGCTGTTCTCTTTGCTTGCAACATTCTTATCCTGGTATTCACAAGGTTAGTTCCGTCATCTTTCAGGTTTATCCGCAAATGTCCCCTTGTCAGCAAGACTTTCCCTGATCATCCTATTTAAGATAACAAACACCTAACTTGTTATGCTTCACACCTCCCACCCCCAACTCAGGCTATAGAGCCCCCTTCCCTGCTTTATTTTTCTCCATAGCATTTTATCATTACGAGACATATTACGCGTATTTAACTTGTTTGTTTATTACTTGCCTTCCCCTACTGGAAGGTAAGCTCCATGAGAGCAGGGCTGCTGCTCTGTGTTTGTGTCTGATTTCGTGGATCCCCAGTATCTGGAATCGTGCCTGAGTGCCTGGCCCATAGTAGTCATTCAATAATATGTTGAATAAACGCAAACAACATACTGCTTGCCACTTACATCTAATTCATCTAATTGCTATGCCACACAATAATGAGTCTATACGTATATCCTGAATGAACAGAGGTGACACTTTGCCCTGTCTCCATGTGATATTATAGGTGGAGAAAGAAAAAGCAGTTTACTAAGATTTTTTTTAAAAAAGCATAAATGCCCTATCTAGCACCAGAGGGAGAGATAGATAGATAGGTAATAGAGATAGATAGATAGATAGATAGATAGATGATAGATAGATAGATAGATAGATAGATAGATAGATAGATAGATGATAGAGATAGATAGATAATAGAGATAGATAATAGAGATAGATATAGATAGATAGATACATAGATAGATAGATAGATAGATAGATAGATAGATAGATAGATAGATAGATATTTCGTATACATTTGCACTCTGGTTTGCTTATACAACTGAAATATAATAGAGTTGTCCCTTAGTATCTGTGGAGGATTGGTTCCAGGAACCCTACAGATACCAAAATTCTCAGATACTGAAGTATATTATATAAAATTGTGTAGTATTTGCGTGTAATCTATGCACATCCTCTATATACTTTAAATCATCTCTAGATTACTTATAATACCTAATACAATTATATTCTATATAAATAGTTGTTATATTGTATTGTTTTTTATTTGTGTTATTGTTTATTGTTGTATTTTATTGTGTCTGTTTGTAAAATGTTTTGATCTGTGATTGGTTTAATCCACGGATGCCAAACCTGCAGAT
Source organism: Homo sapiens (assembly GCF_000001405.40). Lineage (NCBI taxonomy): Eukaryota > Metazoa > Chordata > Mammalia > Primates > Hominidae > Homo > Homo sapiens. The sequence continues at coordinate 112,051,160 of NC_000003.12, read as the reverse complement.
ACAGAGGGCTGACTGTATTGCCTAATCCAATTTATTATTTTATTATTATTCCTATTACAATGCTGGTGATTAAGTAATTAAAAATTGATAAATGTGCTCTATCATAATACAATAATTGAACCTTCAATAATGCCTTTGCATTTTCAATACCAACAAAATAAATTTGAGAAAAAGGCCCCAGTCTGCTAAGAGTAGTTAATTTGTGGGCAGAGGGTTGAAATTACAGAAAAGTGTTGCATTCTAAATAATATATTTCAATAATACTGAAATTTTATAAAATTAAGCAATATTCTTTTGTAATTAAAAAATGAATGAAATTCATGCTATTAAAAATAGAGCAGTAATATTTTTCTAAGACACTGGTAGAACTAGGCTACCTGAAATTTCCAGGTACACTTGCATTTTGGAGGATAGTAGCTCGGGTAATATGGGCTTGAAATTTTCCCTTCAAAGCCAGTGATGTCTTTGACCAACACTGTGTTTTCACACTCTGGAAAAGATACCCAGTGACACACAATGATTTGCAGCTGTGAGATTATGGAAAATACACTTCATACATTTCTTTAATTACTAAGGCACACTTCCTTGATCGACAAGCTTTATACATTTCTTAAACTTTGGGTTTTTTTTTTTTTTTTCAGAAGAAAGGAATGCCACCCTACAGATGTATAGCTAAAATGCTTATTCTCTAATTCTATATTTGTTTTCACATCATATGTTTTGGCTGCAGATCTGCAAGATGCTATTACTCTCTTTAAAAACATAGTTCTGAACTCAGAGACACCAGCAGCAGCTGAACAGCAATCCCTCCTCAGAGGCCTGAGTTCCATCTCTCATATTCCCTCCTCTAAGCTCTAAACTGTAATAATCTCAACCTCTTTCCTTTGTTCACCCAGCCTTAGGGATGATAGTTACTTTCTGCACATGTTACATCCATGATACATTTCTCTTCTTGTCCTTTTTGCCTTTTGAGTAACCTTATTGACACCTTTATATGAAGTTAATAGTTCTTACAGAATTCATTCTGTCTAAATAACTAATATGGTCTCTCTCTTCTGACTGGACCTTTATTCAGAGTCCCAGACTAATACAATGAATATTACAACACAGCTTCCAGAAAGATAAGAATAGCCTATCATTACAAATATTTCTAAAAGTGACTTCTCCATAATTGGGGAAGACTTACTTTGTTCTGGAATGACCTCAAAATATGCCCGGATTCCTGAGAGCCTCCGTATATGAGGAGACTTAAATGTCACCAACATGAGATTATTTGTAGAAACAAATGACATTAATGTTCTTGTGGGTTCACAAATTCTGAAAGCAGATAATAAAACAAAAGTACATGAATAATACGTTATTTGAGAAATGGGTCTCCATTCAAAACGATTCCACACATTTCCTGGGCCATCCATTCAATCCATCCACTCAGTTCTTGGGAATCTCTCCCAGCCAGATCCTCATCCATTAGTAGCCACAGAGCACTACAGAGCCAGAAAAGGTAGATACATTTTTGTGTAGGAACCTCTACCAGAGAATTCTCTGGGATGGCTGTCACTGTATGCTCCTTGGGCACAAATACGGCATAAAAGTAGTGTATCTAATGGCTAAGGTCCTGGACTCTGCTCTAAGGAAAACTGGACTCAAAATTCAGCTCCATCACGCAAATGGATGAAAGATGCCAGGCTTAAATCTTTGTAAGCACCAGTTTCTCTTCTACGCAATGGTAGTGTTACCAGAAAAAAAGGCCATGTGTGTTGTCCAGGTCCTTGGCATTTTAAACAAAGAACTGAACAAAATGCACAAAGCAACAAAGGAATGAAACACAAAAATGAGAAAGGAAAGCAGGGATTTATTAAAGCACTCCACAGGGTGGGAGTGGGCCAGAGCAAGCGGCTCAAGGGCCCAGTTACAAAGTATTCTGGGTTTTAAGTACTCCTTGTGAGGTCCCTATCAGCTACCCCTTATCTCGATGAAGGGTTTGGCCCATGGCTAATTAAAGGCTGAGGTGAATTGGTGCGGTATGCAGATGAAGGAATGGCCCGGGCTTGACCCCCAGCCAATCCAGGGTGCTTTCTCTTTCCACCTGAGACGTGGCGGAAGCGGCAGGGTTGTAGAGTGACCGGGCTTTTCCTTTTAGTTTAGCTTTAGGAAGTTTGTGTTAATTGGCCTTAAGTTCCCTGCCCCCAGATCTTCTTGTTTCCCCTTGAATCAGCTTTAGGAAGTCAGCACTAATTGGCCTTAAGTTCCCTGCCTTCAGATCCTATTCTCCTGCCTCAGTAGTAATAATAATAGTATGCTCCTCATAGCATTTTGCTGAGGATTAAATGAGATAAGTAAATATGTCTGAAAGGATGAAAAGAAGCTGATGATGGAGGAATGGGCATCAGTGGCAAACTTACTTTTCACTGCATATTCTTATATAGTGTTTGAATTTTTAACATGCACATTCATCCCCAAAATATAAATACCTGCATACACACATAAAGCATTGTTGCATACATCCATAGACACGGTTAAAAATAATAGGATGATTTATGTACCTTTTTAGCACAGTGAGTAATAATTTCTTAATGAAGCCTAATTCATTATTAGTTTACCAAATATTAAGCACCCATAAATAAATATCTACTATTAAGTAAAAAATACTAGGGTATGTATATGTGTGTGTAATTACACATACATGAATGAAAGGATTTATGCTAAAATATAACAGAAATTTGCTCTGAATAATGAGGTTGTGAAGTAATTGATACCGTTTCCTCTAACCTAATTTTCTACAATAAACATGTGTTATCTTTGTAACGAGAAAAAAAATTTAATTGTTTACTAATGTGATGCAATCATCATAGGATATTTATTCTCACACTGTTGAAATAGTAGACTTCATTTTTATTCCAATAAATGTAAAATTAAACAAAGTATCTGTTATATTTCAGGTATATTGGCTGACGTTCTTGCTGTACTGACTTTGAGAGTATTTGCTATAAGTGGAAAACAAACATTGAGACTGATAGGCTCTGGCGAGGGTACTAAAGTATAGGGGATACTAAATAGGGCACGGGTCAGCCATTGACCTCATGTGTGCACACAAAAACTGTTTTTAAAAAAAAATCCAGGGGGAACACAGATACTGTAAAACAGAGGTTGTGAAAAATATTTTTACCCACCAAGAAGAGTACCTGCATCGTACCTGTACAAGATGCTGCTCCGGATGGGCAAAAGGGAGTCGTAAATGGTCAGGGAGTCAGTGACACAGTTGTCGGCTTCGATTTGGATGGACTTGATTGAGAGACGAATCAGGTAGCCCACTATGGCCACCAGCTTGAAGTGACACATCAGCCTCCCTGAGGCTGCAGAAATCTCCAGCGGGTAGTGGAGAGACAGATGCTCTGCATAGAAGTACTGAGAGCAGCCTTTGTCTGTGGAGACAGCACCATTTTCCTTTATTTTCTTTTTTTTTAGGAATGACTTTTATAAAAACAGAAATCTTTATAGAAAAGTAAAGGGCAAAAGAGGTCATGTGAAGGACATATGGCCAGCCTAGGTCCACTTCCCTGCCTTCTGGTAACAGCCCAGCATTTTGCCTTTAGAAACTATCCACACTCTGTCTATATAGTTTGGTTGGGGTTAAACTCACCCCTAGTTTCAGAGGTGGGCACATAACCCAGGCTGGCCAATCAGAGTCAAAGAAGTCATTTCAAGAATAGGCATGTCAGTCAATCCAGACAATGAGAGTCAGCCCCAGGACTTCTGCAAGAGCAATCAGGAAATACGTGGAGGTGGTTTTCATCATGGTTTAGAAAATGATAAATTATAAGTTTGGATCTGCTTGGTGGTCCTTGTTACAAATACAGTGGAAGAGCACACTTGATAAAGAAGGCTCCATAGAAGTAGGCAGAGATGCAGAGTTCTGATGATATTTTTATTTTAGATCCTAGACTCAACCATAACTAACGCCAGCACACTCCATGTATGTCCCACTTACATGAGCCAGTCAAGTTTCTTTTGTGCTTAAGGCAGTTTGAATGCATTTCTGTCACTTGCAATTAAAAGAGCACTAACAAATACCATCAATTAGAAAATGAAAATTACAGCCAAAAACAATATTAACATGGGGGGAGGGGGAACCACATGAAAGAATTTACCAGATCCTATGGTTGACGAGTAATCCGACCGAAGCCCAGCTGCATTGAAAAAGCACATGAGAAGAGATTGAATCCTATCATTTCATTTTGTTAGAATTTTGCTTAGTAAAAATTATTTTCAGTCCTTCTTTAAAGGCAATCAAACACATCTGGGATTTACTTTAAAATAATCCAGTGAGGATGAGGTAGTTGTTCAGGTATTTAGAGATCAAATAGAATAGTCATGAGTGAGTTGGTAGTTGTCGAGGTTGAGTAAAGGGTGTATGAGAGTTCACTATACTATTCTCTTTACTTTTGTATCCTTGAAATTGTAGTTGCAAGTTTCAAATATTTTCAAAGGTAAAAAAGCAACCAAACAAATATGATATTAGTCCTATATATGAAATAGTACATGAGATACAGAATTTTCTATGAGATTTTTCCTTTATTTAACAAATATTTGTCAGCTACCTACCATATGCCTAGTGTATGTGTGTGTGTATAATATACTTATATATTTTTAAATACACACAAATTTATAATATACTTATAACATGTTCATATATGTATTTTATCTATAAAATTTAAATCAAAACAGAAAACTGCACAAATTTTGAGTTATGCAATCATTAAACCATTTTACTATCAAGGCAAACAATGAAATTTGCATTTGGGGCTATGAAGCAAGCTGTTTTGGAGTGTTGGACAACATTACACAGTAAAGGGACAGTTCTGTCTGGGCAAGTAAAGTAACAAGATAAACCTCAGCAAAATTCTTCCTTGTCTAGGGTTTTGTTCTTTGGGGACTTAGTTTGATGATGCATGACCTGAATAAAGGTAGGTAGAGGTACACAGTAATACATTCAATTTCGTATGTATATTGTCCCCACATCTATTGTTCAATTGCAATATACAACATTTAGCAATTTCCTTTACTAACATAGCTCCAATGTCTTTAGTTAATCCTGCGCCACTGGGATTGTGGGGTAATCCCACATTGTAATGCTTCATTACAATGTTGACTATAATCATGGCAAGTATCAGGAGTCCTGCAGGAAGGAATGCTAAAGGAAAATTACCCAACAATCACCATTTAGTACCACAGAGTCCATGTCCACAGCCAGTCCCTGCAAGCTCCCCACAGAGGTCCGGTTTATGATGCTTGTCTGGATGGAGTCCTTCAAGATGGCGGCAACACAGTCTTCACAGAAGATGTGGCCTTTGGCACGTGGCATGACAAAAACAATCCAAAAGTGGACAAGGAGGCCGCCTTTGTTGTTGCTGCTATAACGAAAAAAGAGAGATCATCAGGGACCTCATAGGACTTTACAGAGAAGAAATACCCAGATGATGGATTCAAGGTAAGGCCAATGAGCACATCCTTCAACTGAAGCTAGCTCCCTTCTTTAGGTAGTCATTGACGTCTGTTATGAAGATTGGCAAAGGACAGCATCATGTTATATGTATTCAGACCATAGTGTTGGATTCTAATCTAAAACCATTACTGTAGAGTTGCGTCTCCATGGAGAATATGCTATTTCTATGGATATCAATCAGTATTCACTGCCATTAAAATTTAAAACCATGGCTGGGCATGGTGGCTCACGCCTGTAATCCCAGCACTTTGGGAGGCTAAGGCAGGCAGATCACCTGAGGTCAGGAGTTCGAGACCAGCCTGACTAACACGGTGAAACCCTGTCTCTACTAAAACTACAAAAATTAGCCAGGCATACTGGCAGGTGCCTGTAATCACAGCTACTTGGGAGGCTGAGGCAGGAGAATTGCTTGAACCCGGGAGGCAGACGTTGCAGTGAGCTGAGATCATGCCATTGTACTCCAGCCTGGGCGACAGAGCGAGACTCTGTCTCAAAAAAGAAAAAAAATTAAAACCATTACAATGTTTGATACTCTGCCATGTCCGGGGACTGTGCTAAATCTGCTTTATCCCATTTAATCTTATGAGAAGGTCCCATTATTATTCCAGTTTTATAGGTGAGAAAACTGAAGCCGAATACAACTCCAAGTCACATAGCTAGTAGCAGATCCAGTAATTAAGCCCAATTTGGTTTCCAGTCGGCCCCCAGAGCCTGAGCTCCTAATGACATAAATACTGCCACGTTTTAGGAAAGGAACATAACATGGCATTCTGCAGGAAATGACTTGGGAAATGGAAGGTTAAGGAAACTAATCAAGTTGCTATACTCCAAGGCTTCTCAGTGCTTTAATATGTCAAAGTGGATTGTGGATTGTGAATCTCTGCAGATATATTGGGAGTGGGTGGGGGTGGGATATAATATATGGTGCACGATTTTTTCTAAAAATTATTTGACCATGAATCCCCTTTTTTCTCAGAAGATCTCTAGTGACCAGTTTTTCACTGAACATTAAGAAATCATGGTCTGTGCTTTATTTTTGCCTCCACCCTCCACCCAATATGATAGACAAGTTTATGGCCATTTTGCACAGCAGCACTGCTATAGGGGTTCAGGATTCTAGCTATGGGGAGAAGGTCGGGATTTGGTGGATAAAGAGCAAAAACACAGCAAGAAAGAAGGGCAGTGAGTTGAGTCGCTAGTTGTGCTAATACAGTATGAATCCCCAACCACTTCCAAGAAGTTACTTGGGAATGGTGGAATCTCAGCCTTTTCATAGCCTTGAATGGACTTTAGAACAATGAACACAGAAATCTCAAAACAAGGGACATGCATTACCTGACATCTGCAACAACAGACTGCTCATAAAATTTGGAGAAGGCAGATGTTGTATAAACCAGGTTTATCTGAAAAAGAATAGTTGAGGTATCTGAAGTATTTCATACTTGACTTCCTTTTACAGTATCTTAAATGTTGTAGGCCCAAGCTCTGACAGCCAGCAAGAAGAAATGCAAGCCTCAAAATAAAGGCTCCTAACTCCACACCCCGGCATTATTTCTTGAATTCAAATAAATTCTTCCTGCAACAATCTTGAGTGACTTACTTTCATTCTGCTATCTGTGAAAAATCAGTGAAAAGTCATTTATTGCTCTCTTTAAACTCAAACTTAACTTCTGTATTCTCCCCACTGCAAAGGTTAATTTTCCCCACAGTTAACAAATCAAACTCATTTAAGTACATTTTCATAGTACAGTAGTCTGACCCAACGTCTTTTCTATCAGTGCACCAGCGTCGACCATATTCTTAAGGACACATTCTCACATTAGCCACTAGGGGGCGAGTGGTACCCACAGCCAGGTCTACCAGCCCCCTTCATAACAAACTCTAGGGAAGCGCCCCAGCCATTTTAAAACTTCATAATTGGATCTCAAGGGAGAGCTCTGTTTCAATCGATTTACCTTCTTGGCCCTTACCTAGCATTTCTAAAAGCAAACTCACTCTCTTCTCCCCAGTCATTTTCTCTAGTATTCCCCTTCCTATGTAATTTGAAAACCACTTACATAATTGCCCAAGATTTAAAAACAAAAAAATTTAACCCTTAGAAATTATGAAGTGTAGTGGAAACAATATAAGCTGTGAAATTTAAATTCACTGTGCAACACAGAACATGTTGCCTAAACCTGTTTAGGCAGGATTTTTTTTTTCTTTTTCTTTTTCACCTATAAAGTGGTAATCAAAACACCCACCTCCTTGGGATAATTTTAGAAATAATTGGTATACAGTCATATGCCACATGACATTTTGGTCAATGACAGACCACATATATGACAGTAGTCCCATAAGATTATGATGGAGCTGAGCAACTCTTATCATCTAGTGATTTGTGTTACAATTGCCTACACTGTTCAGTACAGTAACATGCCGTCCAGGTTTGTGGCTTAGGAGCAGTAGGCTATACCATCTAGCCTGGGTGTGTAGTAGGCCATTCCAGCTACGTATGTGTACACACACTCTATGATGTTTGTACAACAGTATCTCCATTGTTAAGCGACACAGGACTGTATAAATATTAGAGGCAAAGGGTTTAGTGACGTACCCAGTATATAGCAGGCATTCAATAAGTAAAAGCTGCTCTGAGCACTATTGTCTTTGATGTGCCCTCTCTCTCACCACCTTTCCTCATTCTACACAGCCAGTCATTGTGTCAAGTTCATCACTATGACAACCCTCTCCAGTACCGTGGAAATACAAATTGACAGCAACGTTCTAGTTGGTAATATGTGCCAAGAGCCATGAATAGATACTTTTCTATTTGTCCAAGTAATTATGCTTTTAGGAAACCACCTAAGGGAGTAGTCAGAGATACTCACAAAGAATGTGGCAGTTTTGCTGTCACATTATCTATAGCAAAAGTTGGGAACAGCCTAAACATCCAATAAATAGGGATTTGCTAACTTTGAGTCTATTGTAACTTATATTTTTTAAAGGAAGATTTACGTGCATAGAAGCATGCAATAGCATGCTAAGAGAAAATGTTAGTTTATAAAACTGAATATAATATTCCAATATTGCACTATTCTCTATGTCTGTGTATTTCAGAATAAAAAGGGGCTTTGTCTCCGGTGATGACATTAAAGAAGATGTTAGTTTTTAAAACATAATCATCTGAATTTTGCTAATTTTTATAATAAATATGTATTAGTTCTACAATGAGAAAGTTATTTTTTTACAATGAAGAGATTGCCAGGGCATCAAGGTTGAAATAAATGTGTACAATAATGGAATTAATCGGTATGCATCTAACTTCAGAACTGGAAGGTGTTTTAAAGGTCATCTGATTCCAATTCTTTTATTTTACGGTTCAGAAGAACTGAAGCTGAGAGAGCCATTCTTTTTTTTACATTGGAGCATGGGGGCAGGGGGAGAAATTCTATCTTATAGCCAAGATGTGCTAGATTTCATGTTTTCTTCTGACACCTTCCTTTGTCTACCCTGCCCTCTACTTCCCTAAACCCTGCTCACCTGTGACACTTGTGTTCCCCTCCAGCTTCATCCCCCACCTCCCCGCAAACCCACTCTACCCTAATACCCTCTACCTCCATCGCCTCACCACTTGCTGCACAGTCCGTGACACTGAAAGAAATTCCCTGGACTCCTTTTGTCGGTATTCGGGAAGAAACTCAATGTTGGTGATGCGAAACATCCCAGCAAAGTAAAAAGCATCTTTGCTTTCTGTTTTACCTGTAAAATAGGAAAGAACAAGATTCGGAGGCTTTCCCATCTGTGTGGCAGTAAGGAATTGTCTGAGCTATGTCAGTATGAGGCTCCTAAAATAATTTTATTTTAGGCAGCTACATACTAACTGGTTCAGAGCCTGTGAACTTTTAAATGTAGGTAACAACATCTATTTCATCAGCAGCAAATAACCGTATCTCAGAATATTCCTTCTGTCCACTCTGGCAAATACTTAAGAGCAAGATTAAAAGGATCTCATGGCCCTTGTGTGTTACTTTTCTGTGGCCCATATATACCCTGCTTTATCATAATTTCTCTCTGTCTCCTTTATGGGCTCTCTGAAGGAATAAATGGTAATTTATTTTGATTCCTCAGCCCCTAATGCAGGGAGTGCCTGGCTTAGCTTTGAAGCTCAATAAACATTTGAGGGAAGGAAGGGAGGGACAAAGTGGGTAGAGGGGGAGAGAAAGGGAGAAAGAGTGAGAAAGAGAGAGAGAGAATATTTCCTCTTAGCACAAGGCCCAGCACATGGAAATGCTAAATAAATGATGGCTGAATTAAAAAGAATTTGCAACTGCTGTGAGTGATAGGAAACAGCTTCCCCTCTAAGATCCATTCAAGGTCACTTTAGCCCTAGGAAGTGTAGGGAGGCTGGGGAGGGGAGGAGGAAGCACGGGGTAAGGGGCAGAAGGATTGAACTCCTGTCCTTGATTTGTTTTTTCAGGTAATGTGACCTTGGACTGATCACCTTGCCTCTAGGCCGACCATATAAAACAACAGTTGTTTTTTGGTTTTTGGTTTTTTTATTTTTATCAGGGAAGTGCGTCCTAGATTTTTTTTTTTTTTTTGGTTGCAGACTCTAAAATTCAAATGAAAGCTATGACTTCTTTCCAGAAGCTCACGCATCCTTCTCATATCAGTAAGTACTCTACAGTCAGAACAATAACCATGTAAGAAAGATCAATTAATTTAGCATTCAATCAGACTACATTTACCTAACTCTTCAGTTCAGCCTAATGTACAAGATCCTCCGTAGTCTCCCTGTTTACCTGTTTCTCTGTCTACCTCCTTTTTCAAGGCCACCCTCCATGCCCAGATTTCCTGTATCAAAACTAACCTGATTTCTATTGAAAAATTCTTACTGGTCCATACCAGTCTCCCTTTGCTTGTACTGATCTGTTTCCATGAAGTGGCCTTCTCTGATTTTTATAAGCCAACAAACTACATCTGCACAAGGATGTTCTAAAACTTTATGTAAAAATGCTAGGACAGTGCAAATGTGTCAGCTGGGGAACAGCAGAGAAACCACGGCAAATAAGCTTCTTTGTTCTGGGTTGGGGTTGTGTGTGTTTGTCTTAATGGCCCATTGACTTGACTTCCCCACCAGTTTCCTCAAGGACAGAGATCTTATCTTGCTCACCACTCTGCTCCCATGCCTACCCCAGGACCCAACACATAATGAACAGTCTCAAGATGTATCAAATGAATGTTCGGGAACCAGTTCATGAACCCTTCTCTGGATGCCATCCCTGGGCAATTTGGATGTCTTTCTTCTGTCATCACAAGATAATCACTTAAGCAAAAAAACTCACACCTTCTCTCTAGCACTGAACTCTGAACTTTCTGAAAGTAGAAAATGCATCTGTGAGCTTTCTGAAGGTAGGAGATGCATCGTGGTGTGTTTGATGCCCTACATTCTGCCAAGCAAATCACAAGTGATCAATTTATGTGCATATAAGTGACCTGAACCGTTCAAGACAGTATTCCTTCATTCTTTGCCTGAAAGTCTTCCCTTCCAATCAGATTTTCATATCTCTGAGAGTACATCTAGGAAAACTGTTTCTCTACCCATAACACTTCTGTCACCAAATGTGGGGGTGGGGGCAGGGGTTCCGCACACCAAGCAACTCTCCAATTCATTGCAGACACCAACTGGATGTCCAATGATTCAATTCAATTCTGACACCAGCTACCAAGAGTTCGTGTCAGACCCCAAAGGTTAAAGGCACATTCTTACTAGACTGCCCCCCAATGCAGATCCCAATCAGAAGTAGTAGGTCCCCAGGCTACCCACACTGCTGTCCAAATTGGCTACAAATTGGCTGTTCTCATAAAGCCCTCAGGTTTCATAATTTGCTAAAATGACTCACAGAACTCAGAGAAACACTTTACTTACTATTCCTTCTTTATTATAAAGGATACAGATGAGCAGCCAGATGAAGAAGTACCTACAGCGAGGTCCAGAAGGGTCTCTAGAGTAGGAGCTTCTGTCCCTGTGGAGTTGGAGCATGCCACCCTCCCAGCAACTGGATATGTTCACCAACCTGGAAGCTCCTTGGTTTTTACAGAGGTCAGTTTTAAATCATTGTGCATTCGTGATTAAGCTCAATCTTCAGCCCCCTCTTGAAAGTTACAATCCTCTAAGCATGTGGTTGGTTTCTCTGGTTACCTAGGGGCTTTCAGCCACCAGTCACTTTGTTAATATACAAAAAGACATTCTTAGAAGCTCTGTGTTAGGATCTAAGGACTACAATCAAATATTATAACAAAATGTATGTATATAAACCAAAAGATGCTCCTATCACTCCTATCATTCAGGAAGTTACAGAATGTTAGAAGCTCTGAGCCAGAAATCTAGGGCACAGAATAACTATGTATTTCACATTATATCATGGTGCATGATTTTGTATCAAATACATTAACATGTATAGATGGCAACTCCGATACAAGTCAACAAAGGCTATACTTGCAGTGTTGCATAAGTGAGAACTCTATAGGAAAGGGCTTAGTTATGACACCTGTCCAAAAGGATCAGTCAGATCAACAAACACGTAATAACAGAGGAGAGAAAGATGCATGTGCAAAATGGAGCTCAGGGAGCCGGAAATTCAAGGTTGCCTAGAAACAGGTGGTGGGTGGAATGAGGAAATGAAACAGCTTAGCATTCCATTAATTTTTTTAAAGCTACAAATGCATTACATTTCTGAACCAGTCAAAATCTCCTGAGCATCCTTCTCAGCTCTTCCCATCCTATCCCCAATCTCCTCCTCTTGCTCTCCTATGGGGAGAAAATGGTGTTGGTAAAAAAAAAAAAGAAATGAGAAAGAGAATTCTGGCTTATGTCTCCTTAAAATATCAACACCAGGCCGGGCACCATGGTTCACGCCTGTAATCCTAGCACTTTGGAAGGCCAAGGTGGGAGGATTGTTTGAGTACAGGAGTTTGGGACCAGCCTGGGCATCATAGTGAGAACTCTGTCTCTACAACAAACTTTAAAAGTTAGCCAGTTAGCCCAGGTGTGCTGGCATAGACCTGTGGTCTCAGCTACTCGGGAGGCTGAGGCAGCAGGATTGCTTGAGCCCAGGAGTTCAAGGTTGCAGTGAGCTGTGATTGTGCCACTACACTCCAGCCTGGGTGACAGAGCAAGACCTTGTCTCAAAACAAAATAATAAAAAACCATCAACACCAGTTTTGGAAATGGTGTATCCATATTGGAAAAAGGAAAATCCCATCAGAAATACCTATGGCAGATTAGGGCTGCATTGCTAATGCTGGACTCATACCATAAGCCCTAACCCCAAAGAAACACAGATTTTTAACTTACTGATATACAGCCACAGAAGTGTCCAGGCTATGACTGCTAGGATGAATAAAAATACTGTGAAGAGAATGATTTTATTTTGTACATTCCAAAAGGGAACTTTTTTCTTGGATTGCTTCTTGGGTTTGGCTTTGCCAATGGGTCTTTGTGGTGGTCGTCTTCCTGGCAATGGTAGTCGTCTCCCTGGCAACGGTGGTCGTCTCACTGGCAGCTTCTTTTGGGCACTGACCACTTGGACTGAGATATTGGATATCTTCAAAAAAAAGAAATAAGATATGTTACCAAGTAGAAGTAGACAGGATCTTAAATGAAACTACCCAGTCAGGAGATGTTGGTACTAAAAGGCCTAAATATGACTATTTAAGCATTCATATTTATGTAAGTATATCAAATTATTTACATAAGTATAATAACTTGATTTGCACCAAGTCACAAAATTAAGATCAGATAAACTAGACATTACTGTATACAAACCCTAGTGAAATGGTTTCTATTGGGGGAACCAGCCCCCGATATTTCAATGTAGGTTCTTTTCTATTTTCCCTAAGTGTCGGCCGGTCTGAGAAATAAAGAGAAAGAGTACAAAAGAGAGAAATTTTAAAGCTGGGTGTCCGGGGAAGACATCACATGTCGGCAGGTTCCATGATGCCCCCTCAGCCACAAAACCAGCAAGTTTTTATTAGCGATTTTCAAAGGGGAGGTAGTGTATGAATAGGGTGTGGGCCACAGAGATCACGTGCTTCAAAGGCAATAAAATATCACAAGGCAGAAGGTCAGAGCAAGATCACAAGGTCAGGGTGAAACTAGCATTGCTAATGAAGGTCCACATCCTGCTGGGCACACATTGTCATTGATAAACATCTTAGCAGGAAACAGGGTTCAAGAGCAGAGAACTGGTCTGACTAGAATTCGCCAACCTGGAATTTCCTAATCCTAGCAAGCCTGGGGGTGCTGCAGGAGACTAGGGTGTGTTTCATCCCTTATCTGCAACTGCATAAGGCAGACACTCCTAGACGGCCATTTTAGAGGTCTCTTCCTGGGAATGCTTTCTTTTCCCAGGGCTGTTAATTATTAATATTCCTTACTGGGGAAAGAATTTAGCGATATTTCTCTTACCCATTTTTGGCAATAAGAGAAATATGGCTCTGTCCTGCATGGCAGTCAGACCCAATGGTTATCTCCCTTGTTCCCTGAACATTGCTGTTATCCTGTTCTTTTTTCAAGGTGCCCAGATTTCATATTGTTCAAACACACATGCTTTACGAACAATTTGTGCAGTTAACGCAATCATCACAGGGTCCTGAGGCTACATACATCCTCAGTTTACAAAGATGACGGGATTAAGAGATTAAAGTAAAGACAGTCATAGGAAATTATGAGAGTATTGATTGGGGAAATGATAAATGTCCATGAACTCTTCACAATTTATGTTCAGAGACTGCAGTAAAGACAGGCGTAAGAAATTATGAAAGTATTAATTTAGGGAACCAATAAATGTCCGTGAAATCTTCACAATTTATGTTCTTCTGCCATGGCTTCAGCAATTCCCTCCATTCAGGGTCGCTGACTTCCCGCAACAGTTTCTAGGTTCTTTCCTCAACTCTCCAACTCTGTTGAATAGATGCTGTGGAGGAGAGGCCTGAATTTCATGGGGTAAAGTAGATTAGAGGACTTGAAGGTTAGGAGGTTAAGGTTAAGATTCTATGTGGGTAGAATCATGTGTGTACACAGCCCCTCCCCCCTCCTTTTTTTTTTTTTGACAGAGTTTTGCTCTTATTGACCAGGCTGGAGTGCAATGGAGTGATCTTGGCTCACTGCAACCTCTGCCTCATGGGTTCCAGCGATTCCCCTGCCTCAGCATCCCAAGTAGCTGGGATTACAGGCACTCACCACCACACCTGGCTAATTCTGTATTTGTAGTAGAGATGCGGTTTCACCATGTTGGTCAGGTTGGTCTTGAACTCTTGACCTCAGGTGATCCACCCACCTTGGCCTCCCAAAGTGCTGGGATTCCAGGTGTGAGCCACTATGCCTGTCCACAGTCCTTTTAGTATATGTGTGTGTTTCACATGTTTGTATTATATTGTTTTTCTCTCACAATCAATTATTTCTGGGCTGATGCAGGATTGAAAATAAGAAGATAAGTGAGTTCCCCACAGAAATGAATTGATTTCCTAGTTACAGCTTCATGACTGGGTGGTAGGAAGGAAAAGTAAAGGTGATATGATAATTTGCATAGATTGTACAAATTTGTGCAATTTGTAACTGCACAAATTGTTCGTAAAGCATGTGTGTTTACATACGGTTGTAGGGTTGTGGGTTTATAGGAATTAAATATGTTTGTTTTGCCATTGCCAGCCGCTGCCATTGCCAGCCACAGTTTCTCAATTATAAATGAAATAATTATTTAAAAGTAAATGGAAGAATGAAATAGAACACTCATTAGATTAGAAAATTGTTGGTTTAAGTGTATTGATGTGCATAGTGTTATGTGCAAGAGTAAAAAATACATTATTTAATTGTTTCCCTTCCTCCTCTTTTATTTTCTTGTCTACCCTCTGCTATTTGATGCTGTGAATTCTTTAATAATGTATTCAAGAGTTTAGCTTCATTTAAGGAGAGATTTATACAAGTCAGGGTAACTAAACTCCAGAGACGAAATAGCTTTTAACCACACATTCTTTTAAAGGCAACAATATGGAATGCCAATGCCAAAGAAATAATCTCTCTTTTGCACTGTCCTTAAGAGTTCTCTCCTTCTCTTTTCCTCTCCCTCACTCTTCTCTTCAAAATTCATGCCCTCCAGTCTTTAATCTTGCCAATTAATGGGATAATACGTGGCCACGTACACTCTGAATTATTCATGGCCCCTTCATTCTTTTTGCCAAACACCTTGTCAACCCCTGGAGTGAAGTGTTGCTTGTATCCTTTCTGGTGAAATTGAACTAGACCAGACATCATTTAATGTGGTGTCCTGCAGGAATGAGGACTGGGTTTCTAAAGAGAGAAACATTCCATTGTAGAATGAGTTGTCGATGGTATCAAGCTACTTTCAAGTGCTCCCCCAAAAGAAATAAAGAAACACGCAGAAATGCCAGTACATGTTGAACTGACAAAGCCAAGTTTGGATCTTTTAAGTGCAGAAACACATTATAGGCAGTCTCAGTTAGCACTGATTAAATTTTAAAATGGAATTTGTGTAGAGATCAGTACAATTTCCCTGGAGTTTTAGAAAAACGGCTACAAATCAATTGCCAAGTACAGCACTTTATAATAAGCTCACATTTGTAAAACCCATTAATTACCATAAGAAGATAAAATATTTTATTATTGTTTCCTTTATGTTTATAAGGTCATACAATCTCATTTTACTAACAGGGTCAACAATAAATGGCATTCAAGTAAGAGAAAGTTTCTCACCCTGTACTTACTTTCAGGTCAGCAGGTGCGGCTGAAACATCGCTGTTTTCTTTGTCCATTATTAGGCGTTTTGTGTGTGATCATCCAGGGGTGTCTCAAAGCCAGTTTTTGCCCCTTATATGCTCTCTTGAGAAGAATTGAGAGAACCGTCACCGCATTCAAGCTAGCTTTCAGAGGAGTGGAATCAATTTACCTCCACCGGGTTCAGTTCAGAAACTGAAGCCGCCTCATTGCTATATTGTAAATGTTAAAGGGACCTAGCACTCAGCTTTGCACCCCAAACTCAAGGATTCTCAATGTAACTTTCATAGGAGTCAGGCCTCTCAGAGTACAGCCAGCCTCAAGGCAAGGTTTTCTTATAAGAAACACAATCCTACAATCCAGTAACATTTAAAAATCATTATAATTTTTTTCTTGCATCTCCTAAAGAATATGAAGAGGTCTAATTTACAACCCTCAGCACCACATCTGAGAAGTCCTCACACCTCATTTCTCTTGCGTGGCATCTCTTGCCTGCTCCAGGAGACTCACTCTTCAGTCCTGCTCTCAACTCTCCAGCCATACTCTCTGAGAACTCATAATCCAAAGGGACTTTTTTCCATTTAGCTCCCCCTACTTCTTGCAGTCAGTCCTCAGTAAACCTGGGGCCCTTTCTGCTGTAAAGCCCCTGTTTCCATCTCTCCCATACTTCCCAATGTCAATCTGAATTAGATCCATGGTGGGAAGAATAATCCAATCCTGAGGGGCAGTGTCAGAATTTCTCTTAGCAGACGGGGAGAAAAAGGCAGGGATTGCTGGAACCTCATCACCCTGTGGGCACTGGGTGTCAACAGAAAGCTGATCTGTCACGCTTTAAAGGAGAAACACTGTTCTGCTGATCCAGACACAAACTTCAGCATCATTCACGGGCTGTGCATATGGCAAGTGAGAAACTGCCTGCTGAAAGTGGGGAAAGATTAGTTGAGTTGCTTCATACCTGAAATTTGATCTAACTTGGGGAAGATGAGACAGAATAACAAAAAAAAAAAAAAAAAAAAAAAAAGAATTAAGTCATGTACAAATTCGCCTCTTGGGTTTTGTTATTTATTATTCACATTGATGAAATTATTAATAATGGTTTAGACTTTATAATATTACTTTTAATGGCTCATCTTTCCAGTATTATTTCTCTACCTATTTCTAGAACTAACTCATATTTCACCAATATAAGTAAAATTTGTATACTTATCGGTGGCCATTGACAAAGACTCTCTTCTTGACCAAAGTGTTGTCAGGTTACTCTGAGCTCTCTTTTCAACTAGACCTTGTCCTTGGGCCTTGTCTTTGGCCCATCTGGTCAGTTTAGCAGGAATCCCCCCGCCTTGATATCTGATCACCCTTGATTTTGCTTTCTTTTTCTTTTCTTTCTTTCTTTCTTTCTTTTTTTTTTTTTTTTTTTTTTTGATTCAAGAGTGGCCTTGAAATACCCTTGATATCTGATCAAGTTCTTTATCCCCTACCCTTGATATGTAAGTCCTTGGCTGCCTGTAACAAGAATCCTGATTGGTCAGTTTAGCAAGGATGCCCCTTGGTGTTTCCCCTTAGTAATTTTCCAACCATGGACCCCCTCACTCTCTTCATTGACTACTAATCCCCAGCTTTCTTTGCTGTATTTGGAACTGAGTTCAGCTCTATATCGAATTCACTTTCTCCCGTTGCAACAGTGCTGAAGAAAATCTGTCTTTACAGCCTTTAACTAGTGTCCCCCCATCCTTTTTTCCCTTTCACACCACCAAGTGTGAAAAGTGGCAGCAAAATATCAGGAGGCTGTGTTAAATGTACCAAATTTAAAAGCAATCATAAAACCAACCAAAGGCTGCTTTTTCACTATCATCATGCCAGCAATTCTAAATAATGTCAGTGACAAAATACTCCTCTCTAAAAAAAAAAAAAAAAAAAAAATTGCCATGAGTTCTAAACAATCACTGCCACTACAACTGTTTGAATAATACTTATTTAAGTGTATAATGAGCAATTCCTATTATTCATTTTTTAGTAAGTGATGAATGTCATGCAGAAATTAATTTGGAAATCTCCCAACTGTAAAGTTGGTCTCAAACATGTTGTGGGTAACAACTATCTGGGGCCAGTGGTGCAGGTGGTAAAGGAATTTCCCAAGACAGTTGTAGGTAAAGAAAGGTAGATTTATTAGAGAAAGTAAGAAAATACATTGCAAGAGAGCAACAGGCAGATCAGCAAGAGAGGAGCTGGCTGCGAGGAGACAAAGGCTGGCTCGGGATTTTACAGGATGGTGCTTGTGCTCAAGAGGGCCACGTGGAGTGCTGATAATGCCAAGGTCACAATGAGCTAACTTGCATTTTTCTATCAGTCAAGGGTCTGGTGATTAGTCGGGTGCAGGAAGATTGTGAGTTATTTGAGTTACTTGTGCAGGAGGGCTACATGTCTTGGACCATGAAGAAAGGCAGACTTACAGCTCATTTGCTTTCTTCTTTTTGCTTTCCCCTGCTTCCACCAGCCCGACTCCTTTTCCCTAATTAGGACTCCACAGAATACAAGATGACTGTGACACATGTTCATTTCAAGAGTAAGCTTCTAATGGTCTGGAATCATTTGCACATACTTAGGGCAGAGTCCTTGCCTCCAGCAATCCCTGTGGGATTACATATTGCTGCATTTAAAGGGAAGGTTCAAAACAAGCAATAATAGCACAATGATTGTAAAGACCAAGAAACAGAATTTCAGTTATTTCATTTGTCCTTCTATGTGACCAATGAGTTAATTTATATTTAAAATTTAATACAGTTACAGGGTATGAATTGCAAGGTGTAATATTTTTATATGTAATATTCTGTATGCAGTATGTATTTTGTTAATTTTATTTTTGCTAGCATAATTATATATACAAAGTTGACTAAAATTTTTCACTTTTTTTCTCATCAATATTATTATTAGTTTTATTTCATGATTCCTCCTGAAAACAATTTTACTGTATAGGAGAAGAGATTGTTGAGAAATGATCCACTCCAAGGAGAAGCAGCCCCTGAGTAGCTGGGCAGCTTCTGTAGGGTCAACAGTGTGAAGGACCTACCACAGGGTGTCGTTGGCACCGCCTGGTAACTGGTGATTCCATCGGCCAGCAGAGCTCATACCCACATTCCCAGATTAGTCCACGGGGTCCAGGTACTACCTCGACTGTGGCTCTTCCAGATGCATGGAGGCTGCACCACCGCCCATGCCCTGAGTGCATGGTATCAGAGGCACAGGCCATACTTCTGCTGGAGCCAAGTGGTGCAGAGCCTGGGCCACTGCTCCAAGTAGCTGGGCCTCCCCACAGCTAACTATCCAGAATAAGTGGTAGATAACCTTCCAACTGGTGTATCCACATCATTTATCATGGTTGGGCCAGTTTGGAAGTGGAAATGTCCATAAGATGGTGGTGAACATAGGGTGGAATCCATACTGCAAAAATACCCAAAAAATCCACAAAAACTCCTACCATGCATGCCTTTAAAGAGGACTTCTGGCTGGGCACAGTGGCTCATACCTGTCATCCCAGCACTTTGAAAGGCCAAGGGAGGAGGATCACTTGAAGCCAGGAGTTTGAGACCAGCATGGGCAACCTAGCAAGATCCTGTTCGTACAAAAAAAAAAAAAAGCCAGGTGTGGTGGTTCGCCATTAGTCCTAGCTACTCTTTGGGAGGCTGAGGTAGTAGGATCTCATGGGCACAGGAGTTTGAGGCTGCAGTGAACTAGGACTTCTGTGGGAAAATCCTCAATGTGACTATCGTTGACTACCTCATAAAGGAAATTACTAATCAGAAAAAAACTTCTCGGATTCTTTAGAGTCACTTGTTTCAGCAATTCACGGTGATATTGAGGAAGCTAAGAAATGATGTGATTTACCAGAACATTTGAAACTCAAAGAAGACAATTTCTTCCAGGTTCCTAAAAGCAAAATGATGAATGGCCACTGATGAAAAAAATCATCTTATTTATTCATTCACTCTTTTCTAGTGAAAACATAACTGCTCATAACTCTGCAGTCTCATCTTGGTTGTATTTTAAAAACCAAACATTTCCCTACAGCTATTAATTAGTTTAAACAGTGCACTGCAGTTACCATTTTATGTTTCAACTGTTAAACCCATCAGGACGTAGTACAAAAGAGATTCATTTAAAAATCAATATTATTTTTATGTAATATGTTGATTCAAATGCATCACTAGAAAGGTATTGGTCTTATGGAAATAAAATGTATGTAAGTATGGGTAAAAAGGCAAATCACTAGTTTGATGTGAGAAGTATAATTCTCATGGTAAAATACCAGCATATATATACTCATATAGATTTACTGCTAAACAGAGGGGCCTTATAAAAGTAAATGCACTAAACAGAAGGTTGATAGTTTATTATAATCCTAAAAGGAAAAAATCTAGATTTTGTACTTTTTTGATATTTTGTACATTAATATATTATCATAAACATGAGGACATTTGGGAAATATTATTTTAGTCATTTCCTTTATGAGGTCACAGCATTGTATCATCTTCATTTTTGTATGGCACTGCCTCAATTTGTGGACTAGACACCCTCTGCCTATCATGGTTTTTGTGTTTATATTTTAAGACAGCAGAATAAGTGTTTTTTGAATCTGTAGGTCTCATTTTTGTGTTGGATAACCCTTTCTATCTTTTAACATTTTGTGTTGGATAACCCTTTTTATCTTTTATCTTTTTAACAGTAGATATCTCTGTCCTGCCACAATTTTTTTTTACTTTGGTTCTTTCTTCCTTTAAATGATTGTCAATGTCAGTTTATTCCATTTAGAATATCCTACAACTGTATACTTAAAAGAGATTGCATCTGTCCATACCATTCCATTCTTTCACTATAGAACAGTAAGTAAGCATATGTATGTATTGCATTTTATAGAAAAAACAAAACAGCAAACTTCATCTTTAGTTTTCCTTAAGATTTAAATGAACATTTAGCCGTTCATTTATATGTACCAGTTTTTTAAAGGGCACAAAACTATTGAGCCAGTTAAACTATAAAATAATTAGGAAGTTATTTATTTTTAATGCAAGTATATGTTCTGGAGCAAATCTAAATTGCTGTAGTTGCATATGCACAATGTAATTTGATGCTTGTCTAAAGAGTGCTTGTAGCTTCAGGGAAATGCCCAAAATTTTACTTAAATAATTTTCATAATATGGATTTTTCCTCCTACTAACTGTATGATTTTTGGCCATTTGAGTCTTTTTCTTTATACCAGAAGAAAGTTGAAATCTTTGGATACTTAGGAAATTAAGATTACAGGTTGTGTTGGGCTCCTCAAACAGCATCTTGCATCATTGTTCACTCTAGCAACAGATCTGGTGGTAAATGGGGGTCGGGGTTGGAGTAGAACTATGCAAAAGCTATTTTTAAAGATAACTCATTATGCATCAGTTTCCCCTAATCTGCATAGGTGAATTAGAACTGATTTTAATTAAAATATTTTAAATTATTTAGAAAAGCATATAAAGTTGTTGGAGAAGAGAAAATCATATATAAACTCAGTTGGATTGTGTTTTACTTTTTGCTGTACGTATTTATGGCAAACAATATAGTTTGTGGCTTCTTTATAGAAATATTTAGAAAACATAATTGTAAATGTTAGAAATCCTATACTTGAAAGAAGCCTCATTTATCATGGATTTTTGAAGCAAAGTTAAAAACAAACATGGAAATTGTAAAAATATTTGTGCTTGTTTTGTCTGAATAGATTGCTGCTAATTATGTTCTCCTTAGGTGTGTGAAAGTTATTTGATGTTTTATTGTCATCTTGCATTTTGTTAAATAGCCCTCACTTTTGAAAATCAAAGGGTATCCTTGTTTAAGAATTGTGTCAGCATTTTTCAAAATTTTATATTATTTATGTATTATAATAAATTACTGTAGTACCATTTTGATTAGTCTGAATGTCTTCAGGCCTTGAAATAAATCTTGACCAAGTGATACAACACAAAATATAGAAAGAAATGATCTACTGTAAGTGAGCAGTTATATGATAAAGCAACTACAGCAAAATGTTAATGGTAGAATCTAGGTGTGGGTATATGCATTTACACTATAAAATTATTTCAACTGCTTGTTTGAAATTTTTCTTAATAAAATGTTGAGGGGAAAATGATCATCTCTGAGAGTCAAATACACTAGATAAGTCACTGGTTTTGAGTGATGATGGCAAAGAAAGCTGGGATGTAAGATAAGCAAGCTTGCAACAAGCTTGGTGAGCAAGTATGCATTGATCTCCTTGTTGTTTTTTACTGGTATGGAAGTTCTGGTACAGAGTCCTTTCAATCCCAGAGCATATGACCAAAGACAATCGCAATGGCCGGGTACATGCTGATGTTTTCCATCATAAGCAGTTTAGAAGACGGTGGAGAGATTTCTATTTCTTCCCTGGAGCAAAGGCCCCTGTGCTAAGAGAAGCAGGGTAGGTGTCTGAAAGCTGGCTTTCTAAGCAGATAGTGTACAGTGATCTAGATCAAAGGAGAGATATTTCTCCATTGCATTTAGCAGTGATTATTGGGAGCAAACACATAATCAATACATGAATTCAACACACGAAAACACTTTAGATGTTTCAACCTTCCATCCCTGTGCTGAGACTAGCACATTGTGAAGACAGGATGTAAGTCCAAATCATCTATCTAATGTGAACAAGGTTCTGCACTGCTGGCATAGAAGGCACTTAGCAGCGGGAGGTGACACTTTCATCTTTGCCTAACCAGAGGAGAGGTCAGCTCTTCAGAAACTGATAAGTGTCTTTCTGCTACTTAGGACCCACTTCTCCCTATTATGATAAGTGGCTACGTGCAAAGTTGCCATCTGATCACCACTGTCCACTGAGTTATCTGCAGAGGGGGAGTAAATCCTGAGGAATCTCAAGGTTGCACAGGATGCTGGGAAGTCAGCCAGCCACTTAACATTATCATTCTCGGTGTCCTGTAATAGACTCGTGTAACAATGATCCTGGCTTCCCTTTCCCTGATGACTTGCAGGGAGCATGAATCTAATCTTTTGGGTCACATCACATGGATTTTTTTTTTTTTTTTGAGATGGAGTCTCGCTCTGTCGCCCAGGCTGGAGTGCAGTGGCACGATCTCAGCTCACTGCAAGCTCCCCCTCCCGGGTTCACACCATTCTCCTGCCTCAGCCTCCCAAGTAGCTGGGACTACCGGCGCCCGCCACTACGCCCGGTAAATTTTTTTTTTTTTTTTTTTGTATTTTTGGTAGAGATGGGGTTTCACCGTGTTAGCCAGGATGGTCTCGATCTCTTGACCTCATGATCCGCCCTCCTGGGCCTCCCAAAGTGCTGGGATTACAGGCATAAGCCACTGCGCCCGGCCATGGATCTTTTTTAAAAGTGAAATTGTAGTATGGCATCTGAAATCTGGGCCATTGCAATATCCTCTTAACTGCTTTTCCTTCTGTAGGCTCATCTGCCACACTCTGACCCATGAGTACATCACTGTTAGTAAATCTTCCTAAAATGACTCTAACGTCACTTCCATCTTTAACAAATGGCAGCCCTTTTGTTCAGTCCCTCTAGCCTGGCATTCGAGATTTCCTCAGTGTGGCTCCAGGCTGCCTTTCTAACTGTGTACTCCTGTCACATATACTGACCCTGTTCTGTCAAATCATGCATTTTCCATTTTTATTCCTCCATTTATTCATCCATCTATCTGTTAACTCAATATTTATTTCATGCCTACTATATGACATATCAAATATTTTTAAAAACTGAATAAAACCTATTACTGCCCTTAAAAAGCTCTCATTGGAGGGGGCAGAAATGCAAATGACTGATTATAATATTATGTAATAAATATTATAACAGAGATGTGAACAAATGCCCTAGAACCTTAGAGGAAGCTGATATTAACAGCCCTCTCCCCTGAATTTCGTGCCCCCAGAGCATATTGCTATTCAAATCCTAACCACTTTCCATACCCTACTTATAGCTCTCCTCCATGCTTTTTCACCCCACCCTATGACACTCTCTTCTTCCTAACTCAAAACCTTTATGGTACATACTAGTACTTGAAACTCTAAATAATGTAATAATTAATCAAGCACTACTTTGTAGCATCTATCATCTGTCTTGTTGGCTATTTAATTTGTCATATGGATATCCTATCTCCAACTAAACTCTAGGCTCCTTGAAGACAAGGTCCCTGTATTGTATCCTTCAATGTAATAACCTTGGGGAGGGGCAATTGGTGATAGCCTCTTCAGGAATTAGTTAGGTCTGGGATTTGTTTGCACCTTATTTACAAGCTAATAAGTTAGCCTGTTAACTGTTTTATGGATGGTAGCAAAAGACACAAGATTCATGGCTCAGCAAACAGCATGAGTGTCAGTGGGTGTCCCACAGGGGTGATACAACATGGTCCAGATGGATGCTGCATCTGTAGTGGGTTTCCATTGCAGCTGAGGAATGCAGAGTTTGGAAAATCTACCATTTTTACAGCAAACAATAAGCAAACCTTCTCATTGTCCAAGATGGAGATATTATCTCCTCCCACAGGGCCCACAAACACACCCTGAGAAATGGCCAAGATGGAGAGCAGTCAGGGCCTTGTATTCTTGGCATACACAGTGTATTCGTTTCCCAGGGCTGCCGCAAATTGGAAGGCTAAAACCACAGAAATTTATTGTCTCGTGGTTTTGGAGGCTAAAAATTCAAGGTGTTGGCAGGGTCATGTGCCCTCTGAAACCTGTAGGGTAGAATTTTTCCTTGTGTTTTCCTAGCAGCTGCAGCTGCAGCCCTTCAGTCTCTGCGTTTATCATCACATGGCATTCTCCCCTGTGTGCCTCTGTGTTTCTTCTTTTATAAGGACACCAGCCCTGTTGGATTAAGGGTCCATTCTACTCTACCATAACCTCATCTTAACTAATTATATCTGCAATAACCCCATTTCCAAATAATATTACATTCTAAGGTTGTGGGAGTTAGACTTCAACGTATGTTTTTTGGGAGACATAATTCAATGCATACCACCCAATAAGGCCTGTAGGATATTGAGAGACTTGGAGAACTGTCTCTCTCAACAGAGTAAACTTGCCTCTAATAGACAGCACTGCAAAAATTCTAGAGCCAGGTCATATTCTTCGATAGGTTTAGGTGGCATTCTTACCATTTCATCCAGATGTTATCCTGAAATCCTACTCTACTCTTCTGACTCTCCCTCTATGGTAGAGAGGGGGAGGATGGTTCAGTGTGATTTATTTATGGTCAAGAAGAAATTATGATTCATTAGTACATGATACATGGTCAGCCATATTACAAGAAGTGAATGTTCAGACAAGATTGTCCTGCTATTCAACTAGACCAGTAATGGGAGAGTTAATGGGTGAAAAGCGTCTTTTCTTTGTGGTTCAATGGACCCGTAGAAAATATCTCTTTTCGTTTTTTGATTGCCTACTATGAGAAGCACTCAATTCAGTATGAACATGTGACTGGGCTAAGGGACACTGAGGTAAACTAGTCCAGAAGCCATTCTACCTCACATATCTAACCAGACAAACCCTAGTAGGCACAGATTGTCCCCAGGTGGTAAACAGCACTGTCACAGAAAGCTGCCATCTCATTGAGCTGGTGTAGCATCTGGCTCACAGCAGGAGCTGAATCTGATTTATGTTTGATGAAGAAATGAACCTGCTGTACTAAAAAGTACTGACTTTGGAAATAGTACAAAGGTCACCAGATTACAAAGGGATGCTTTTGAAAAACAACTACAAATCAGAATAACAAGATAGGATTGGGAAAATGATGAAAGGATAGAAAATGAGAAAAATTATGATAGAAATAAATGAATGAAAATGAACTTGGTACAGAGAGGTATGGAATAAAAATGAGGAGTAAAAATCAGTGGAGGAGAAAACAAAAGGAACAGAACAATTAGATAATTTAAAACGTGTATTCCATGGTTTAAGTTGGCCTGGAGACCATCTCACATCTTAGCATCCAACGGCTGAGTTTTGCAGCTCTGCAGAGTTAGCTTCTCCACCAAATTCATCTCAGTAATGCTGTTCAGTGCTCCCAGCTTCTGTGCTGTTTAGCGCTGTGTCATATCAACTTTTTCATAGACTATGCACATTCTGGAATCTGAAATAATAACACTCAACTATTTGCTCATTACCCTAAATCATTCCCAGTTAGAGGCCCCAATGGCCTTGATATAATTTGATAATGGCAATTGAGAGAAATGACTGAGTGTATGTTCTGGAAATTTCTGTCAAAAGCTCAGGTGCTTGAAAGCACAGCTAAAATCCAAATAAAAACAGTGGTGATGGGATAAAACAGAAATCCTACCTTATGTCCGCCACCCCCCAAAAAAGAAATATTTCAAAATTAAATTAGAGGTTATATTATGCCATTTTTGTGTTGCTGTAAAGAAACTCTTCAGGAGGCCAAAGCAGGTGGATCACCTAAGGTCAGGAGTTCGAGACCAGCCTGACGAACAAGGTTAAACCCCGTCTCTACTAAATACCAAAAATTAGCTGGGTGTGGTGGCACATGCCTGCAATCCCAGCTACTTGGGAGGCTGAGGAAGGAGAATCGCTTGAAACTGGGAGGCGGAGTTTGCAGTGAGTTGAGATTGCACCATTGCACCCCAGCCTGGGCAACAAGAGCAAAACTCCATCTCAAAACAAAAACAAAAAAAAGAAAAGAAAAGAAAAGAAAAGAAAAGAAAGAAACTGAGACTGGGTAATTTGTGAGGAAAAGAGGTTTAATTAGCTCATGGGTTTGTAGGCAGTACAGCAAGCATGGTGCCAGCATCTGCTTCTGGTGAGGACCTCAAGGAATGTACAATCATGGTGTATCAGTTCATTTTCACACTGCCATAAAGAACTGCCCAACATTGGGTAATTTATAAAGGAAAGAAGTTTAATTGACTCATGGTTCTGAATGGCTGGGGAGGCCTCAGGGAACTTACAGTGATGGTGGAAAGCAAAGGAGAAGCAAGGCACGTCTTCACAAGGCAGCAGGAAAGGGCGAGTGTGAAGGAGGAACTGTCAAACACTTATAAAACCATCAGATCTCATGAGAACTCACTCACTATCACAAGAACAGCATGGGGAAAACCTTCCCCATGATCCAAAGGCCTCCCACCACGGCCCCCCTCAACACATGGAGATTATGGGGATTACAATTCAAGATGAGATTTGGATGGAGACACAGCCAAACCATATCACATGGTGAAAGGCAAAGGGGAACCAGCACATCACATGGTGAGAGGAAGGAAGAGAGAGAGAGTGGGGATCCAGGTACCACACACTTTCAAACAACCAGATCTTGCAAGAATGAACTCACTCATCACCAAAGGGATAGCACTGAGCTATTCATGAAAGATATGCTCTCATGATCCAAACACCTCCCACCAGGCCCCACCTCCAACTCCAATATTGGGGATTACATTTCAACATGAGATTTGGTAGGGACACAGATTCAAACTATATCATTCTACCTCTGGCCCCACAAATCTCATGTTCTTCTCACACTGCAAAATACAATCATCCTCTACCAATAGTCCCCCAAAGTCTTAACTCAAAAGTCCCAAGTCCCAAATCCAAAGTCTCATCTGTAAATAAGTTCCTGACATCTATGAGCCTGTAAAATCAAAACAAGTTAATTAATTCCAAGATACAATGGTAGTACAGGCACGGAGTAAACACTTCCTTTCCCAAAGGGAGAAATCATCCAAAATAAAGGGCTACAGGCCTCAAGCAAGTTCAAAACCCAGTAGTGCAGTCATTAAAATCTTAAAGCTCCAAAATAATCTCCTTTGACTCCATGTCCCACATCCAGGGCACACTGATATGAGGGCTGGGCTTCCAAGACCTTGGACAACTTCATCCCCATGGCTTTACAAGGTACAGCCCCTGTGGCTGCTCTCATGGGCCGATGTTGAGTGCCTGTCGCTTTTCCAGATGCAGGGTGTAAGCTGCCAATGAATCTATCATCCTGGGGTCTGGAGGACAGTGGCCCCTTCCCACAGCTCCACTAGGAAGTGCCCCTGTCGGGACTCTGCCAAGGAAGATTGGCAGCCTCCTTCACTCTTGAACTCTGTGCACATGCAGGCTTAACATCATGTGGGAGCCACCAAGACTTAAGGATTGCACCCTCTAGAACAGCAGCCTGAACTTTACTTGGGTCCCTTTGAGCTGTGGCTAGAGCTGGAGTGGAAGGGATGGAGGGAGCAATGTCCTGAGGCTGCTCAGGGCAACAGGGCCCTAGGGCCTGGCCCCCCAAAACCATTCTTTCCTTCTAGGCTTCTGGGCCTCTCATGGGAGGGACTGCCTCAGAGATCTCAGAAATGCCTTAGAGAACTTTTTCTCATTGTCTTGGCTATTAGCGTGTGGCTCTTTTTTAGTCACAGATATCTCTTTAACAAGTGGGTTGCTCTGAAGCACTCTTGGATTCTTCTCCCAAAAAAGCTTTTCCTTTCTCTGCCACGTAGTCAGGCTGCAAATTTTCTAAACTTTTACACTCTGCTTCCCTTTTAAATATAAGTTCCAACTTTGGGTCATTTCTTTGTTCCCATATCAGAGTGTAGGTTGTTAGAAGCAACCACGCCACTTCTTGAACACTTTACTGCTTAAAAATTTCCTCCATCAGAGGCCCTAGGTTGTCACTCTTAAGTTCAAACTTTCACAGATCCCTAGGGCATAGACACAATACAGCCAAGTTCTTTGCAAAGGCATAACAAGGGTGACCTTTGCTCCAGTTCCCAATTAAGTTCCTCATTTCCTTTTGAGACCTCATCATCCTAGACTTCACTGTCCATATAACTATCAGCATTTTGGTCACAACCACTTAACCAGTCTCTAAGAAGTTCCAAACTTTTCCTCATTTTCCTGTCTTCTTCTCAGACCTCCAAACTCTTCCAATCTCTGCACGTTACTCAGTTCCAAAGTTGTTTTCACATTACCAGGTATCTTTATAGCAACACCCCACTCCTTGGTACCAATTTCTATGTTAGGCCGTTTTTGCATTGCTGTGAAGAAATACCTGAGACTGGGTAATTTATAAGGAAAAGAAGTTTAATTGACTCTTGGATCTCCAGGCAGTACAGAAAGCGTGGTGCCAGCATCTGCTTCTTTTGAGGGCCTCAGGAAGATTACAGTCATGGCAGAAGGCAAAGGAGAGCTAGTGCATTACATGGCCAGAGGGAGCCAGAGGAAGAGTAGTGGGGGAGGTGCTATACACTTCCAAACAACTAGATCTTGTGAGAATTCAGTCACTCATCACAAAGGGGATGGCACTAAGCCAATCATGAAGAATATGCCCCCATGATCCAAATGCCTCCTACCAGGTCCCACCTCCAACTTTAACACAGGGGATTACATTTCAACATGAGATTTGGTGGGGACAAACATCCAAACCATATCAGATCCTTTCTACTAAAGATTGCTTTGGCTTTCCAACCTTTCCTATCCTAATTGAGGAGCCATATAGCGCTGGAGCAGTTGTTTTTTTGTTTTTGCTTTTTTACTTTTTTTTACTGGTTTTGTTTTCATTTTGCAACCATAGGTTCAGTTTTGTTCCTGGCAACACATGTAATGTTGTGTTTCTGTTTGTGTAACACTAGCTACTAAACTGATTTTTATTCATTTCCACTGGTATCTCTAATAGGGTGTTAATTCAGCAGAGGGTCCCCTGGCTGTTGCATTCTAACTGATCTCCTTGGAGAATTCTAAAATATGATTGATTAGGTTCATGGACCTAGCAACAAGATGCAGGAGGCTCCAGTGGAATTTTACTACTTCCCCAGCAGGCTAAGTGCCTCTGACTTTCTGAGGGTACTTGCTGGCATCCTCACACTGTCTCATCAAGCATAAAGGGCATATGAGTGGATGTCTCTGCTATGTGATCATTCAGTACATCAATTTGCTCCAATGGGCTGGAAATAGTTTTATCTTAAATGGTGTTTTTGCACTTCTTTCATAAGTTAAATTTCACTAGAAGTCCTTGATGACACTCGCCTACAGTTAGCCACAGCTGCCAAATCCCCTTACTCAGAGATACAGGCTCTTCAGATTTGCTGATAAAATGCCTTAGTGTTTCAGCAAATCAGTGGAGGATGGAATCTGTCCACAGGGCTGGTATCACACTGTGAGAATCATTGTCCTCCACAGTAATCCAAAGTTGTGAGGCATGACTGCACAGTTAGAGGGGCTGTGCTGACTCTTTTTTTTTTTTTTTTCTTTTTTGAGACAGAGCCTCACTCTTCTGCACAGGCTGGAGTGCAGTGAGGCTATCTCGGCTCACTGCAACCTCTGCCTCCCAGATTTAAGAGATTCTCCTGCCTCAGCCTCCCAAGTAGCTGGGAGTACAGGCACCCGGCACCACGCCAGGCTAGTTTTTGTATTTTTAGTAGAGACAGGATTCTACCATGTTGACCAGGCTGGTCTCAAACTCGAACTCCTGGCCTCAGGTGATCCACCTGCCTCGGCCTCCCAAAGTGCTGGGATTACAAGCGTAAGTCACTGTGCCCGGCCCTGGCTTTTCTTATGAGTGACCTACATCAGCTAAGGGAGAGTCTGTTCCTTAAATACCCTGAGGGTATTATGGTGCCCGACATATAGCAGGTGCTCAGTAAGTCTTGGCTGTTATATTAATTAAATTCAAAATGTGTATTAATTAGATTAATAACATCTATTAATTACTATGAAGTAATGAATACAACATTGCCAAAGACCTAGTTTTACCATCTTTATTCCTTTTACACAGAGAGGAGTGTTGTGACTATTTTCCTTCTCAAAATTAAATTTTGTGTCCAAGGAGAATAACTCACTCATTTTACCCTAATCCTGGACCTAATTAAAAGATCCCAAAGAAAAAAACTTACATGACATCTGCACAGCTATGCAAGAATCATTCCAATCAAGAAACATATGTTAAACTTTCAAATGTAAAACAAGCTACTTGAATATTGGTTATTTATATACACGAGGGTGCTCTGAATTCAGGAAAGAAATACATATTTTGAATTTAAGCCAGAGAACTGCTCCTATCTGTACTTTCCTGATTTATAGACTGGTAAGCTCTTCATTGTGAGTTCCTACTGGGGAAAGAGTAAGTGTTAATTCAGTACAGGGACCATGTCTTCACTCATGTATCCACCAGAGTCCAGCACTGTGTCTAGGATGTGGAAGGGGGCACCGTATAGTAGAATTCAGAAGGCTTTGGAATCAATGCTCAGAGTTCAAATTTCAGTTCTTCCTCTTACTATTTGTGGACCCTTTGACAATCCCTTAGGCTCTCTATACCTCACTTTCCTTATCTGGGAAATTACATAAATACTCACCTTACGGGGTTGTTATAAGTATTAAAGGATATGAATTATACAGAGTGCCTGACACTTAGTAGGTGTTAAATAAATACCTGCTACAGTTTGAATGTACATGTTCCTCCAAAATTCGTATGTTGGAACTCAAGCCACCAAGGTGACGGTATTAAAAGATGGGCCTTGTGTGGTGATTAGGCCATGAGGGTTCTGTGCTCATTAATGGGGTCAATGCCCTTATAAAAGGGGCTTCAGAGAGCTGCCTAGGCCTTCAGTTTCTTCTGCCATGTGAGGACACAGCATTTGTCCCCACTGAAGGACACAGCAACAAGGTGCCATCTTGCAAACAGAGGGCAAGCCCTTACCAAACACCACATCTGTTTGTTTTTTTGATCCTGTACTTCTCAGCCTCCATAACAATGGGAAATACATTTTTAATATTTATAAATTACCCAGTCTAAGGTATTTTGTTATAGCAGCCCAACTGGACTAAGGGCAATTTCTATCAAGTGAAATTCCCATAGGTCATTATTTTTTTTCCCTTTAGTTTGTTCTGAAATGGAATTTCTTCATAAGAAATTTCTTTATAAGGCAGAGTTCCTTATTTTGCAATCTATGTGAGCAAAGCTCATCCCATCATAAGACTGATGCAATGTTCTCCCAAAGAATTATTGATTCAAAACTGTGGAACCAGGCCGGGCATGGTGGCTCACGCCTGTAATCCCAACACTTTGGGAGGACAGGCAGGCGGATCACGGAGGTCAGGGGTTCAAGACCAGGCTGGCCAACATGGTGAAACCCCATCTGTACTAAAAATACAAAAAATCAGTTGGGCATGGTGGCACATGGCTGTAGTCCTGGTTACTCGGGAGTCTGAGGCAGGAGAATCTCTTGAGCCCGGAAGGTGGAGGTTGCAGTGAGCTGAGATCATTGCCACAGCACTCTAGCCTAGGCGACAGAGTGAGTGAGACACCGCCTCAAAAAAAAAAAAATGTGGAACCAGAATGGATCTTTAACTTTATCCTCCAGAAGGCATTCAATATCTGTCTCATTAAAACAAAGGTCAGTAGGATAGTATTTACCCTAAACTCATTTAAACCACAGTGAGATTTATTCTTGCCCTTCAACATAGCTTTACTTTTCAACTCAGGGCTTTTCAACTCAGGGTTATAAAAGTTGACATATTTATTTTGAGTCTATATTATAGACTCACAGCCATGTCAGATCTTTGATTTTACTGAGTAGTAAATTAATTAACTACATTTCGCAATGCTTTCTTGTCTAAGACATTCAAATTGAATTCTGGAAACAGTAATTTCTGTTCTGGTATCATATTTTTCAATAATTTTTTACCAGCCAACCCTTCTGTTTTTAGCAATCCTATTTACTTCATACAGTTTTACTTCATACAGTCATTAATAAGCATAAGGCTGGGCATGGTGGCTCATGCCTGTAATCCCAGAACTTGTGGAGGCTGAGGCAGGCAGATCACATGAGGTCGGGAGTTTGAGACCAGCCAGACCAACATGGAGAAACCTGTCTCTACCAAAAAATACAAAATTAGCAGAGTGTGGTGGCACATGCCTGTAATTCCAGCTACTTGGGAGGCTGAGGCAGGAGAATCGCTTGAACCCAGGAGGCGGAGGTCACAGTGAGCCGAGATCACACCATTGCACTCCAGCCTGGGCAACAAGAGCAAAACACTGTTTCAAATAAATAAATAAAAATAATAATAAAACAAGCATGAATTGCTCACAGATCCAATGTGCTCTGTGGCAGAAATGAAAAACACTGGGATTTGTGGCAAGGTATCCAGCCACCATAAAATTTCTTTGCAGCTGCCCAGGAAGAACACCAAATTCCACTAACATCCTAGCATGCAGACGGTGTCTTTCAAAATATTCACAATTTTTAAAAAAATGATAATGCTGATAAGAGTGTATGGAAATGGCCACATATACTTAGCAGGTGAGGCGCTAAACTGGTAGTATGGAGGGTAGTTTGACAATATTAATCAAAAATGGATACTTATCACTAGGAAATTATCCTAAGGTAATTATTACAAAGATATAGCTATAAAGATGCTTCTTATAGCATTAATTTTAATGATGAAATTTGAGAGCATTTTAAAATCCAACAGTAAAGGGTTAATTAAATGAAAAGTGATACATCCATTCAACAGATTTTCAAGGAAAAATTATTCAGTCATTTCCTTGTAGAACTTTCCATGTAGAAAGGACCAGCTTCCTCATCTGGTCTTGTTGGGACACCCCATTGAGTCAGACCTTCCTACTTCCTGAGAAGATATCTACCCTCCCCTTTTATCTGATAGGCTGTAGCTGTGAGAAACTGGTTTATTACCAAATGGTTGTAGAAATGAAGATATTCTCAATATGTTATGCAGATTACATATGCATTTTAATTTGCTAGGATGAGATGCACTAAATTGTGGGTTGTGGTTATCCTGGAGGATGGAATTAAAGAGGGTCTTTACATTGCCCAAATTGTTGAATATTTTACAACGTTTTATCAAGGGAAAAATCTATTTTGAAATTTGATAAAAGGGAATAATTATCTTGCTGGCCCATTGTACAAATACCTTGAAGCTACAGTGACGGTCAATAAATTAAGCATGATAAACATTAATTAAGATCTGTGTTATTAATAAAGCAGCAGCAAAATAATAAAGCAGGTACAAACCAACA
The DNA here is from genome assembly GCF_000001405.40 of Homo sapiens. Taxonomy (NCBI): domain Eukaryota; kingdom Metazoa; phylum Chordata; class Mammalia; order Primates; family Hominidae; genus Homo; species Homo sapiens. The sequence goes on along the minus strand of NC_000003.12, from coordinate 112,016,855 downwards.
TCTAGAATCACCCTGTGTTTTCCAAGGAGCTTTGCCTCAGAGGCTCATCTATTATGGATTATGTCACAACGGCTTACTGCAATACAAAGCAACTTTGACTTAATATATTGAAGAAAGGATTAATGTTTTAAAATATGCAATTATCTTTCTTTTGTTTGCTGGGTGCACATGTTGGCAAACAACTGTTTTGACATGAAAATTCCTATTTCTAGGTATGAGCTGAGAGGAGTGAAAAAAAAAAAGAAAATTTTTATTTCTACAATTTGCAGCACGTTATCATCACATGGAGAAAAATTGAGTACCAGAGGCCCAGAAGAATCCTTCTCATTTGGCCCCCTAGCCAGTGGTTTTAATAGCACAGTAGGTGTATTACTAACACAGGGTTTACATAATGACTATCCAGAGTTTACTGTCACTCAGTCACCACTGCCTGCAATTAGAAGAAAGTACATGGCATGCTAATTGGGTCTATAATTTAAGAAAGAGGAAAGATTGCTCTTTTAAAAAAATGGACTTGACTATGCTTCGGATCCAATCAAGCTATTACATTATTTCCTGTAGCTGAAATGCATAAACAAACTATCAAGAATTGGCACCTACCATATGAAATGGTTCTCAAACAATGCTTGGGAGCAGAGACGCTGATCTTACTCAGGGGGTGCAGTCACCTTAAGCTTGTTTATCACATGCACAGTGTGAGGGCATTACCAAGCCCATGCGAAAGATGGCCTGGAGTCTACATTATTCAAGAAGCTGACCTTGGCCTGTTTAAATGTGGAAATTTCACTTCTAAAATGTCCAAGGGAAATAGGCTTTAAAAGCACTCACAAGAATGTTGTGCTCATTTCTGCCAATAATGCTACTACAATTTAAAATTTTATCTTTGTGCTTTACAGTTACCATAGCAGTGAAAGATTCATAGTCAACAGAATTGTTTCAATTTCAATGACTGATTAAATTAGCAGTTTTGCTAATTTGAGGCCATGCCAATTAAATTTATTATCTACAGTAGTGCTGCACACTATTATGCCATTAAAGCTTTCTGCGAATGGTAACTAAAATGGCAGAATGCCTGCAAATAAAAAGCAAGATCCTACTACTTGACTGCAAATGCAAAGTGGGAAAAGAGGGAAAAATAATCTCAGGCTTTAGCTTGGATCACTTCTGGTGACTTTTGGGAAAATATATCGAGACAGATATTCTTTGGAACTACACACTGGATTCTCATTCTCTACCCTAATCGCCACCACTCAGGGTAAACCTCTGCTCTAGGTCCTCAAATTTTTTCAAGAGCCTCGTCCCTAGGTTACAATTATTAGATACAACTGAAGGGATGGGAGTCTCCATGGGGGGGGGGGTTGCATCTTGTTGGGAGGAGAAATGTCCAGGTGCTGGCAAGTCTACCGGTGCTCTTTTTACCTGCTCCTCACTCCAGCTGGGCTCCAGCACAGCCCTGAACTTAGCAAGCTGATTCCTGCTGGCTCTGAACTAATTTTGCTGTTTTCTCACCTCTCTGTGTCACTGGTACAGCTAGGGCAATGTGGGAGCCAGAACACGGCACATCCTGAAAGTTCTCTCCCAATCCATTCCCTTCCTGATGGAGGCTATTTCCCTAGGGCTCCTACCCCCAATCCCAAACAGGGACCTAGACACCCTCTGTTTCTCCAGGACTTTCCTCCCAGTTTTATTTCACTTTTTGGGATCCATCGGCCTCCCTCTCTTACTTTTGTGGCAACTCCAAGGTGAGGTTTTAGGTAATAATTCAGCTGCCATGGCTGGGAGACATCTTTCTGGGAATAGGCAGTTCACTGGTAGCTGTCAAAGGGTCACTAGAACTTCTAGCAGATACAGTAAACTGCTTAGGTGACCCACAGGCCAATTTTCTTTAGCATAATGGTTTTTCCTTTTTTCTTTTACATTAAAGGTCTTTTTTAAATGTTATACTGAATCCTAATGTGTAATACAGATATATCAGAGCTGCTATGGTTGAAGCAGGAGTGGGGGCCCAGGGTTCTGCCTCCTCAGCAGCCCTGCCCCCACAGGGATCCCATAGGAACCTCTGGGTAAACCTAGAACTGCAGAGAACAAAGAGAGAACACAGTCCAAAAAACTACCATCCAAACATTTAGAGTGTGGCAATGTCTATACTTTCATCTATTTTATCTTTTTCTTGTTATCCATTATATGGATAAAATACCTTATTTCTTTTCTTACTAGATATATCACATGTTTTTTTTTCCTTGTTTCTACTGGTAAGAAAGAATAAGATGAACTGATAATCCCCAGGCTTTTTTGACCTTTTAATGTTTTCTATCCACGGGGAAAAAAATCTCAAAAACCTATTCATCTTAGGCAAATCGCAATACCAGGCAATATCCTAGGGTTTTCAGGGTTTAGACCCTTTAAATGACTTTAGGAGAGCAAACTACATTGTCTATAACTCCTGGATGATGAAAAAAACTGTATAAATGTCAGCATCGGACCTAGGGTCTCGTCTGTAAGAGGAAGATGAATGCTAGAGAAGTGAAAACTGCTCATTCATCCAGTCATCTACCCACCCATCCATTCAATAAAACCATCCACCCATCCATTCTTCCTTCCATCCATTCAACAGATACTTCCTGGGCACCTATACAAGAGCTTCTCAAGAAACCGGGCTTTGTCTCCCGGGCTGTGTCCTCTACAGGTCTAGCACAATAAGCACAAAGTACATGCTCAAAAACTTGTTGTGGTCAAAGACTTTGTTCTTGAACTTATGTCTCTAGGCTCTCAGAGTGGGCGAAATGACTCCTAAACTTTCTATTCCAATTGCCAAGATAAACGCGATAATCTTGCAAGAGCGTCCTCATAGCTAACCTATATTGCTCAGCTGCAGCTTAAGCTTAATTCCATCTTTCTGGCCTTTGAATGGAAGAGAAACCAGTCCGGACTGTGGAGTCCTTAAGAGAAAGAATGAACTTTACACTGTAAGACACAAGACTAATTACTTTATTAGGTGCATTCTATAAGTTGAAGAGGAGAATTTTTGGCAAATAAATAAATAAATAAATAAATAATCAAACAGAGACTCTGGGGCCCGAGGAGCTCAGGAAAACGGAAGCGGAGTCTTTGCATAGTTCTAAATGAACAGGAGGTGGCAGCAGTAGGCAACGCGGATTCTCGGCGGAAATGCAGCACTTGCAAAAACCAGGGACAGAAGGCTTTGAGAAAGAGGAGAAGGTCAGAAGGTGACTAACTATTTCTTTTTCGTAGAGACCATGGTGTGGAACATTCGTCCTCTCTACCAGGGGCAGGATGCCGCGTCCTACATGATCTGCCTGGGCATCCCGTACCCTGTCATGCCCGCCTGGGAGGCTCCCTTGTTGCTGCCCATCTGCAGGCCTATTACGTTCTGTCCCTGGCGAAGCTGCTCCTCGGAAAAGCCTCTCCGATTCTGCTGGGCTTTCCTGGACAAGGAAAGTGAGAGGGAATAATGTCATTATGACAGTTTTCCAATCCTTTTCAAGATATGCAATTAGACAGGCTCTGCTGGGGGTCCCCAAATAGATCAGCAGGTCCTACCCTGAGCTGTGGTTATGAGCTATGGCCCTACTCTGAGCTATGGCCCTACCCTGCACTGTGGACCTACCCTGAGCCGTGGCGCTACTCTGAGCTATCTCTGGCCCTAGCCTGAGCTGTGGCCCTACCATGATGCATGAGCTCCCTATCTTTTAGAAGCCCAGGTGTTTTCCAGAATTCCAGCAAAGAGTAGGGCAGAATCAGTGGCTACCTCTCTGGGGAATTCACTCTCAGCTTTTCTTGTTTCTCTTTCTCCCCACTCTCCCTTCTTCCCCCACCACTTTAGGCCATCTCAGACTTCTAAGAAGAAGCCTGCTTCTTCTTACCCTTTCTCTCACAGCTACGTCAAGCCTTTGTGAAAATTAAAATTGGTTCTTCTTACAAAGCACATCATTAATCCCATTCCCCCTTTCCCTGTATAGGGCCAAGATGAATATACCCTTTTAGAGCCAAGGGACCTAAGAGTTAATGAGGGGAAATGTCGCACTCTAGATTAGAGGTCTGCAAACTTTGGTAAAGAGCCAGATAGTACATAATTGTGGTTGTGTAGCCACATGGGAACACGGTAGTTCACTAATAATACAGACACTAAAACCAGGGTTTCAAATGGCCAACCTCTCAGAAGTTTTCAGGGCGAGTGTTCTTTAAAATGACATAAGCTGGTAACTTTTTTTTTTTTAATAACTGTCAAGGAGAAGAAAAGGGGATGCTGGAAATGAATAATCAATTATTTGCCACAGGGCACTCTTCTACAACTAAATTACCCAGTTTAAGCTTCCTGCCTACCCTACCCCCTGAAAAAAAAATCATTTTAAAAAAAGACCCTTTACTGAGAGATAACCATATAATTTGTCATCCGGACTAGGACGCTGTTGAGAGTGAAAGAGAGTTCTATTAATAGATATACTGGGACAACATAGATATTAACCATGACTGTTCCAAACAAACATGACATATTTACCCTTTATTAAGTACACAAACAAAAAAGAAGGAAGGAAGGAGGGAGGGAGGGAGGGAAGGAGGAAGGAAGGAAGGAAGGAAGGGAGGGAGGGAGGGAGGGAGGGAGGGAGGGAGGGAAGCAGCCAGGCAGGCAAGAAAGCTCAGAGCTGGCTTAAGTCATAATAAAGCCAAGTTCAGACATGAAGCCACCTTCAAGAAAGGCCATCCAGTCCTGCTGAGCCTCAGGAGAAACAGAACCTGGGTGGAGCTGGGAGGTATCTGGTAGAAAAGGCCCAACCATTTCTGCTCTGGTTAGGTTACTGGCCTGTACAGAAGCATCAGTCTTTCATTGCTTTGGGGAACTCAGTTGTGGAGACAGCAGTGCTTGGTCCTGGGGCTTTGCACATAAAGCCTCTGTAGAGTTCCAAGGCTTCAGACCCTCCCTCTGGTTAAAATCGCCTTGTGGTCCAGGGGGCAAGGAAGAGGCTTTTACCTGTGAAACCAGGATGGCTCTCCCCGATAGCAGCCATCATCCTTGGTGACTGCAACGCTGCCTAAAGCCATCAGGGTCCTCTGCACAGCTGCCATGTCCTTCCCTGGAAGCCAACAAAGAGCTTAAAGCCAAGCACGTGTCAGAGCCAAGGAATGCTGGAAGGATACGGCTGGACACCCAGGAGGGAAGTTCTGATAGAAGGCTGCAGGTGACCAGATTCAAGGGAGCAGTGCTATCAAACACCTCCCAAAGTGGCCCTAAGACAACCATACCCAAACTTCTCAGAAAGGAACAAAAAGTAACCTGGTTAATTATTCTCTATATGGTACATACCAGAGATACCAAGTTTCTAATCCGTTCATAGTTGCTGTATAAATAAAATCATCCATGTGCATCAAATTGAGTATTCACTTTGCTCTTTGGGCCAGAGGCCTGGCAAATGAAGAACAGCAAATCAACACAGAAAGCACTCAATGTGACACAAGTGATAGGGCCTTTATTTTGTGCCGCTTGAAAACAGCTAAATGGAGACAATAAACAACTGGCTTGTGTGTGACAGAGAGGAGAGCAAGGGAGAGGGATGTGCAGTGTGGCCCCTGCACAGTGGGATGGGGAGCCCTGTTACCTAAGCAGCCCAGTGACCATTAACCCATGGAGAAAGCAACTGGGCCTTACAACTCAGCCTTTCCTCCCATTCTTTCTCCTTTCTTCTCTTCCAGTTGACTGACCTGTCCTAAACTGAGAAGATGCTACTGAGGGGGTGGCCTGCAATTTAGAATCAGACCAAAAGTCCATGCAAGGCACCAGTGTGGAATACAAAAGCTAAAAAGCATAGGGTTAAAAGGGAAGGCAGCATCTAACCTGGCGGGGAACTGTGAAAGTTAAGGGCAAATATTAAGGCTCTCTTTAGACCTGGTGAACCGTCTGCAGTTTTTTGGCCCAGCTGCTGCAGCTCAGTCTCTGGGGAATACAGAATTACAGGGGAAAGGCAGATGGAAAGTGAGAATGGAGTATGAACTGTAATAAAATAAACAATTAAGGCCTTCAGAGGAAGTCCAGCTCAGGATCTTCATTTATTCGAAGAGGAGAGACAGAAAGCTGATCCTCTCTCCCCTCTACCCCCACCTCCCATGTTAACCACAGGGTGATTGCCTGAATCCTGAGGCCCTGTGGGACTGGTTGGTGAATACAAGGATAAAATGCTGTCAATGGATAGTCCCCCAGACTCAAGGAATAACTGGGGTGGTGGAGAATGAAGTATTTCAGAAGCAGACAGAAGGGAGAAGGCATAAGGAATATTCAGAACTAAGAAGAAACACAGAAGTTGTTGTTAGAATGACTCTTCCACAGGTGAAAGCATTTCTGTAATTGTCACCATATAATGGGACACTTTTTAAAAAATATAAATGTAGTAATGATATTCTGAAGGTTCATTCTGTGAAGAGATAGGGAGAGGACTTGCTCTTAGGCAGTGAACTATTAAAGGGAACCTAGAGAAATAAATGAGCAAAGGAAGGCTTAGGTTAGGGTATATCACTCATCTCTACTGTTTACAAAGAGCACCCTGGATACTTGTTTCTGGTGGTTGGAAAGAGCTATTCTGATATGTCCAGGATCTGGGAAAATGTGGGGCCTGACATCCAGCAGATCACCCACAGACACTACCCTGGAGCAACGGATGAAGAAGCAAAGTTTTATTAAACTATAGAACTAGACTCCTTCAAAGTAGCTAGTTCATCCCTGGTATCCCTGCATCTAGAAAATTCCCAACACTTAGTTCCCTACTTAGTTCCCTTTGTCCTTTCTGGGTTCATGTAGTAGTCTATATAACACTTCTTATATATAAGACTATATATAAGAACTTATAAGAACTAACACTTATATGTAAGTGTTATATATAACACTTCTTATATAGACTACTACATGAACCCAGAGAGGACAAAGGGAACTAAGTTGCCGGCTAAGATAAGATATCCAGGAGCCTAGAACTATCAACACAACTCCACCCTCATCCCAGGAGAGTGGAAAAGGAAGTGATTACACTTGAGAAAGAAGCCACTAGGGAAGCGGGCATTATTTGACAGGAAGAAATTGGAATTTTTTCCTTAAGAAACTTTCCAAAGCAAGATATTTGATGTAAATTATAGGGTAGACACTGTATATGTCATCTCAACCTCATGGAATTGGGATTATTCCTCCTCATGTGTGGACGAGAAAACTATTTCAAAGAGGTTAATTAACATGCCCAGAGTCACCCAATCAGTTAACAGAGCCCAGCTCTAGATCAGACCTGTCTGAATGTAAAGCCCTTGAACAATCCACCATGCCACTCTGCCATCTCCCATGGCACCCCATTGCAGGCTGGATGAGGAGCACATTCCTCAGTAGGAACCAGCGATCAGGGATGATCTGAAAGGGTCATGATGACTGTTTTGTGCCAGGCCAGAGGGGACACTGAGGGGAATAAAACTGGAGCACAGATTTCAGGCCCTGTAGAATCAAGGGCACCAACCTCAATGCCCATAAGTCTTTGAGTGTTTTTGTCTAGGTTTCTCCATGTCTTCATCCAAACAAGACTGAAACAAAGAAAAGCAGTTAGGGCCTCACTACTGATGTTCTGGCCAAGTGATATCATTTGGATGTTTTGTCCTCTCCAAATCTCATGTCGAAACGTGACCTCCAATGTGGGAGGTGGGCTTAGTAGGAGGTGTTTGGGTCGTGAGGGCAGATCCCTCATGAATGGCTTGGTGCTGACCTCATGGTAATGAGTGAGTTCTTATGTATGAGTTCACACAAGATCTGGCTGTTTAAGAGCCTGGCACCTTTACTTTCTGTCTCTTGCTCCCTCTTTCACCATGTGACATACTGGCTCCCCTTCGCCTTCCACCATGATTGTAAGCTTCTTGAGGCCCTTGCCAGAAGCAGGTGCCAGCACCACACTTCCTGTACACTCTGCAGAACCGTGAGCTAAAATAAAACCTCTTTATGAATTACCCAGTCTCAAATATTCCTTTAAAGCAACAAAAATGGACTAGTACACTAAGTTAATGATTGCCAAAATTCTAAATAACACTATGACCAGAAATCTGCCTTCTGGAACCAGTTCACATCTAGCTCACTTTCTTGTTATGTTATTCTTGTTATGTTTCCTAATTCCAGCACTCTTGGACTGACAAGATGGGAAGAGGGCCTCTTTCCAGCCTTCCCTGTCTTGTTTTGCCAGTTCAGAAGCCCACATCAAGCACCATTGGATGAGAGTGGCACACAGGAGTCAGGGCCACTTGTAGAAGCTGATTTCTGCAACTGGGGGTCAAAAATTTAAGTGCATAAAAAAGCGCTGAGGTTAAGGAAGCTCTGTGATGTGCACGAAGTATAAAACAACAAAAGGCTGGGCACAGTGGCTCACAACGGTAATTTCAACACTTTGGGAGGCTGAGGCAGGAAGACTGCTTGAGCCCAGGAGTTTCAGGCTGCAGTGACCTATGATTGCACCACTGCACTCCAGCCTGGGCAACAGAGGGAACCCCTGTCTCTAAATAACAATAAGATAAATGAAATAAATTTATAAACAAGAAAAGAAAACTAGTCGTATCACAACCAAGTGTCATATCTGCCTAATGACAAAGCCTTCAAAATTGTGCAAGTATAAAAAATGGCCATACACAGCCTGCTTTCCCAAGCTTCTTGGATTATTTATGGGAGTTTGCAGGGGGGCATCTCTTTTAAAATATGCATTTTGAGGTCATTCTCCTGAGAGAATGATTTGGTAAATTCTGGGAGTCCATATTTTTAATAAGCTTCCTGGGTGATTCATATCTTCAGGCAAGTTTGAGAGTTATAGGTGTTGCCTGGTGATTTGCAAGCTAAACTGATCTTCAGGATTACCCAAGAATCTTAAATATTCAGATTCTGGGGCAGTCTCCTGGGATGATTGTGAGGCAGCCAGATGGACAAGCAGATACTACTCTAAAGCTTTGGTTTTCAATGTTTAAAAACATCCCCATGTCTGCCATGTGGTAAGTACTAAGTAATATTTGTTAAGCAATAACTCCTTTCTTCAGAGATATCCTCCACAAAGTCAAAAGTAAAAGCGATAATTAGAAAAGCTCTGTTCCAAGTTGGAAGTCAGCCCAGAGCCCTGCAGCTTGGAATGGCTTTGCTCCCTGACAGCCACCCTGGATGCTTTGGTAGATGGCTGGGGCTCCTCAAGTGAGCTTGAAAGCCACTGCTCCAGGCCATTCTTCCAAGAACAGAAAAACATTCCTCAAAGAAGGATCAACTAAGTGTCGGGAATTTTCTGGATGGAGGGATAGCAAAAATGAGATAGAGTCTGGTTATCTAAGAGCTGGTGGAATCTGAAAAGCATACATACTGTATGATTCCTACTTTATGACATACTAGAAAAGGCAAAACTCTTGAGACAGTAAAAAGATCAGTGGTTGCCAGGGTTGAGGGTGGGAGGGATGAAAAGGCAAAGCACAGAAGCTTTTTAGGGCAGTACTTGATATGACACCGCAATGATGAATATGCGTCATTATACATTTGCCCAAATGCATAGAATGTATAACAGCAAGAGTGAACCTAATGTAAACTATGTATTTTGGATGATAATGATGTGCCAATGTAGGCTGATTACTTGCAATATGTGCTCCTTTCGTAGGGGATGTTGATAATGGGGAAGGCTGTGCATTTGTGGGGGAGAGAGGGCATATGGAAAATATCTGTACCTTCCTCTCAATTTTGCTGTGACCCTAAAACTCCTTGAAAATATTAGTCTTAAACAAAAAAGGAGCTGATGGTATGGTAGCTTTCTCTGTCTCACCTGGCAAGTGTTTTCAGCAAGAGTCTCACCTAGCAACTGACAGCTTTACTTGACAATACAGAGCTCCCTATTTCCTACATTGTCACAAAGTAATGTTATCCAAAGTGTGATCCTGCACCCCATATTACTAAGTTATAACTCCTGGGGAGTAGGACTGGAGGTTCTGCATTGTAAGGCCCCAACCCAGGAATTCTTAATGCTATAAAGATACTTTAACAAGGATTTTGTTCCATTAAATTCTTTATTACTTCCAAGGTATCTTATGTATGTCTATGAAAATAAAAAGTAAATGAAAAGGATAAAGGCAAAGAAAAAAGGTAAAAGAGAAGTCATTTGGGTGTGTCAACTTGGATTGGACAGTCTCTACTTTCTATTTCTACTTTTAATACAAAAAATCAGTCTTGCAGTCAAAGTTCTTTGTCTCAGAGCTATTATACTTCTATTATATATCAGTCTTGACTCAGCCTTGTAACTCTTAGAATACTGGATTTTTCCATCTTTCTTGGACTTACAGAGAAAGTAAGCAGTAGTGTATGAAACCATGTCTTATTTCCCTGAATAATAACTTTGGCCTAGCTTCCAATTCTCCACTGAAGGTAGACCAAAATATTGCAACAGTCAAGGGAGAAATATCAGGGGTGAGGTTGGGTTTGCTCTGTGGATTTTGTAAATGTTTGTTGCTTGCCTCCCTGACTCCCACTGCTCTGGGTGGTGGCTCTTACAGTGGGGTTCCCAGACCAGCAGAATCAATATGGTCTGTGAATTGGTAAGAAATACAAATTCTTGGCCTCACCTCAGACATATTACCTCAGAAACTCTGCTGTTGGGGCTTAGCAGTCTGTGCTTTAACAGGCCTACCTAGTGATTCCGATGCATGCTGGCATTAGAGAGCCATTGCTAAAGGAAAGACCCACCAAATACAATCGTCAGCAGCCACTTGAAATAAATGCAGTGACGGCTGCTCTGATAGAAAATGAGGCTTCCAGGCCAGGCGCGGTGGCTCACGCCTGTAATCTCAGCACTTTGGGAGGCCGAGGTGGGCGGATCACGAGGTCAGGAGATCAAGACCATCCTGGCTAACTCAGTGAAACCTCTTCTCTACTAAAAATAAAAAAAAAATTGGACCATCCTGGCTAACTCAGTGAAACCTCTTCTCTACTAAAAATAAAAAAAAAATTAGCCGGGCGTGGTGGCAGGTACCTGTAAGTCCCAGCTACTCAGGAGGCTCAGGCAGGAGAATGCCGTGAACCTGGGAGGCGGAGCTTGCAGTGAGCCGAGATCAGGCCACTGAACTCCAGCCTGGGCGACAGAGTGAGACTCCATCTCAAAAAAAAAAAAAAAGAAAAAAAAGAAAATTAGGCTTCGAGCAGCAGACACTTGTGATGTCTCAAGTCATTACAGGTACTTTACTTACAATATCCCAAAAGATCTCTCATGCTGTGTGAAATACCTCTTCACTCTTGCTGTTGAGGAATGACACATAAAGTGACGCCTTCCCAGAGAATATATTTGAACCTCCAGGCCCTTCCAATGTAAACCACACCTCCCTAACTCCCAGTCATCAAAGGGGGAACAGGCATGACATCACCATGTGTTCAGGATCCATACCAGTAGAATTACTAAGAAGAGCCATGAGACTGATCGATCTGTGAGTCTTGCCTGCTCTGACATTCTAGAATTTTATACGTTTAATGCACATCAAGTGGTTATACAAATGAACCAAAAAGATCAGTTGCTGAATGACTAATAGTGTGGGGGGGAAAGCCAACATTTATTAGGTGTCTGGTAGCCAGGCACTGTGCTAGCTTCTTTACATAGTTAATCCTTACAAAAATTCTACAAAAGAGAGGCATTAGAACTGTTTACCGAGAAGGGAACTGAGGCTCTGAGAAACTAGGCAATTTAAACAAGGTCACACAGTTAGTATGTAGCAAAAGAGATTTGAACCCATCCACCTGACTCCAAAACTCATGCTCTTTCCAGTGTAGTGGGGTCTTCTGTGTCTGGAATTAGTAAAGCAGTAAATTATGGGGAAAGACATCAAGAGGGTAATGATCACAAAGTGGAAAAAAATGTCAATAAAGTGATGCCTAAAGCCTGGTCATTTGTATTAGAGAATATCTGATGAGGTACAAGCTCCACAGCTGTCAGAGAGGGCAAAGGTCATTCAGGCAACCTCCCCCGCCCCCGCAACACCAGCTCCTGTATGTGGCCACTAAGTCCATTTGTTCTAAGACAGAGTGAGTGTCTTTCCAGACTTACTTTTCCCTCCCTTATTTTCTGTTAATCTTAGAAAAGACAAGCCAATGACAATAATAATTTCTACATTACCAACTTTTATTATCTTCTACTATCATCATGAACCATGCTAAACACTTCTAATGAACTATCTTGTTTACTTTCCATATCAACCCTGTGAAATACATATGATTATCCCCACTTTACAACTGAGAAAATCGAGGCTTAGAGAAGTTAATTGATAAGTGGTAGAGCACAGGTTTGGCCAGGCAGTCTAATTTCTGACTCAGGAGCCTGTACTCTCCTGTAATACTTTCCAGGATAAGCTTGTATTGCAGTCTTTCTGTCCTGATACTACACCAGCACACTCACTTGCTCTAATATGTTCTCTCTCTCTCTTACACACACCCCCCGCCCCCCACCTTTCTTGCTCTGCCTTTTCTTCCTTTCCCACTTTCTGTCCACAGAAAAGATGCTGAAGTCTTACCTGCAGAGTACTTTCTTCTGAATCATAGACAGCTGAGATGGCCCCACCCCTGCCCTTTCCAGGGCACCCATGGCAAATCCAAAAGTAATCTGCCAGGCCATTCACCTTCTGTTTTCCAAGAGAAGACTTCCCAGGCCCCTTCCATTCCTCTAAGCCACCCTACTTCTTCTCCATCACTGAAAGCAAGTGGTCACCCCAGCTCCCTGCTAGGGGGACTTCAGTAGCTTTATCTATAATGTCCCTGTGATTGTGTTGTTTTTCTGGACCATTTAGCTTTGGGTTTCATTTTAAAGCCTTCAATCTTGTATTCCAATTACCCTGCAGTCTATCTGAAGTATTTCACCTGGGGGGATTAAGGATAGTGGTACATCTGGGGCCTCAGCCTATAGAAGTGATTGAAGCCTAAACAAGAATGCATTTGGCAAGCCTGGGCTCCTCCAGACTTACGGGTTTGCAACATCCAGGCAGCCTGAAGAGTCAGAGGGCAGCTGTGGGCAAGCAGAGCCCTACTTGGGAGAAGACACTGAGTAGGGGAGATGGGAGAGTGAGAGGTTGGGCATGAAATACTTGCAGAGGAGGAAAAGAAGCTCCTAGGCAAGGAGGGCTGGAGCCACAGTGGCCACAGACACCACAACCAAGGTGCAGGGAATCCAGAATTAATGTAAGTTGATATGTGAGGACAGCATTAAAACCACAGTCAAGGTAGAGAATAGTAGGGAGAATGTGGGACTAAGCTAAGCAAACAGCTAGTCTAATAGCTGTGTGCACAAACATGTACCCCCTCACATGCACATAGACACATAACACGTGCCAACCCTGCCCCGCAGCATTCCTTTGATTTCAGCTTTCTTATGCCAAAACACATGAGCAACAACCAGTTCTTGCAGAAAGGACCCCAGCCTCACTTGCTCAGTCTGCTCTGCAGTACTGTCAGCCTTCCCCTCCCTCTTCCTGCTTCTCTGCTCAAAGCGACCCACTTTTGTACCTCCTGCCCTGTTGTATGGTGACCAGCATTGGCCTAAGCTTCAGACAGTGATCCTGGGGAATATCAGATATCCCCTCCAACTTATAATGAATCTCCCTGGACTTTGGCCATTCCATAGAGTCAGCCACCAGACCCTGGGGCCTCTTGGGGCCATTTGGAAACTCTGAAGCACCTGCTTTCCTATTGACAGCTCTCCTGTTCAACCCTACCTACTGCATGACCTACCTACAGTTCTTCCTGCTACCTGTCAGCCCAGGTGCCCTTGGAGTGGACCTCCTTCCTTATTTCCTTTAAAGCCCCATTTTTCTACCCTAGGGCTGGGAGTCTTAGTGTCTGTCTTGTTGCCCTGGAGCTGACTGGTCCACGGCCCTGGCTCAGGCGACCACACTCATCCCTCCAGGCCTCCCTCTTTCTTTAGAGGAGTCTAACACACGGGTCTGGGGCAGGTGGTGTATACCTCCTCCGACTCTGTACATCAGGGACTATTTCTCCCTACACTCCTCCACACTTGCTGTGAGCACCTCTGACGAGTAAAGTTTACCTTTGTGTTCTTTGTAAAAAGGGGAGAGACAAGTAAAGCATCCTCAGTAGCATGAAGACAGGAAAGCTCTCAGAATCCTCACCTCCCACAGACCTCCTGGCTTCTTCCTCCTCCCACACACTTCCTGCACTTTGTGGGGTGGGGGGGGGACTCACCCGGGTCCCTTCCATTCACACTGACTCTCCTATCCTTCTGTCCTACACAGTCCTGAGTCATCTTCCTCCTCCTCACCTCCTCCCCCACCTCCTCTTCATCCTCATCACCTAGTCACCATTATGATTCAACAGCACACTCACGGTGTAGGTGAAGGAAACTAAGCCTCCTGGCTCAAGAATGGGTTGGCAGACTAGTTAAGGCTCTATTCTTTGCTGTCAGAGAGCCCAGGTTTGAATTCTGGCTCTGCTATCTCATGGACACAAGAAATCATGGGCAAGCTTCAGTATCATCATCTTTGAAATGGGGAAATTAAAAAACATTTACCTCATAGGATTGTTAGCAGAACTGACTGACATTATGCAATAAAGCACTTGTACAATGCCTTGTGCATAGGAAAACATCAATAAGCAGTAGCTATGTAGCTATCTGTATTAGCTAGAAAAAATCATCATAGTTTTGATCGAGGAAGCAAGGATCAAATCTCAACTGTGAAATTACATGAGAATTTGGAGGCTCAACAGCAAGATCCATAGCCTGGCCTGGCCTGCAGTTTTGAATATCTGAGTTTCTAAATAATGGCAAACCACAAGGTAAACTTATTAGCATCGTAGGATTTTAACCACTCACCTATGAGGGAAACATGCAATGCCAGCTCTTTGCATGACGCCGAGGATTAAGGAGGCAATTGTTTCTTTATAAATCATAGTGTGGTGAGTAGTAGAATGGTCCTCTGCTAGAAATCTATTTCAACCATCATCTGAATACCCTTTAAAATACCATGTCTCTCCATCAGGGGAAAGCTACCCCATTCTCACTCTCAGCAGAGCCATTTGGGTCACTGCCCTGGGGATCCTGTTGGTTGGGCCACTAATGACAGCCAGTGACAAAGAGCATGTGAGAGCAGAGTCAATCTGACAGTCCTGCTCTGACTAGTTGGTATCTCTTGGTGCCTCAGGCAGGCCTAGTGGAGAAGGAACACAGTCATATGGTTGGGTATACACATTTTCGCTAAAGGGGACATTAACGACACCATGACCATAGGTCCCAAATTCTCTGGCAGTGTCTCCATTCACATCATTTCCCCCAGTAATGGCAGATCATTAAATACATCCAGGAGTGTGATTTGATTTTTATGCTTTTGTAAGATTTCCTCAGCAAGTCAATTCACAAATGTGAAGGAAACAAGCACTTGTCACACTGAGCAGAATGCATATCTGGAAGGCATAGTCACCAAGCTCCCAGATAAAGGTTTAACAAAAGGTTGGAGTGCTATCTATTTCTCAGATTGACAAAATAGCCCCAGATGGCTTTGTCTATAAGCTGCAGTTGAGCAAGAAGCACACTGGCCCCCTGCCTCCCTTCTCCTCTGGTAGCTGTGATTTGTTATGGGAGTGGTAAGAGGAATAAAAGGCAGTATGTCACCGTTAGCTTCCTCTAGCTTGAGGCTTCTGTTTACATTAGTTGCTGAGATCCCCTCTGTGTCCTCAGGGTGTGTGTTCCATTAGAAGAGGGTACCTCCTTTTAATAGAACATAACAATGGGGAAGGCAAACACTGCCCCCAGGATAACAGCTGAGAGCATCTTACACACATCAATCGGCACAGGGAAGAACACTGTGAGCAGTTTTTACAAGGAGATGGGGCAAAGGAGAGAAGAAAAGAACAATCCCAAAGGCCAGGGGGCTGTTTACCTTCCCATAGATCCACCGTCTGAAAGATGTCGGTGGTTCTGACACCATAGGTCTCCGCAGCTTTTAGGAACTGGGAGATTTGCTCCATCTGCTTAAAAGCCATCTTTGACTCTGAGATCTTGGGTATGGGCTCTTGTCCTGGTGGGTATAAACTATTTATCAGCTTGCACAGGACCTGAAGAGGGAGGGGAGAGACAGAATCAATGTTTCCCTTTGTATTTACAGGTCAAGAATGAGAAGTGAATCCTGCTCACGTGGGACACTGCTCATCCAGTTTGGGCAGGAGCAAGTCATGGGCCCTAGGAAGGCACGGGCTCTGGGCTGTGTAGCCAGGCTCCTATACTAAGCCCCAAAGACCCAGAGGACCCCATTCCTAATGCTGCTCCTTACTACAGAGATTCCTGTAGCCTGGGAGCGCCATTCCCTCCCTGTTCCTCCCTTCCTTTTTCTGGATGAGGGAAAGGATGTTTACAGATAGGGAATGATGTGACGTGATGAGGACGTGATTCTAGACTTTCAAAGGAGGAATGACTTAGTGGCTCCTGAGGTTGGCAGAGCTCAAATGATAGAGTCTAATATTATTTCTTCTATCAAAAGGCAAATTAAGCAGGCTTCAATTTACTCATCCCATATATTTTAACAATGTGTAAAAGAAGTGGATGTGGTACCTTTTTCCCAGATATATATATATAACCCAAGCTCTGGGCAACCCAGCAGAAGCATTGGATAGCAGTTATGTAACAGTAAATCACAGACTGCAGGAAAGGATGGGCTTGTTTGAATCACAGAGCCTGCGGCCCTCAAACCCTCAAACACACACGAGCATTTGGTCAGAAATGCAGTTAACAAATAAGGACTCCTTTCAGTTTCATGAGAACGCATCCACTCAATAAACAGACACTGAACACTTCCAGGGTGCATGGCTCCCACAAGAATGTGAAGGTGGCTAGTCCCCCTCCTCCCTTCTTTGTTTTACTGTGTAACCAACACGATCCCCTAGGGAAAGAAATGGCCCCAGAAGAGCTGATGCACCAGGAAGGCTGGGGAAATTACAAGGACATACTTATCTCTATTCTCATTAGAAAAATCAAAAGGGCTTCGAATTTGCCAACTCAGAAGGGAGATGTAATGCTAGGGTGAGTGGAGAACCCCCAAGCTAGCTAGGGAATAGTGCATGGAGCCCAAATCTTCCAACCCTGAAGAAATAAAGGCATTCTCATCCCCTCCCGGTGAGACATAGAGCTTGGCAACAGCAGCTCTTCCCGCAGCCTTACGTTAAAAGAAAGGGCCCTGGAGGGTTTCCCTGCCCACCGCCCCAGCAACCGAGATCGCTGCCGGCCTTACCGTCCCGTCCATTAACCATTTCTGAAAATGGGCCCTGCCGGGGGGCGGGTGCTCTATGTCCTCGGCGCACTGCAGGATGATCCAGTCCACCAGCTTGTTCTCCAGGTCCGCATCATACTTCTGCTCGATCTTCTCCTGCACCTCTCGGCTTAAGCCATAGCTCGGGCCCCTGTTAGCCATCTCTGGAAAGAAGAGAAGACACGCGCGGCATCCACACAATAGCAGCAGCAGCAGCCTCCGGCTCCCTGCAGACGGGGCTGGGATATGGCTGGGCAACCTGGCCCAGCAGCAGCAAAGAGGGCAGAAAGCCGGGCGTGGTTTAAATCAAGGAGCCAATGAAGCCAATGGGGTTTCACCTACAAACGGGAAAGAAAAGCACAGCTACCCGCCAGTAACTCTAGAATAAACCTCCGGCCGGTCCAGGGGGGCTGGAATCCCCCTCCCTATCCCGCCTATCAATGAGACCAGATGATATAACACGGACTCACAATCAAGTCTGAACCCCCAGGCAGCAAGGGGGATGGGTGGCGGACGTTTCTTCCCCCTTCTCAGTAGCACTTTGCAAAGGCAGAAACGATGAGATCGGGAAGAGCAGGTAATTAGCAGGCAGGGAGGAAGCCTCCTTTCATGTTGAACTGCAGCCGCTGCTGCCTCGCGCCTGGAAGAATGGCACATTGATTTGATTTTCTCATGGCTGAGGGGGCTCAACCAGGGCCGTTGCTAAGAGCCCTCCAAAAAGCCAGCCCTCTCCTGTGTCAATCAAGCCCGCCTGCCTCCCTCCCGCTGAGAGCCTCTTTCTCATCTGCACAATTCTTTCCCTCTTCTGGGGAGACAGCCGATTGTCTACGAGGCCAGCAGCTGCACAAGGGGATGAGGGCCTGTGGGAGGGTCCGTTCTACCAACTGTCCATCTGTCGGGAATAGCCAAGCTACTTTCCCCCTGCCCTGAGGTAACAACTGTCTGGCAGGACAGGAGGGGAGGGACTGAGAGCTGCTATCATTTACTTGTTCAGCTGCCAGCCCAACTTCACCCAGAAACTTCCATCCTGAAACTGTTGTGCCTCAGTTTGACTTATTCAAGGGAGGTATTTTTTTCATGCTACTCTTAACTGAAAGACACTAAGAACAAGTTTTATAAATTATTATTATAATTCTTACTATATATTTTTAGACAGAGTCTCGCTCTGTTGCCCAGGCTGGAGTGCAGTGGCACAATCTCGGCTGGCTGCAACCTCTGCCTCCTGGGTTCAAGCGATTCTCCTGCCTCAGCCTCCCAGGTAGCTAGGATTACAGGTGTGTGCCACCAGGCCTGGCTAATTTTTGTATTTTTAGTGGAGATGGGGTTTTGCCACGTTGGTCAGGCTGGTCTTGAACTCCTGACCTCAGGTGATCTGACTGCCTCGGCCTCCCAAAGTTCTGGGATTACAGGCATGAGCCACCACGCCCGGCAAGTTTTATAAATTAAACAAAACTCAACGACTAAGAACTCTTAGAGTGAAAGGTTTTGATAGAATGTAAAGACTTCATCTGAAGTAAGGACCGTGAAGGCACAACCGACATATTGTCAGAAGTAACTGAATATTTCTCATGGGCAAACAAGCACTCAGGAGAAACCATTAGCTCTAAGTTGGCCCCACATTTTTATAACAGCTAAAGGGCTTGGCAGTTTGTCCTCCTAGACTGTAAGCCATTTGTGGGTAAAGATTGAGTCTCATTGGTGTTGTGTAATTCTCTGGGTGTTTTTCATGAGAAAAATTCCACATTTTTTTTCGTTTGGTTCATTTCTTCATTCAACAGATATTTACTGAGTGTTTATGCCAACTACTGGACTGAGGAGGAATAAAATACAATTCTTGCATTGAAAACAGATTGATAAATTGACTCAAGCATATTAAATAAAGCAATTCTGGGTACATGGGATGATGATCTTTGTCCCTGTGGGAAATTGATTAGAAGCTATGCAGGAAATGACTCCTCAAATAATACATGTATTGAGAAAAATCTCCTACCGGCTGATGCCTGGACTAATGAAAATTTAATTACTTAGGAGATATGTGGGTGGTTTGCCTGAAAAAGACTTAGCGGTCAGTCGTTGAAGGCCTGGCAGACAGTCCTCTGAAAACAGAAAACTAGGAGATTCAGGAGAGCAGTAGGTTTAGGAAGAGACAAGGGAAGGGCTGACTAAGGCAGGTCTTGATGCTGCATGGAATCATCAGTTGAAGAAGCTCAAAAGACAGCAGCACTGTGTTGGGACACTTGGAGCTTAGGGGAAGAGCTTAGAGCAGGGAAATTGACAGAAGAATTATGGAAGTCATCATTGGTATCTTGGGGAGGAGCCATAAGGCTAGTTCCAACCTTAGACTAAGGGAACGGAGTCCCAAACAGAAACCACATAAT
Organism: Homo sapiens; assembly: GCF_000001405.40. Lineage (NCBI taxonomy): Eukaryota > Metazoa > Chordata > Mammalia > Primates > Hominidae > Homo > Homo sapiens. Next base: position 111,997,206 of record NC_000003.12, on the reverse strand, counting down.
TTTTTCCATGGCTGGAATGGCTCTAAGGAAGTTGTTGGTTTGATATGCAAAGCTTGAAACAATTCTAAAGATGTACATTTGCTTGACTTTTTTTAAACACTGTGTTTTGCAAATCTTTTGTACCCAAAGAGTCCCTCATATTATAACAGAGTAGCTGGTGTGCTTTAAGTGAATGACTGGGCCCATGCTTCTAGAGAGGATACAATGGCAAAGAGAGGGGCCACAGCAGGGCATGGAAGTGTCCAGAAATCCAGAGGAAGTCTTCAGAGAAAAAATGCTTCATCTCCTCAGGGGTGACAGTGGAAATCAGCTCAATGCCACATTTACTAAGTGCCTACTAGTATTATAGTTAATGTTTTCAACAACTTTTTCTTTCTTTTTTTTTGATTCGGAGTCTCACTCTGTGGCCAGGCTGGGGCGCAATGGTGTGATCTCAGCTCACTGCAACCTCTGACTCCCTAGTTCAAGTGATTCTCCTGCCTCAGCCTCCTAAGTAGCGAGGATTACAGGCATGAGCCACCACAACTAGCTTATTTTTGTATTTTTAGTAGAGACGGGGTTTTCACCATGTTAGCCAGGATGGTCTCAATCTCCTGACCTCGTGATCCGCCCGCCTCAGCCTCCCAAAGAGCTGGGATTACAGGCGTGAGCCACCGCGCCTGGCCTCAACAACTTTTTAAGGGCCTATGTGTATAGCTGAGACACAAAAATAAATGATACATGACAATTTGGTTTAGTAACGAAGTTAAACTTGTAAACAATAAATGCCAGATGTCATGCTAAAATTATGCACAAAGAACTCAGGTTGGTACAATAATACCTGGAGGAGGGTGTTAAGGAATCAGGGGACAGATTTATAAATGAGATTATTTTAAGTCTTGAAAGACAAGTAGGTGTTTGCCAGGTGGATAGAGTGAGGCAAGAGGGGTAGGGAATGTTGCTGTCAAAAGAAGTGTATTTAAGGTGAAAATCTTCCAGTATTAATAAAACATAGGGTTAAAGAGAAGAGAAACATAGAAAGAAAAATGAGGCTGGAATGTCAGGCAGGCTCCAGATTATAAAATGGTGTGTTTGCAAGTGCCCATGGTTAAATTTTCAGGAATTTCAAGAGACAGATGCTAAACTCAGTCATTCTTAGCAATAAGGTTATATTAACTTACTCTTAAATAAGTTATATTACAAAGAAAAGTTACTAAAAATGAAGCACTTCCTGATTTTTTTGCTACATTTTACTGTTAGCTATGTTGAGGATATTTGCGTTTATTGTCTCTATATGGTGTAAATACTATGTGATGGTGTGCTACTGGGTATTTTCTTCCAGCTTTGCATTCAGAGATGTCATGATGTAGTTTAAAACCAGCCAGGGCAGGAATATTTATGCTGTGAATGTTAGCAAATGCTACAAATCAGGGCTTCCACCCCACCACCAAAAGCCAGTTGTTAAACTGGCTTTCAGCAACTGGTTTTTGTTTGTTAAACCAGCCTTTCATGGACTCACATATCATGCAAGAGTTTGAGCTTTTTCATAGAGAGAGAGGATCATCAATCTGATTTGGGTAAAGGAAAAGGAGACAGAATGACTCACAAGTTTGACTTGTATAACAGAAGCAATGGTGGCGCCATTTATTTTAAGAGGACTCATAGGTGGGGAGAGACATAAAGCAGAAAAGATAATAAGGTTTGGATTTACTGCATTTGGGAAGCCCATGGTCCATCCCAGTTCATTAGGCAGTTGGTTTTATGGGTCTGGAGCTCAAGAGTCTAGATTGTAGGTATGTAGTTGAGTCACCTGCAAGCAGGTAGTAGTTTAAACCATGAACATGGGTGATGTTCCTCAAGGTGAATAAGTAGCAAGAGAAGACTGCCAAGGCCAGAACTCAAGGAGTATTAACATTATAAGGTGGGCAAGGAGGAGGAGCCAGTAAAGGGGTTGATATAGCATAGTCAGAGGTGTCTGAGGACAAACAATGTCAAAATAAAGCTTCTGACCTTGGTCATCCTTTGAGAGAAGGAAGCTAGGATATAAACTGAGAATTTCAAAGCAGCAAGTGGTACCAAAAAGGCATGGATAGAGTACTGTTCACAAGAGAGCCCAGAGGACCCAGCAACAAACTTCCTGAAAAAGAGAGATGGGGATGAGTAAGGAAAGGATTCTGAGAGACTGACTTTTGAGCTTCTTCTTTAGTAGAAGTTTACCTGCAAAACCCTGAAAGCCTAGGAAAAGGGGAAGACAAAATGGGAATGTATATTTTCCCCAAAAGATACATTTGGTTAAAAAAAATTGCCTGCAATTTTCTAGGTATATTCTCTAAATACACCAAAGCATCACATTTTTTTCATCCAACCATTACACATCTCCACGATTGTTTCTAAACTAAGAAGTACTTGAGATCTATATTTAGAGGATCTTAAAAAGGTATATTGAAATTCCACCCACCTCAACCCCAGAATATAAAAATTCTTTAGATTTAACTGTTCCAAATTTAATGAGTATTTGACATATTCGCTTTGGGGACTATCCTGGGAATAGTTATGTGGCAAGTAATTCTTTCAGCTTTCTATCTCCATATTTTATAAAACTCAGTGTTGCCCAGAGCTTTTTTCTTCTCATTCTCCAGAGACGTTTCTATATTGGCTGTTTGGAGAATGGTGTACTTTTTAGATTTGTATCTGGAAATGCCTCTAATCTCAACAGATGTAGCAAAAGCAAAATAGATTACGTGGCTTCACTTAGCCTTCTTTTCAAATGGTATTTGCCTTATCCCTTTCTGTTGTGCATACTGAGATTTAGAGGGGTCGTGTCACTTATTTTAAATAATGACTAAGTTCCAGGGGCTAAGGCACTGAAGGGCTCCCAGTTATTCCTCCATTTTACACGTCACTAAATACATGGGATGGAACGGTTTCAGAAAGGAGCTTTGGGGAAAACTAGAAAAAACAAATAATTAACAGCGCACTAAAATACACTAAATCTCATGGATGCAAACTCATTTGGAATTTGCGATGTTAACCTCTGCAAAGCTAGATTAAATTTTAAAAGATTTTCCTAACTTTAGGTAATAAAGGTTCCTTCTCCTTTTTTGTTTTAAACCATTAGCATTTGAAAGAATACCATACAACATTCCTATTTGGGATCTTGAGGTCAGGAAGGTCAAATCCAGTCCAGTTCAGTTCAGCTTTAGAAGACCTACCCACTTCCTTGCCTCCACCTTCCTTCCTATGCCTTCATTGATTGTGTCCATCAGTCTCTGAAGGGACTGTGTTCTGTACATAATGAAAAGCAAAAAGATACTGCCTCCTGTGTCATTGTTCTAAATGTATTGTGCTTATTTAGACCTTACACCGCATTATCTAGGTTTATGTTATTTTACAGAAGAGACTGAGACTCAGTGAGGTTAACTGCTCAGTCACAGAGCTAGTAAATGGTGAGCCAAAATTAAAAACCAAGCTTGTCTCTGACCTTAACCATTATGCTATACTGTCTCTACATATGTATTATAAATCTCAAATCATATTTATTATTTTGCGCAGAAAACCATCATTGGCAAGGGCCCTTGCCTTCATGTTCCTAACAAGCCTCACACCTAGCAATGTCTAGGCAAAGTAAGTCCTTGAATAGCCAGTGCCATCTTCTATCAACCCACTCCAGCACCAGAGACTGTGGCACTCATAGATGATTTATCTTTGCTGTTTGTAATTTTTGTCCAGTATAAAAGATAACCCATGGATTGTAGTTTAATTGCCCCGTAGGACATAAACCAGTTTTGTATCTGTGGAGAGGCCCTCACCACCACCCCCAAATTTGAAGATTTGCTAGGAAGACTCATAAGACTCCACATACAGTTCTGCTCACGGCCATGATTTATTACAGTGAAAGGATACAAAACAAAATCAGCAAAGGAAAAAAGACACATGGGGTGAAGTCAGGGGAAACTAAGTGCAAGCTTCCAAGAATCCTCCGCCAGTGGAATCACAGAGGATGAGCTTAATTCTCCCAGCAACCAGTTGTAACAGCACTTGTGAAACACTGTCAACCAGAAAAGCTTGTTAGAGACTGAGTGCCTGGGGTTTTTACTGGGAGCTGGTCACAAAGGTAGTCTCTGCCTGGCACATACCAAAATTCCAGACTCCCAGAAGGAAAGCAGGTGTTCAGGAGAAACTATATTGTTTTACAGTTTAGATATAGTAAGCTACTTTGATCAGTTCTGGGAATGGTGGAAGCCCCCTGAACTCCAAGTTCCCAGATGCCAATCAAGGGCCAACCTTGTAAAGCAGGTCTCTAAGGTTAAGTAGTCAGGTCGGCTTCATTAACACTTTTTTCTGCACAGCAATTTTATCTCAACATTTTTTCTTCAATGCCCATAAATACTCAGTTTCTTGAATTGTACTTTGAACCAGGTTTACTATCTGCTGGTTTCCTCATTAATGAGTCGAATAAGTCTTCGACACATGCTCATCTTATACACATGTATATATATGAGTCATGTTGTCAACTTAAAAGGTTTGACAGATAATAACCTAATCAAGCTAAATAAAGTCCAGCCAAAATTAATTAATAAAAAACATTAACTAAATAATATCAAGGCTCAATCTACACCTCACTTTAGTTATTTAGGAAAGAAAAAAAATAACCTTTATACTAGCATTTCACACTTTCTTACTGACTTTAGAACGTCTTCTGATTTAGGTGGCAATCACTTGCCTAGTTGTACTTAGGGCAATATTAATAAAATAATGAATGTTTCTGCAAGAAATAATATATAAAGATTAATTTCCTCTTTAATTTTACCAATCAGAATATTAAAAATACTACATCATTGTTTTAGATGAAATTCCCCATTTAAATATATTATACATAAGCCAAATTTTAGAAATAGCTCCTTGTATCACTGTACAATTTTGGGCCTTTAAAAAAAAAGCTCAATTTTAAGTTTGAATATAATGTGCAGTTTATATAACATATATATTATATTATATATACTTTATACATTATATAAAGTATTATCCTTATTGTGAACTTTATTATGCTTCTGAAATTTCTCCATCATTTCAAATTTACTTCAATAAAAATTTCCCTATATTTTGTGAATTGCATTTTCAAATCAGAAGTAATGTTACAAATTTCTGTCTATAATAAAAAACAAAATATTCACGCTTTATTAATAATCCTAATTAGAAAAGGATGCAATTAAGAGCTGGCATAGCTAACATAAGCATAAGAAAGGTAAACTTTTCTTGAATTAAAAAAAGGAAATACTTTAATGAAAAAAAATCAAGGACAGAAGGAAGGAGAAAATTTTCTAAACAGCAGCTGGTCCTTCTTCACAATTTGCATTACTTATGCAAATACATCATTAAATAATACTCATCTTATATTTACAAAATAGAGGAAAGGGAAAAACCTAAAGTATCAGGATCTTTCATTTCTTATCCCTCTTCCAATCTTCTGGATACATTAGTTTACATACCAACTAAACATGTGATACTAGTTAACTATAGTTGAGAGCTTATCAATTAAGTCATCAATAGTGTAAACAAGAAGTTGAATGTCTGCTTTTTCCCTCATTCGGTGATCACTGTGTTTTCGGAGGATGACATCCACATCTGTGCTGAGTACTCGATCGGCAACCTGCATTGATGTATGCCAAGGTACAATGTCATCCTTCATGCCATGGAGCAATCTTATGGGGCAGTTCACAGGAATTGGGCTATGTAACAAGCAGTGATGTTCAGCTTCTTTAATGAAACTGTACTGAACGTTATAAACTCCTTCTTCAGAGTATTTTGATGGCATGCTCCACACACCTTTCATCTCTACTTCCTTTTTTAGCTATTGGAAAAAGAAAGAAAAATAAAAGTATTTGTGACTTTAGGCAACATTAACACATGCAATAGTTTTAAGTAATCTAATGAAAGCAGTTCTTGAATAAGAGGATAGAGATAACAAAAGTATAACAATAATAATTATCAATAATTACTACATGCAAGGTACTGTGATGGGTATTTTATACATATTATTCCATAAGATTCTGATAATAATTCTGTTATTATTCTATTTTTATAAAAGAGGATATTATGGTTTAGATAAATGAAATACTGTGTGCAACAGTTCAGGGCTAGGCTACTAACTGTTATGGCTAAGACTCAAACTTAAATTTAAATTTATTTAATTTTATCATACACTATCTCAAATCAGATGTTGCTTCACCCCAACTGAAAAGAAAAATGAAGAGGGAGAAAAGCACTACAATTTCTTGGAATCAGTCCAGGTATCATTCATATTTAAATAAAATCAAATCTTAGAATAAACATTGTTTAGATTTCAAAATTGTAAACCTAAAAGTGCTTATAAGTAGCTAAAATGGATATGGCATAGGGAAAGAAGAGAAAGAATCAAACACAGAACTAAGAATAAAAAAATAAGAGTAATTACATTGTAACAATCATACACATACTCATGCAATTTTAGGCTGAATGTAAAGAAATATAGTTTTTCCTTCCAGAGTCCTATAAAAGAGAAAAAATTTGATTTTTGTTCTGGATGACAAAGAAGTCTTCCACATACTTCCTGAAAGCCAAACAATAATATCTGTATATTTATTCCCTTAAAATGAAATATACATGTCCTTTGACTTTTTGAGAACTCTTATTTTTTATATAATTTATCTTAATTTTTCTAAAAAAATTAGAATTTTGTATAATGAGTAACATGCAGTCATTATAGAAAACATAAAAATAATTAAAGAAATAAATCACCCATAATCCTATCTTATGGAGAGAAAAACCATTAATATATGGCTTATTTCCTTCCAATATTTGTCTATATGTGTTTTGGTTTTTGTGTAATATGTAAAATACATACATATTACACATTCATATACAGTTTTCTATGCTGTTTATTTAGTACATATATTTCTGGGTTTAAAAAATTCTATGAAAAGGTTTTAAATGCTGCACAGCAGTCCACCATAATTGACTTAATTAGTTTGACCATCTCATACTGTGGTATTGTCATGAACACTTTTGAGCATAAAAGTTTATTTATATATAATAGATTATTGGAAAGATGATCACAGCTTAAAACTAAAACAAAAATCAAGCTATGAATAGTTTCAAGACTGTTACAATCATATAATATTAAGGGCATTTCTAGAAAAATGGAATGGACATCTTATCAAAAATTTTAAAAAATAAGGAAAGAAAAGCTACACATATTTGAAAAATTTAAAGTTTCAACAAATATACTATGATTTTCCCATGTTTAAAATTGTTAATTTATTGCAAATGTAAAAAGGAAAACAAGAACTTAAAAAATATGTATGACATAATATAATCTATATGTACTTAGGCTTTAATGTATTTTTAATTCCAAAAAGACTTAATAATTCAGTAAAAAAAAAACTGTACTTCTAAATATGTCTCCAAATGATTTAAAATTAATGAAATTCTACAAAACTATAAAATGTATATAAATCTATATCAATATCATGGCATTCTCTGTATTAAAACAACATATGAACCAAATATTTAAAGTAAAGATGACATTTAGCTATCCTCAAGCTACTCAGGATTGTTTCTGAATTTGTAAATACTTCAGCAGATAGAACTTAGTCCCACTGGTTATTAGCTGAAGTGGAGGCTTTGCTAATTAAGGCGACACTGAATTAATAATAGTTTCATTTTAAGCATCCCTGGCCCCCAACTAGCTCTGCTACCTGCCACTGAATTGAATGAAAATGGTCCATCTGAAGAACAAAGTTAACTTTATAAAATGTTGTATGTCTCAAGTCCTCAAGAACAAAAAGTTCAGAAACAGCAAAGACATTACCCAAAGAAAATGTACAATATATTAAGTTCTACATCAACAAAACTTATCAAGGCAATGTGGTTCAGAAGCTTACATTCCCAACAGCTGTGCATCATGTCTGAGGCCCTCTAGTGTCCAAAGAAGGTGATAATGATTAGAGTCAGTTAAAGAGGATGGTCAAGTTCTTAGAGAAGAAATGAGAAATGCTGGGCTTACTATTCCCAGGGTTATAAAAGATAGTAAAAATCTCCACATCTGCTCCGTTGACATTGTTAGGGCTAGCTGTTTATGTGGAGAAGAGATAGCGGTCTTAGTGTTGGTGCTCTTTCCTTATACATGCTTTTAAGTTAACCAAGGGCTCAACATGCTTCTGTTAACAACTGCTTATCTGAGTAAGTATTAGCAAAAAATGCCTTGATTTGCAGATTATAAATCTTCTCAATTAGAAAGTATCTACCCTATGCTCACTCTGACTGATGTGAACACACACACACGCAGAGAAATGTACATGGCCAGGCACAGTGGCTTGTGTCTCTAATCTCAGCACTTTGGGGGTCCAAGGCAGGAGAATCTCTTGAGCCTAGGAGTTCAAGACCGGCCTGGGCAACATGGCGAGACCCCATCGCTACAAAAAATACAAAAATCAGCCAGGCATAGTGGTGTGCACTTGTGGTCCCAGCTACTCAGGAGGCTGAGGTGGGAGGATCTCTTGAGTCTGAGGGGTCAAGGCTGCAGTAAGCAATGACTGCACCACTGCACTCCAGCCTGGGCAACAGAGATACCCTAAAAACCCCCCCAAATAAAAACAAAACCAAAACAAATGTACACAGGTTTTGTCATTTACCAATAATTACAAAATACAATAAACCCCCAACCCCCAAAAATCAACTCCTTTTCAATCTGCTATGTCTTTGAGATAATTTCCTACCCAAGAAGCGCTGTATTATTGAGTTAAGAGGATGGAGCAAGGAGTCCACATTTAGATCCACAAAATGTCAAAGGTGGGAAAAACATGAAGACATTGAGCAACTATGTATGAGAAACCACCAAGAAAGTGAACAAAATTCAGAAACAGGAGATAAGTTCAAGGAAGACCAGCTTTGTAATTTCAGCTCTGATAGGAAATAATATGAGAAACCTGAATACACACACAATGCTATTTCTTAAGGAGCTTAAAACAACGTGAACTAAGAATGAACTTAGTTAATATATGGCACAGGTATTAATGCAGAACTTGAGGCAAATCAATGACATTCTACTATTCAACACTGCATACGTTTTTTCTTCTTTTTTTTTAAATTTCTGAACCTCCTTCTCCTCTTCCCCCATTCTCTAAAGCATTGTTCTCAAACTTTACAAGAGGTTTGTTAAAACACAGACTGCTGGGCCATACCCCCAGTTTCTGATTCAGGGTAAAACCCAAGAATTTGGGTTTCTAACAAGTTCTCAGGTGCTGCTGCTGCTGCTAGCCTAGGGACCATATTTTTTAACTACTGCTCTGTTTTCTTTAATTTCTGTGTCTCTGTCACTCTGACTGACAATATCTGTCTGGAGAGTTCTGTTGGGAGGAACTGAGGCTGCTTTTAGGCTAAAACAAAGACAGTCAGCTCTCCATATTCATGGTTTCTGCATCCATGGATTCAACTAACTTTGTATCAAAAATATCTGGAAAAAAAAGGTTACCTCTGTATTGAACGTGTACAGTCTTTTTTTCTTGTCCGTATTCCCTAAACGATACAGTATAGCAACAATTTACATAGCGCTTACATTGTACTAGGTATTTTAAGTAATCTGGCAATGATTTAGATTATACAAGATTATGTGCAAATACTACACCATTTTTTTTCTCAGAGACTTGACCATCTGTGGATTTTGGTATCCATGGGAGGTCTTGGAAGCAATCCCCTTCAGATACCAAGGGATGACTGCAGTTTCAGTTCATTAGCCCACTCTAACATAGTCATAAGAACAGGCACTACTCCCCATATGCCACAAAGTAAGAGGACCAAAAGGAGATCACGATGTATGATTCAAATAAGTAAATGTAATAATAAAGAAAATGTGGCTAAAAAAAAAGAAACTTCAAAGTGTGATATTGTTAATGTGTCTCAAATATTTGGCAGAATGATTTGAAGAGACTATGAAGAAACGAAATCTTAAACAAGATGACAAATAGTTAAAGATAGAAAAGAGGTTGTGTACAGAAAGGCAGCTAAGACAAAAGTTGGGCCAGCACAGTAAGTCAAAGGAATTATTGTTTTCTGTCCCCCCTTCCCTCAAAGAAAGAGGGAGCAGAAGAAGTATAAGCGGTAAATATATTGAGGTGGCAAAAGTGACTTTTGACTTACCTCAACAGGAAGCTGATTAAACTTTGTCACTAAGGTATCTGCAGCTGTAGCTACACCAATAAGAGCCACGACCTTCTCTGGTCGTGCAATTGCAGCATGAAGCATAAGCCACCCTCCAAGGCTAGATCCAACAAGAATCTAAAAATAAAATAAAATAAAACATTAGGTCTTTAAGATAGAACAGGTTATAAACATAAAACAAAATATGTACAATAAAAAATTAGAAAGTAAAAATAGAATCATTTTAAATCAAATATCAAAATGGATTAAACATTTAAATTAAATAAAAACATTTTCATATCTAAAGAAACAGCTTAGGCCGGGTGTGGTGGCTCACGCCTGTAATCCCAGCACTTTGGGAGGCCCAGGCGGGCGGATCACGAGGTCAGGAGATCGAGACCATCCTGGCCAACACGGTGAAACCCCATCTCTACTAAAAATACGAACAATTAGCCGGGCGTGGTGGCGGGTGCCTGTAGTCCCAGCTACCTGGGAGGCTGAGGCAGGAGGATGCCGTGAACCCGGGAGGCAGAGCTTGCAGTGAGCCAAGATTGCGCCACTGCACTCCAGGCTGGGTGACAGCACGAGACTCCATCTCAAAAAACAAAACAAAACAAAACAAACAGCTTAAATACGAGGTTACAGTAATTATCATCATACTTAACAAAACAGTCACCTGTGGCCCATCAGCTAAGTCATCAATTATAGAAAGAACATCTTTTCTCCATTTCCCCAGTGTGCTTTCCTCTGAGTTACCATCTGAACTTCCAACTCCTGAGTAATCAAACCTGGAAAAAGGGGAAAAAAATCTATATCTAAATATCTATATATCTGCTTCTTTAATTTTTAAGAAAGATAGCACCTTCCTCATTACTATAATGCTTATAGTGAAACATCACAATCAATATGTATTTTAGCAAATTCTATTGGCTTATTAACTTTCAAATACCTCCTGTGTCCAATCACTTTCTCACCTCCTCCACTGCTACCAGCCTGTTGCTAGTCACACTGTCTCTCAACCTAACTGAATGCAATAGTCTCCTAAAAAGTCTCCTGTTTGCATTTTCACACTCATTGTCTTTCCCTATATAGTAGAGTGATCCTTTTAAAACAAAACCATGTCTTGCAAACCCTCCAAAGGCTTTCTATAATCTTTAAATCCAGAGCCCTTACCATACTTTGGTGCCTGATCACCTCTCTGATCTCATTTCTCATTGTTTTCTCTCTCTCCCTCCCTCCCTCCCAACTGTATCTTCGCTTTGCTTCTTGAAGCTCCCATCTCATCAGCTTTTCTCTCCACATGGCATACTCTCCTCCAGATAGCCATTTAGATTGCTCCCACACTTCATTCAGGCCTTTGGCTCAAATATTACATCCTCAGAAAAGCCTCCCATGACCATTCAATTATTAAAACTGTGCTGCTTTCATCATTCTCTAATTCTTTACTCTGCTTCATTTTCTTCATAGCACTTATTACTACTTGAGATATATTTGATTATTTATGGTCCATCTCCCACATTAGAATGAAAGTTCCACATGGGCACAAGCTTTGTTTCAATGCGTTCCTAGTGCCTAGTTCAGTTCCTTGCGAGTGGTAGGTGCTTAGTGTATATTTAGTGAATTGATGGAAGGGAAGGAGACCAGAATAAAATTCATCATCACCAACCCATCCCTTTCTCCTTCCAACTTCCTAGTTATCTAGGCTCAGTTATCTGTCTGATCTATGAATTTTACCTCTCCTTAAGGGTATCAAATCAATAAAAAATCATGGTGGTATAAAGTATCATACCACACCCACAGGTTACCTAAACTCTAGTCATACTGAACTACTCCTAATTCCCAGTTACACCCTTTTATAACTTAGAGCCTTAGCATGCTGTTCTGCTGCCAAGAACAGCTTCCTCCCCAACCCAAATTCGTAGTCACCCTTTAAGTCATGTCACCTCCTCTGAGGAACTTCACTTGACATATATGCCCCATTTAGTACCAGTCACTTTCTTTTGTATGTACTCAACACTTTTCATATTGTATTGTAATCAAGTTTGTTTTTAAACATTCATCTCCCTCTGACTAGAATGTCAGTTCCTTAAGAGGAGGCTGTTTTATTCGTTTGTTTTTCCAGGCCACAGAATACTGCCTGCCCTATACCATCACCATTCTTTCTCATTTCTTCTTATGTTCATCCCTTTCTTGGTACTTTGGTAAGTCCAGTATCTTGGTGTAGGTGTTTATTTGTCATCTTAGACCTAGACTATCACAGTAGCCTTCTATCTTGTGTCTCTATGACTCTGTCTTTAAATAGAGTCACTATATACATGTCAGTTTTTTTCTTTAACATTTTAGCATTACCTTCAGTGCTCCCTGTGATATACAACATAAACACTTAGTGCTTTGGCCTGTTTTTTTGAACCATTATATTCTGGTCATTTCAGATTGATTTCACAATAAATTTTACAGTAAATTTTTTTTTACTACTAAATTTTACAGTAGTACTCACTTCATCAGGGAATACTACTGCTTTAGACAAATTGATGAACTTACTGTTCCTAAAATAGGTCTATGTTTTCTTATGTGTTTCACATCTCACACTGTTGATTCCTTTACCTGGAATACCTTCTTCCATCATCTTCTTTACTGATATATTTTCCCTTCTTTACTGATATCCTTTCCCAGAGCCTAGTTCAAATGAACCTTTTTGGTGGAATGGCTGGTACAGTAAGTAAGGGATTTATGAGAAATAGGGGAGAGAAGAAATTAAATTTTTCTTTAGGTTTGAAGTGAAACGATTTTGGATCCTTGGGAAATAGAACAGGGCAACTGGTGCAGTCTAAATCAGTTACTGTTTCCCCCTCAATCCAGGGTATGTAAGAGATGGGTAGAAGGGGTGGAAGAAAAAAGGGGGAAAGACACCAACTAATTTTCTCCTTTTCTCTCTTCATAGGTGGCAATTGGATATGGCTGAATGTGGCATCTTTTACAGTTAGCTGCCTTCCAAATATATGGTGAGGATGCAAAATACTTGTACAGCTCCTTCATGAAGGAAAATATAAATACTTGGTGATACTAACAGGGTACCATTAAAAAAATATAGTTAACTCTCACTGAACCCCAATCCAGAGACAAAGATAATCCAAACATATTCAGCACTTTAAAACTTTTAAACAGTAGCACATCTCCATCTTAGCAGCCTCAATAGTCTGGGATGTAGTCCCAAATAAAAATTCTATTACAAATAATTATGAGAGAATACCAGCCTTAAAACCATATGTTATATTCCTGAGATCTGAATCAGTCTTATTTTAGGCATGGTGATAGGACCTTAATAAAACATTTTCATATAGTCATATGTTTTATTTCTTGTGTAATAAACTATTTCATCATTGAAGATCTAAATTTTACAGCAAAAAATCCCAACAAAAGCAACCTGAAAAATTAGAGAATAGAAGATAAAATCTCTTATAATAAAGTGCAATCAATAGTTAACAATAATTAGACTGTGATGAACTTTGATAAGAGCAAATAAAATGGAACTTGTTCAAACTAAATATTTGTAGTTAAGCACTATTCTTTATGAAGGTATACTCACACAGGATCCAAAAATGCAGAAAAGCCACATTATGTCTTATAGGGAGACAGGAACTGGTTATAACTCTCATAGTCTCAAAGCTGAAATTTTAGAACTGGTAAAATGGTGATTTCTCGATTCAAATTTATTCAGTGGCAAAAAAGAAAAGTGATAACAATATTTTTGATATTATGATCTTCTGCTCAGGACAGTCCCCCTCCTTGGACAGCACTTCCCTCCCACCCAAATCTGAATTATTCTTCAACGTTCCTTTATCTATTTCAATCCCACTGTCTCTAACTTTATGCAATTAAGTATACTGTTCTTTTGACACAATCACATTCTGATGAGTATTTCTGCCAAATTTCTAACATGTATTTTATCTTGTGTTTCCCCACCCTGAATGAAAGGTCCTCATAGGCAAGTACAATGTTTTATAATTCTTTGTTATTATGCAGCACTCAGTATAGTGCTAGAGAATCTATTTCCAAAAAGTACTCCAATCTTCAGAATAAGTCAGAACAGATTTTAACATAGTTCTGAGTATGAAAATAAAATAATTCATTAGTTTGGTAAAAGAAATAAGATTAAATCTTATTTAATTTTATAATTGACATAATTGCTGCTAATATATTGAACAGGTAGTCTGAAAGTTTTATATACAGCTGTATTTTCTAGAATTATTGAATGAATGTTTGTGAGTCACTCTTCTAAAAATTTAGATGGATAGATTTTTAGGCTGTTAGTGCTAGAAAATAACTCAGAAGTTATCTCTAGTCCAACCTCCTTCTTTTGATGACAAACTTAGGTCCAATGTTTATTAACTTACTTGTCTTGTCATAGTTATTGCTCGAATTTATTCTAGAACTCATGTTTCTTGAATTCCAGGCTAATCTTCTTTTTACGAAATCATACCATCTCTTCTGGACAGTGGATACTAAACATATAACTGCTACAGGTAGACCTTATAATAACATAAAGTTATTTACTAAAATAACTCTCAGTGTGAAAAATTAGGAATTATAAAATCAAGCTTGAGTTAAGTACCACTTATCCCTATTTATGCTTATACATATTCAGATTACAGGAGAGGGAAGAGAAAACTCAGCAGAAATTTGCATTATGATACTTTTAAATACATGTATTACTTTTAGATAAACAGTGATCAAATAAAGTCCTTAAGTCCCCAGTGGAAAATGATAATATAAGAGACTGTATGAAAGCCAACTAGTATATCTGTTTGTTGTCACATACATTATTGCCTCTAAAGAGCTTAGTTACCAATATTTCCCTTAAGATGTCCTTTTCTGCCAGGGTTGTCAGCGTGGCACAAAGGCCTTTAAAAAAGGTCTTTTAAAGGTTGCTTTTAAAATTACCCTAAATCACAAGATGCAAGTTTACAGACCATTAAAATAATGTATAAAAATGCTGGCATTTACTTCAACTGATTAGAACAGAAGTAATTCTCCACTGTAATGCTAACAGTAGCAATATTTTCTCAGTAATGTGTTGTTCCTACCTTATGCAGGCGTGACCTAGAGATTTGCAAAACTCCTCAATCGCCAACGCTTTTGTACCATTCATATAAGAAAGATAGCCAGGGATGAAGATAATTCCTGGACTTTTGCCTTTTAGCTTCTTATAAGCCAGGTTTGGAAGGTCTGGTCGATTAAGGAATGAGAGTGACGTCTTTTGTCTACAAGCTAAACAAAGTACACAAAAAGTAAACTATGGTTTGTAAACTCAGTCTTTGGAAAACCATATATATTTTCGATCTTAACTTTCTTATCTCAATGAATTGATGTTAAATACTATTTCCATTTAATAGAAAAAACAAGAACAGACTCAAAGTACTAAGTAAGTCTGTGCATGAGATCTCCAGTTTTAAAATCATGCCAACATCAGTAACTTCTTTGAGCAAAGTCCAATCTTGATTCTTCCAAAATACACAATGCGGTAGGAATTTCAAGACAACAAAAGACAGAGACTAATCGAAAAACATTTTCTTGTTACTGCTTTATCATGTATTCTAAACAGTATCAATCAACATTCAGATTTACCCGCAATAGTTTCAGCCCTCTCTTGTGAGATTTTTGGCTTTGTTTTTAAATTTATTTTTTGTTTGACAAGTTTCACATCCCTTATTTTCTTTCTTTTTTTTTTTTTTTTTTTTTTGAGACAGGGTCTCACCTTGTCACTCAGGCTAGAGTGCAGTGGTGCAATCCTAGCTTACGGCAGCCTGGACTTCCTCGACTCCTCAGGCTCAAGCCATCGTCCCACCTCAGCCTCCCCAGTAGCTGCACTACACGCATGTACCACCACACCTGGTTAATTTTTGTATTTTTTGTGGAGACAGGGTCTCACTATGTTGCCCAGACTGGTCTCAAACTCCCAGGCTCAAGTGACCCTCCCACCTTGGCCTCCCATTGCTGAAATTACAGGTGTGAGCCACCATGCCTGGCCTTTCATCCCCTACTTTCTTGGGGGTCAGGGAAGAAACAGGTTTGGTCTGCCCTTGCAAAATTGTTTCAAAGGAGGACGTGCTGTGCCCTTTTTATTACTGACTCCCATCCACCCGCCCACCCATCCGCCTACCTCAACCAAGAAATCATGAGCCATGGTAACAACTCATAATTTTATTGTCAGCTGAGGTGGGTTCAATGAGCAGTTTCTTTAAAAACAACATATGATAGTATCGTTTTTGGAAAGAGATTTCTTATAGACCTATGCAATCACTTTGCGTTTTGTTGGTTTGGCTTTCTGTAAATGGTACACAGAGATTTTAGTGTAATTTAAGTACAACAGTACAATTGGTGAACTTCATAAGATTATCCTACTTCATCTTTTTCAAATTTTCCCCCATTATAAAATCTATACTTGCTCTTAAGAAACAAGTAGATATTTTTTTAAAAGAGTCATTTATAATCCCACCTCTTCTTTCCAAAGACACTAGTTTTGTGTACTTCCTTAGAGTCTTTGGACTAATACATTTTCTTTTTTTATATTAAATGAAGCCGTCCTCCACTTTGAAAACTTCTCAGTCTTGAGAAGAGAATCCATGTGTGCTGCTAAAGTTTTCCCCATTTTGTAATTAAGAAGTTGATTTTTTAAAGATGTAACTGAAGGCCTTAAAGTTATCCTTTTTACATAAAAGCTTGTTTCAAAGTATAGAGAAATATGCCAAATTTAAAACTTTTGGTAAGGACCAGTTATGCTGATCCACTCATGTTCATTTCCCATCTACTCAGCTGAGCACTAAAAAAAATTCTCACTATCCTCTTCCAGAAATCACCTCTTAAAACATAATTTCCCCGAGATGATTATAATTTATTTAATGTAAGTTCTAAGTAGACAGATTCATATAATTATATTCATAAATCATCTTTGAACATAAGGATTAATTCAAAGCCTGGTGCATAAGTGCTCAATGAATAAGTGCTAACTAGATGAAATAATATTATACTCTGGTTAATGAATTGACATACTACATTTTACTAGGAGTATTTGCATGTGTAACATGCCTTTTGGTTGCGCACAATTAAATGCAAGTTAATCTGATTATAAAAGTTTAAAAACTGGATACAAAAATCTCCATACAAAAGATCTCTGCCGTGACATTAATTACCACTCCAAGCACCATGCATCATCTGACAGCTACGTGGCAATGGTGTGAACCACACACAAAGCCAAAAAAATAAAAGGATCTAATTCAAAGACTATATATACATATAAGAGGTTCTCTGATTTTTAGCCCAAATTCTAGTTTCCTTTGTGCAATAATGATTATGGTTCTTTCACTGAGTGGGTGCAGCAAGAAAGCAGAACTAGAAATTAGGCTTATGAGGGCGTCTACACTTTTACAAAGAACATGCCTCGCATTGTTAGGTTCCCTAAACTCAAAGGAGAGTCAGTCTAAGCATTTTAGGAGTCACAATCTACAAATTCCTAGAAGTAACTAATAATAATGCATTAAATGCACATTTTAATTTTTTCTAGTGTTGGCCTTTAATGCAGGGGAGGCAGGTAAGGAGCAGGAGCTCTTTAAACTGCACAGTGTAAAACGCCAGCGAGGGCCCGGGGTGCCCAGAATGCCGCAGGGCCGCGGCAGAGCTCTCCTCACAGCCTTCACCAGAAGTCTACAAAGCGCCTAGAACTGGGGTGTTGAGAAAGGGGGAGGAGCATTTTTGAACCGGGCGCCAAAGACGCACTGCACAGGCACGGTAACTGACGGAACCCGAGGCGTTCGAAAGAACGCATCCTACTCCCGCCTTTCGGACACTGACCTGGGAGCCACCGTGGCGCCCGCTGAGGTATCCGTGCAAGCAGCACGCTGAGGCCACGGTGGGGACCGAAGGGGACGGCTGCCCAGCCCCAGCTCCGACAAGGTACCCAGGCCGCCACAGCTGCCAAGCGCGCAACCGCCATCTTCGTAGTTGTCCCCGCACCCTGCAGTGTCCCACTGAGGGACACGCTACGCAACGGAACCGAGGCTGCGCATGCGCTTCAGGCTGGAAGGCGGAACTTGCTAAAGAGCTCCCCGCAAGATTTTCAGCTTGCGAAGAGCGCACATGCGCAGAGCGTCGTGGCTCTTTCGTTTAGACTGTTGGTTCTACTAGTAGCGGGGTTTGGCTTGGGGCCTTTAAGATGTTTTGAGTGGCGTCGGGAGGCTGCCCTATCAGCGGGCTGATAGATACTACAGAGCTGGAAGCTCAGAAAGGAACCCTATCCAACGGTCCTAGATGGGAAACGTCTCCTGTCGAGGACACCAGGCTTGCTGCATCACCTGCAATCCCGCCGACCGCGTGACAGTTTTAACCTGTACTGGAAATGCTCCCAAGATCTGACATTAATCTCGCCTGTATAACCTGGAATGGTATCGGACATTCCCCGCTCTAGATCTATATGCCTGATTAACGAAATACTGAATTATCTTGGCCCCCTCCTCGTGCTATATGCGAAAATAAATTTCAGTAAAAAAAGATTTCAACGGAAGAATACAACTGAGAGGATTAAATAAATTTTAGGAGAATATTATATAATCCGGGGACAGAAGGGACTTTCTTAACCAAGATTTCAAAACCCCAACATCATAAATAAAAAATATATTTGTATACGAATTTAAACTTTTTGAATGGCAAAAGACACCTCAAGTTAAGAGCTTAGAAAAATGGATTTTGTAGCATAGATACATTAATACTTCTACTCAGCCTGCTCCTATAAATAAGAAATATAATTCAAATAAAATTGGCCAACAGCTATAAATAGGCAGCCCATATAAGGAAACATGATGCTCAAACTCACTAAATGAAAAACTGGAATTAAAAAAATAATGCCTTTTTCCCCCCATTCAGTTGGCAAAAAAGAAAAATAATTGGCAAGGATGCTAGACACTAGCACTTATGTATGATTGCTAGGAAGGTGAATTACTAAAATTTGTTGTGAAGTAATATGGCCACATCTATTACAATTTTAAAATATGCATCCATTCCAGTGCCTTTTAACGCAGTGGCACCAATTTGTGATTATCCTATAGAAAAACAACACTAGTTCTTAAGACTGCATATTATCTACTACACCGTTTTTAGAGGCAAAGAGAAGGAAAAAAATGGGAATGGCTAACAATAGAAAAATAGTTGAATAAATTGTAGTACAAGGGTTTCCGGACTCCAGCTCTAAATACCTTTCAAACTAATTCCTGGGGGCCTCAAGCATCAACCATGGAGTTTTACGTAGTAGTTTCCTATTTAAAAGTTATGGTGGCTTGTGTAATACTTTGAGTATATATAAGATAGTAAAGTAACTTTTATTATCCTGGTTATAAATTTGGGGGGCAGTAATTGGTACCAGAATTAAAGGCAAAGTTTGGATATAGTGAATCCAGCATGTCTTTGGAGTCGTGAGAACCTGGACTGTTGGAACAGTCTGGAACAGTTAGATAAATAAAGACTGAATAGATCTCTTTCTTGAGAGGTGGGATGCCTCTCTCTACTAAGGACATATAGTTAAGGACAGCAACTTGATTTCAGGACATACTCCAAAAGATGCTGAGCTATGTTGCCCGTTCTCCATTAGACCTGTTGTAGACTCTAAGGGACTAAATCACTAAGGTGATGCCTGATGCATGTCATTTCATCATCCCTTATATTTCTTTTTTGGGTTTTTGTGTGTGTGTGTGTGTATGTTTTAGACTGAGTCTCGCTCTTGTCACCCAGCCTGGAGTGCAATGGGGCGATCTCAGCTCACTGCAACCTCCACCTCCTGGGTTCAAGCGATTCTCCTGCTTCAGCCTCCTGAATAGCTGGGATTACAGGCACCGACCACCATGCCTGGTTAATTTTTGTATTTTTAGTAGAGATGGGGTTTCACCATGTTGGCCAGGCTGGTCTCGAACTCCTGACTGCAGGTGATCCACCCCCCTTGGCTTCCCAAAGTGCTGGAATTACAGGTGTGAGCCACCGCACCTGGCCCATCCCTTATATCTTAACAAACACTTCTCTCTGCATGTTTTGGATAATTGCAAATATTCTCAATCACTTCTCTCCCTTTTCTTCCCCTTTATTTTTGCAAGTCTTCTTGCATTTTACTTGCAGTAAGATGAAAAATCTGACTGGTCATAGTGGGAAAATCACTGCACAGAAAAGCAGAGAAACCCATGGATTGTTTTCTGTATTCACTCTTGTTGTCTAACAAATTAGAAAAAATTATGGCCAGTAGCAAGTACAGATGCTTTTACGGACAGTGATGAGCTTGAAGTAGACAAATTTGTTTCCACTCTGGGTACCTATTGTCAATGTTGACTTCATCAATATATAAAGGGGGCAAAGGGACATACTGCTGAGGGAAGCTTCTCTCTCTGAAATCTGCTGCCTTAGTTCAGGGGGACAAATGAGATGCCCCACCAAATAAAGCTTTATATCACATTTACATGATTTTTTTTTCGTGTAAGATAAGGATAAGTAAACACACTCCTTGCAATCCCCAGCAATAAATGTATCTGTGTAAACAGACAACAATATGATGTCAGAGTTTTTCAGGGTTCATTTCATTTTGTAAGCAATAGGATGTAACCAGAGATACTTCTATTGGAATACTTCAGTTTATACACTACAAATCATAATGTTAGCACACAACAAACTTTACATAGTTTCTACAACTGTCATTTGCGATTAATTCATCCTCCATCATACTACAGATAGGTAACTTCAAAATAAGAGATGAGTTTATTTTCAAATGTGAAATCATGTCAACATTTTAATCCAAACTCAATATATTTAACACACATATTTAAGAGGCTTACTACATCATGCAATTGGATTAGAACACCTTTACAATCCTATGAAGAGAGTACAGTGCAGAAAAGTCATATCTTTACATTAACCAACAAAATCTTAGCAATTATATTTTAGTCTTACATCACTACAGGGTTTAAAAGTGATCGCTGCAAAATCAGATTTTAAAAATATCTTCCACAATCATGATTTTTGTCCTTCACTGTTCAAGTAAAATCTTGTGTCATCCAGTTGCAAAATCTTATTATTGATAACACGTATACGTGTATACAAACCACACTGCAAATTAACAAAAGAATTGTACCCAGTCAGGCTGACAAAGTTTAATAAAGGGACACTTCTAATCTAATCATTTCATCTTGTAAGTAATATTGTTATTCTCTACATCTATTCATTTGCCATGTTTTAGGAAAGAGCACATTCATACTTTCAAACATGCAAAACATGATAAACTAGAATAAATGGCACTTGAAAAACCATTATAAAAGAGACTTGCCTGAAGTCGTTTCATTTGACAAAAATTAACTAAAAAAAAGGCTAATTGTAAAAAATAAAATAAAATAATACATTATAGAGAATATTAAGTTGAACTTCATTTGCCGTTTTATAGAACTACACCACTTCTGCAAATAAGTATGTTAATTGGTCTGTTCTTTGGTGAAAACAGAGCTATGATTTCATAGTTATGTTGAGGGAGCAGTTAGCAGGTGTGCTCCACAACAAAAAGAAATCAGACAATCTAAAGGACATTGGCTACTGGTTGCCTTTATTCTCAGCACCAGGAATGGAGAAATCTTCAGCAAAACAAGCTCCTAACACCAGATATTCTCTTTATTTAAAATTGTTCAACATGACAGAATGCCTGTTGCGTAACCTGGCTTTTTTTTCTAAAACACACAGCTTTTTGCTCTTTCTTCTTTTACAAAAAGTGGTTTACTACATATATATATACATATATAGTAGCTTACACCAGTGGTGACACTGCAAAGTCAATTTCCTGGGCATTTGATGGCATCAAAATACCATTTTGAAATATACAGAACAATACGAAATGCAGTTCATCACTTGCAGTTACTACTGTTCCACAGAAGTCAGGTCAGCTCTTTGGTTTTGGTGCAGTACTTAAAAAATTAAGGCAAAACTCCTCCTAAAATGTATTTCCCTCCAAGCCCTTATTTGCTTATGTTTACAAAATAACTGTCAACAAAATGCTACCTTTTTTAAAAAAAGCCAGTTGATTACCAATAATGTCAATGCCAGTGATTTGGGTGATAAAGTTATTCTGTATTTCCAAGTACATACAGATATTCTGTAACCTGTTTAGTTTATTTCACCAAATCCGACAACTGATTAAAAACAGTTTATTAGAAATGTTCCTATAAGTGATCCAATTTATCAAAATAGTGTTTTCTTTCTCATGGAAGCTTCAATTATTTTGCTATTTATTATGAAGGTTTGTATTAAAACCCCTTCTTTATTTTTTACAAATAACTTGTCTTGATATGAAAGGAGTTCTGAGTGTTTACAGCTCAAGGGATGGATCTGTTGGGTTTTCTCATCTGGGGTTGAATATGGCTTCATTCTTGTAAGAGATTATTGCCGTCTGCCCTGAAGTGGACTGTTGCCTCAGTTCACTACAACAAGAAGTGAGTGTAACCTTCTGCCCCCGTAACTATAACATCCATCCAGATCCGCATGGCTTCTGGCGATGGGGCTACCATATAATAGATTCTGTCATGAGTCTTGACGCTAAAGGTGAGTAACGGATTAGGACTCTAAAATTCAAAAAAGGAAAAAGAATGTAAAATAAACATCTTAAAATACAACATTAAATAACACAGACATGTGATGACTTCTTCAAAATTTTCAATTTATTAAATTTACAAAGGCGTTACTTTTGCTCTACTATAACTCACACACCTGTCCCAGAGCCTTTTTCAGGATTGACCATTTTTCTGAACAGGAAATCTCAGACAGAACTCATAAATTATTTCAGCAGCTAGTTTGTAAAGCTCTAGCAGGGTACCTAGCTGAGAGTAGGAGTTTAATAAATAGTAGCTGTTATTCTTAGCCCTACTAGGACTTGCTCACGATCCCCCTCTTAACTATATGGTAGCTTCTTTTTAGAACCCTGGCAGAGTCGTTTCGCAGGGTTTCCCAAACCATTATGTCCAGAATATTTCCTCAATTTGCTATGATATTTTTTTTCCTCAAAGAGAACGGCCATCCCACTTACTTCATGTTTACTTTTCCAGCACCATTCTGATCATATCTATCTGTTACATCAGAACATCAATTTCAAACTTCTTAGACTCCAAAAATATTTTTCCCTTCTTAATTATGCATTCAAATTGTAGGAATTTAGAAAACTGATGTTTACCTTATTAGCATTCTTGAGGTGATCATAATAGACTTCTTCAATGGCTTGAAAGTATATTACTCCTTTCAATTTAGTTTCATGCTTGTCTGCAAAGACAGATAAGTGTTAAATACTTTATCGCCACTGAGGAACAGAAAAAATAATAATTTTATTACAATTATAATCATTAAAATATTTACAAAGTATTTAATTTATCTAAGATTAATTCAGAGAACTTGGGCTAGTGCATGAGGCCCCTTCTATCTATACTGGAAAAATAAAAAAAGAAAAGCCATAAAATTACTAGCTGCAAACCGAAGAACGAGATGACTTTGCCTAAGGCTCTCCAGCAGATTAGCAGTCAAAAGATAACCCAACATACTGACTTTCAGGTTAGCATGGAAAGTGTAAACTCTAACAGCACCAATACAAATGATTTCTCCACATTTTCCAAGACCGTCTTTGTAATGAAAATATTAATATGTAGATCTGTTGTAATAAAATTTTTACAAAGTGTTTTTTGACTTGTTATTTAAAATAATTTTCTACCCATATTTATTTCCTATCAAATTTCTTATTCAGGGTGCGTGATTTTTCCCCCGTTTTCAACAGAGCTACAAGCAAATAATTTATTGTCCTTTCAATGCAACAATTTCCAAACTGTTTTCAAAGATTTCATCACATTTACCATAAAAACAAAGCAAAACAAAAACAACCAAAACATGACTCAAACATATAGCACCACTCTGTGATCTACTAAGTTCTTGAAATATTTTGTAACTTAAACTCTGCAAGGATCACAGTGCGTGTCAGCATATTAAAGAATTTTAAAAGCATGAATGAGGAGGCAGGGAAAGAGACTCTATCATACCCTAGTAGTGGAAGTGCAAATAAGACAGCCTCTTTTGGAAGACAGTAGGTAAAACAAACACAATTAAAAACACAAAAATCCTCTTACTAAGCAATTCCACTTACTGTATAAGATCTCGTGTGTGTGCAAATAAATGTACATGGATTTGTGTTTGTTGTGGCACAAGGTTGCAAAAGATCTGCTTGAGCTTTAATAGGAGACTGATTCAATTATAGACCAGTCATACAATGAAATCTACAAAGTTACTGAAATGATGGAGGTAGATCTGTATCTGCTCCTAAGGAAAAAACCCTTGAAATACTATTATATGAAATAGGGTACGAATAGAATGAATAATTTAGTCCCAAATGTATAAGAGGAAAAAAGAAAATATATACATACTGAAACATATATAGAAGTGAATAGAGAAAATATGAAATATTTAAGGCTTAAAAACGAGAGATCAGAACTTTTGTAATGATAAAGAGACTTACTTTCATCATACAAATTTTTGTTATATTTTGAATTTTTTACTAGGTGAATGTCCCTTTTTAACTACAAAAAGCTAGTCTAAAAAATAATGGCCCTGAAAAGTTCAGCAGAGAGTAAAACTATTTAATTGCATTTAATCCAGAATATCCTAACCTATTTGCCCATTGACGATATTTTTTTCTTTGTTTTTCCTCTTCCTTGTGAAACACTGTTTTAACTGATACCATGTTCAGTTAAGTTTCAGTCAGTTTCTGCGAAAGACAAGGTCAATGTATCTCTCAAACATTTGCTGGAAATGATATTGCAGTAATTCATGAGAATACAATAATACTTTGTTTTCTGAAAGCAAATGTAAAATAAAATCTGGAGATAAAAGCAAATCTTGCCAGTGTTTCAAGCAAGCAGAAGGAAACTTTGGTTTGCAGGGCACTTCATATATGAGAAAGAACTCTGAAAAATATAAGCCTCACAGCCACATTATGAGCGAAGAGAAGCAATGATGCTATTGTAAATTGATGAGATAACGCTGCACATTCTGTCTCTCTCAGTATTATGCCATCAATTTGCAGACATATTTTCTAGGCCTCGGTTTTCTTTAGAGACTCTCCTAAAGATCCCAGTTAATATGCAGGAGGCCAAGGACAAAGGCCAGGGCCATGAATAACACAGAGTCCTGGGACTTTGCCACTCAGTGTTCACATTTGCAGCTCCTTCACAAGTACACGGCCATTTCCCTCACTGACAGACAGAAGGGACATGACTCCTGTAGGGTTAAGTACAGCGTAAATTGCGATCTGGATGACTGCCTGCGGACTGGTCTATTCCTGTGCTTGTTGTGTATGAGAAGCAGGGGTGGGGGTAGGAGTGGACAAAGCTGATAGGTGATGGCCGTAAACAGAACCGAACGAGCAGCGTTTGTCCAACTAGGTCTCACCAGCCAGTTATATCATAAATACATATTAAAAAGCAAATGAAATGTAATTTTTGTCTGTTTTTTTAAATTAGGGTTCTGGGTAATTTTTCATATACCAAGAAGGTTTTGGTATTTTTTTAAAATTGAAATCAGTCACCAGAAGTTTTGGTTTGCAAAGACACATTTACATGGGTCTGAAGCTTGGAGCTTAGGTTTGAAGCAGTTGGCCAGGTCATGAAACCACTCACCTGGCCGATAGATGAGAGAATGAAATAAGGCTCACAGAGAACAGGAGCACAGAAGAAGAGTGAAGCAGTTTTGTGTGAAGTTCTTTAAAGTTGTATTTTTGGAAAATTCTGGGTGAGGTTTTCTGAAGACAATACCACATCATACAGTTTTGTTTATGCAGTGTGCAGACATCAAATTGTATTAACTGAAGAAAGCTGCTCTGGATGTTTATAAAACTCAATGACAAAAAGCCTTAGAGAGGCAAAGCAGGGGACCTAGGACCGGCAGGCCATCGGCTTCAGGCCACTAATTTCTCCAGTAACTGGAACCTCACCCAAAGAGCTCCTCGGTGAAAGGCAGGCATTCCCCTACCAGCTCCTCACCCATTTTCTGGGGCTCCTGAGCCACTCTTTCCTTTCTTCCACAGGCTGCTTGGTTTCTCACACTTCTCCTTATAAACATAACCTGACCTCACTGGATTGATTAAATGACTAGACTGTTATTTATATTTTATTGCATCGATACATTTTACTATTCCTGGTGATGCTCATAAATACTGACAGTCACCCCAAAACAGGGTTTTTTTCATAATATCTGGTATGACACCACTCTTTTTTAGCAGCTGCAAAGAAAGTAGAGCTATACTTGTACTAAAAATAGACATGTTTCGTATGTGATCCAAGAGGAAATAAGAGGTTCTTAATAAGTATGCCAGTTACACTAATATTCCTGCACTTATATAAGATTTGGTAGGGTATGTTTCTTGTCAGCCAACATTTAAGAATCCAAAAATATTTCAGTCACTTAATAAATAGTACTGATCACTAGTTTACCAATGAGCTTTACTCTCTGTGCTTAAAAGATCATTCTAGTTTATGAACTATAGTTGAATGATTTTCAGCTACGGCTGCCTAATTGTGTGTGACTTAAATGGGACGTATGACAATCAATCAATCACAAACCTCTCCCCACCCCCTTTTTTTTCTGGTGTGGTGGTTTGAAAGGCAATATTTTTTCTGATCCCACCCTATAATGATAGTATTTCTAGTATGATATTGTGATGTTTCATAAAATACAGTGAACATAAACAATTTGTTACCTAAATAAAGAATGGATTAAAACAGAAAAACAAATAAAAGGAAATATTTTGATCTAAAGAATAAATTTTACTTAATATTTATTGGGACCTGAGTTTACTTCAGAAGTAACATAGACCACTTCCCACTTTTTAAAGTAACATATAAAGTTTATTATTTCTAGAAAGGAAATTCATATCATATGGACTATATAATCTAAATATAAAATAATGTACACCTACAAATCTAATATTGCCATTAATTCTGTTATGTATCAACCTACCTATTTACACTGAATTTCAATTGCCTTTGCTCTTTAACAGGGGGTTCTTGATTTGAGTATATGGCTTAAATTGTTTTTATCACCCACCTGCATAATAAGAGAATGTTCGCTTGTTCCGATCAAAAACAAACCAACGTTTTTTCCACGTTTTAATTTTCCCACCCATTTTGATGAGGAATCCTCGGCAGGTCTTCTCTGTGATTGATACATGGTAACAGGTGTCAATATTGTGGCCAGCAGTCTCTACATGGCTCCGCAAATCAAAGTCTTCCTTCCGGACAGGCAGGTAGCGTGTCAAAGGACGAGCCTGGAAAAGTGCAAAACCCATTGCATCTATAGCTAATTATTTGTTTTGTTTTAGGTCACAGATGTTTAGAAGCAGAAATTAACTGTAAAACCTAAGCTTTAAAATGCCTATATGATTAAAAGAGCTTAAGATAAACAAAGCACTTATGATTTGGAGTCTAAAAAGTGGATAGTATTTTCAGAAAGATGCTGTAATATGTAGGGGAGAGGCAGATAAACTCAGGACAATTTATTCTATTCCTTAAGATGGGCAGTTGAGAAAATGAAAAATGGTCATTTATCTTAGTTTAAAAGATGTACTTTGCTCTTGTAATGAAGCATGAAGTTTTCTGGGCTGCTCCTTGCAGATGAGGACTGCTCCACTGTTAAGTTTCCAGAAGTTGTCCCTGCCACAGCTTAACAATCATTCTCAAGTAATCTCAAGCATGACATGATTGATTGAACACTATTTAGTAAGTACGGCCCCCACAGGATCCCACAAAGCTGTACTTGTCAGTTTACATATATTCCGATAGAAATTGAAGGCAGAGATTTATATTTTGAAAAGTAAAGCTAACATAAAGACAGAAGTGGAATCAAAACTGGACCTAATGTAATGAACTGTCCAGGACCAGATGCCAAAGGGATGTATTTAGATGTCTTTTATGTTACTGATGGCTGGTATGAAAGCCCGTCCAATCTAGGAAGCATATATCACCATGGGTGATAGTTCTAAAATGGTGTCTTATTTTATGCTGTTAAATAACCCCACCTCTTTGCCTCGGGGAAATGACCTAATTATATACTTGGAGGCAACACTTATAATCAGGATTAAAATAGAATTGTGCTTTTTGGTTTGGCTTCAGATAGTAAACACGCATGGATGACTTTCACTGCAAGTCAAAATTTGGCAGAGCGTTGGGCATGATGAAATAAAATAAACAAATTTTACTTTCTACTTTTCCTTCAATACTTAACGTTTGATTATGTGGTACTTTGGTTGTAACAGATGCTGCAGGCTTACTGATACCTCAAAGCATACAAAGTCTTAAAGATAGTCTCTAACTGCTATACTATCAAATGGCCAGCAACCACAAAGAATAAAAGTAATGGTATCTTTTGCCTTTGAGTCTAGTGAATCTTGATAAAATAGAGTTCAGCTTTAAATTACATAGTACTTAACAAAACTTTATGTTAGTTGCTCAGAAAACATATTATGTAAGCAGCTATAGTGACAAGAACAGAGATTCAAATTCTATGATGACCAAGATAAGACATTAAATAAAATGTGTGGTTTCTCCAAACTTTGCTTGAATACAACAAGCTTGTGCACAGGTGTTGAGGACTACTGTAGCAAAGGGAACACATGTGACAATACAGTGCTCAGAAAAAAGACAAAACACTACCACCATGACAAAGACACTGGACTTGGTGAAAAATTACACTGCTCTAGACTGTTTGCTTGTAAAAGATGGCTTAGTAGGACCTCTTCCATTCCCCAAGCAAAGGTTTCAGTTCAAATGTTGTATTTGTTTTCAGCAGCAAATCCAGGTGCATTTTTAAAAGCTGCTCAAAAAAGATTCTCTTTTTAAAATGTACTCCAAGGAATGGGTGGAAGAAAAAGTGCTGCTCCTGGCAAAACGTTCCATGCATGACTAAAGAAAAGTGTCATTTGGTTGGTGGTTCCCTAAGAGTTTTGAAATGAACTCACATTTTTTTTTTTTTTTTTTTTTTTTGCACAGGAATGCACACTCTTCTCTTAACCCTTACATGTCAAGTGCTAATGCTCAGTGCCCAGGAAAGCATCCTCAGACACAGAACAGCTGTCTTCTAGGAACTGCCACCAGGGGGCAACCTGCCCATATGCATTCAGATTGACCGACCAACCTGTGCCCTTTGTCTCTCCCTTATTTTTACTTCCTTTTCTATTAACTTCTGCCTCTGGCTAGTTTCTTCCTGTAATCGTTTTTCCAGGATTTCCCGGCGTCGTTTTTCTTCTTCCAGGGCTCGTTTTTTGGCTTCCATTTCCCGTTCCTAAACATTATGCATAACAATGATTATTTTAAAACATACTGGTTATACTTGAATGGTTCCAATCAATATAAAAAAGACAATTCTTACTAGACAAATCTTGGTTTGTAGACTAGTCTCTTATAATACATAACCTACAAGAAAACAACTCATAACCATGCCTGGTATAGCTTCCAAAATCATCATCTGCAGAAATGCAACCACTAAATTTAATTAACAATTAAATTGTGGTCTTCAGTGAAAATCCAGCTTGTTAATATATTCAGTCATTTCATCATTTCATATCAACCAGCAACTCTCCCATTTTAAATAAAAAGCCTCACAAACTGTACTTTAGCACTTATCACGTGATTTAGCCTGTCTTTTGACTACTGTCTTCTAACTGAAGGCCATGGTCCCTCTAATTCCTGTTGTTGCTCTGTAGTTTCCTGGCTGAAGGTCACAGAGGAAGCACGTGGGGAAGTTAGAAAAGGAAAGGAGGTGCCCTTCAGGGCAGGATGCAAAGGCATTTTGGGGGATTCCTAAGGAAGTCAGATTCTGACTTGAAATACAGTCATAAAAACGTGGGATTTTAAATATTAAAATAGTGCAGTTAGCACAAGCTGGGAAGGAAGAAATAATGCATAAAGACATGACATTCCTCCCTGCTCCTTGGCAGGAACACAAAACAGCCATCAAAAGACAAAAAACAAAAACAAAAAACAAAAAAAAAACACACACAAAAAAACACAAAGTGTTCATTTCGGTCTATGTCAATACTATATATATATTTCAAGTTATGGAAAATCCACTGCAGTAGAGAGCCTTAGAAATCATCTAACACCTTTATTTTTCAGATAAGAAAATGAGACTGAGAAAGGTTGAGTGATTTATTCCAGGAACACACGGCTCCTTAAGGAGGAGTATTGTCTGATGCCAAGCGCAGGGCTCCTGCACCACGGTATCACAGACCTCCGGCATGAAAATATGAAGCTTACCCTGGATTCGAGCAGCCGCGTCTTTTCTGCATGAGCCTGCTTCAAAAGTCTCTCCATTTCTTCTATTCTAGCAATATTTGAAGTGCTGGCACTGAATGAAACACCAAAGCCTTTTGAGAATATTGGTTTAGACTGAGAAGTCTCTCTAATACATACACACACACACACACACACACCCCAGACACACACACACACACACACATGGGGTCAAGGGAGGTGCATAACAAAATCCAAGCATATATAATTTAAAGAATGTTACTTACGAGTCATTGGACCGAAGAGGCAAATCAATTCAACTCTGAGAATTGTAGGTGACACTGACTTACCTCAGTTTAGAAGACAAAATATAGGCAAGCAAAATAATGCTAATGCTTTACTCATAGGTAAATAAACCAAAACCAAATCTTACAAAGTGTGACTTCTAAATGCTTCCTCCAAAGTCTAAAAATAATGACCCATGAGAGTCCTTCCCATTAGTTTAATGACTTAAAGATATCAGACCAACAAGACTATCACCAACGTTCTATATAAATGACACCTAATGTTTGGAGTCACTTTATTCAGTTGTGGAATATGTATTATGAGCTACTTTTTGTTGTCCCTTTATATGTGTGGACACTTTATTTATTAAATCATGATGCCAATTAAAACATGACTTCTCCTATAGGTGCAATGGATGGATAGTGGCCAGTTTTGTGAAGAGTACCCCCTCATGATACCAATGAGAAAACTGTATAAAGAGATTTAAGAGCTTCAAAAGAAATGATGGAAAAGACATCACTCAAGTGAAAGATGAAACCAAAGGGAGTGAAAGGTGCAAGAACAGTCAGGGTAACTAACAGACAAAGTGAAAACTTGAAAATGTTTAACACAAAACAGGAAATTTTATTTTCCACCGCTTACATTCTATTTGACTGTTCTGGAAAAGAGAGACTATAACCTAGGTCAAAACTTATTTACTTTGCTGTTTCAGCTATGGAAACCATATGCTATTTGTAATGCATGTGTACTTTTGTACTCATTTAAGTACCTGCCTTCTTTACTAGACTCTCTTGAGGACATACAGACAGACTTTCGTGCCTGTATCCCTGTAGCATAGAACCTGGCATAGAGTAGGGATACATGTTTGTTAGACACATTCATATAAAAATAAATTCATTAAAAATTCATATAAAAATGAAGAATCAGAGACCTCTTGGTTATAGATACTTATTAATATAGTATTCTCAAATTATATTTTTGTAAATCAAACCTAGGATGGTTTAAATCTAGGGCTAAGAGTTCTGTTGAAGAGAACACAGGGCATACAGTTTATTCTATAATCAGTACTGACAGCCCCATTACAAAACACATCCATTAAGGAGTGAACTGTCTTAGGAATACCGGATCCTTATAAGCTTAACAATTAGGCTGCACTTTGCAGAGTAACCTTGAACCACTTTTTAGCCAGGTGTTTTCTCCCACATGAAAGAGAAGAACATGGCAGTATCTTCTCATTATTTCCATTAGCCAGTGAGGAGATACAAAAGAGTAAGTTCTGTTCTCTTCAGCTAGCAAGAATCCAAGGGAAAGAAATCTTTTAATTTTTGTACAGGAATTCTTATTCTCCTTCATTGTGAATACCTGACTTCATGGGTGGAAAGGGATAAACTTCATTGCCCCAACTGAGAAAGCCAAAGACAGGCATGCAGGACGTATAAGGGCATAAAATTATATTTATATTCTATAGTGTAGTTTGTGACATCAAATATGTATGTTTTATATCTCTCATTAATTTGAAAATAATTTGAATTTCACTAAGTTTCAGGTCTTGAAAACTCACCAGTTAGTCAAAACAAACTCACCAATAGCCTAATCCCCATTTATCCCTTTTTTTCATATAGTCAATGTTTATTTAGATTTCACTGTTTACCATTTTCTTTGCTTACATGTCTTCCCTCCTGCCCCCACCATGAGATTTATTGAGCATACATATACTTGACAAATTAAATTTGCATATATTTATGGTATATAACATGATGTTTTGATGTATGCATACATTGTGCAATGATTACTACAATCAAGCTAATTAACGTGGCTCACGCCTGTAATCCCAGCACTTTGGGAGGCCAAGTTGGGTGGATTACCTGAGGTCAGGAGTTCAAGACCAGCCTGGCCAACATGGTGAAACCCCTTCTCTACTAAAAAAAAAAAAAAATTAGCCAGGTGTAGTGGTGGGTACCTGTAATCTCAGTTACTCATGAGGCTGAGACGAGAGAATTGCTTGAACCTGCAAGACAGAGGTTGCAGTGAGCTGAAATTGCACCATTGCACACCAGCCTGGGCAACACAGTGAGACTCTGTCTCAAAAATAATAATAATAATACCAACACATTTATCACCTCATGTAGTTACCTTTTGTGTGTGTGTGTGTGTGTGGTGAGACACATTTGTCCCTTAATTCTATGATAGCACTATTGCAGGATGGTAATTCCTGACAAGTAGTTACGTGTGGCCATGATCATTTTCCACAGTTGCTTTACACAAAACTGACTCTGTGGTGCTGGCAACTGCAGATAACTAATCCCCATGGTCAGAAACTACTAATAGTATTTAATGTCATTGTCTTATGAGATCTTCTGAATGTCAAAAAATTGGAGCCAAAGTAGAAGATGCCTGTAAAAGGTGGAGTGCAAAGGGGAGAGAAAAACAGGCATTTCTCTTCTGTACTACCATCAACTTTAAAACAAAATTTATGATACTCTAAGATAAGCTCTTACCCATTATTATGATGGAAAATAAGTGATAAACATCAGGGAAGCAGGTAATGAGGAACCAATGTTTGGAATGTGTATTTTGATAAAGCATCCTTAATTGGAAATTTTTTGAACATTGGTAGAAAGAAGAGTAAAAAACTAAAAAATCTTTTCTGCTTAAGATTTGTTTTTAACTTATGTACTAAAATATTCCCAAATTATAAGCCTATTAATGAGGTAATTCCATGCTGAAATTCTAGTCACACAAACTTGGTCTCGTGGTTTATTATGTCACAAAAAAATATTTGTAGGATGATAGGATTACTCAGAGTTGTGGGTACATTTGCCCTTCACTTTTTGTTGAGACATCACTTTATGACTACCAGAAAGTTACATGAGTCAGACAATGTTTTTGCTCTTTCAATATCATTATTTACAGTGTAGACAAACATAATGCTCAGAAAATAGGTCTTGGGTCACAGAAAACAGACAATTGAGAGTTAATTCTGCATACAATCTCCATTCTGCTAAAATTATTAAACTGGCTTATAGAAGAGTATTCTGAATACTACCTACACAGATACTTATTATTACTATTATCATTATTAACTTACTAAGCCCTGACTTTGTGCCTATCCTTTGAGAAAATGTTAAGAACCAGTACAGTCAAAGGCACAGAGATGGGAGAGTTCTTCATCCTCTCAATCATTAAGCTCTGTGAGGTTTATCGGGAGAATGAACGGGAGTTGGGCTGGACCTAGAGTGCCAGGTTCCGGGATCTGACAGTAGGTAGTGGGACATCAAAACTTTAGAAAAGGAGGAGCACCATGGCCAGATTTATATGTTAAGACCACCTTTGCTTGTCTCAAAGTATAAATACAAACGTGAACACTTAAATCCTTACAAAAATTTTAACATACAGAATAGCAAAAAGCTTCCTTTTAACAAATACAAGGGTAAGAAATCCTCCAAAGTTCTGACTGCTGTTGGAAATCATTCCTTTTCTTTTTCTTTCTTTCTTTTTTTTTTTTTTTTTTTTGAGATGGAGTTTCACTCTTGTTGCCCAGGCCGGAGTGCAATGGCACAGTTTTGGCTCACTGTAACCTCCGCCTCCCGGGTTTAAGGGATTCTCCTGCCTCAGCCTCCTGAGTAGCTGAGATTACAGGCATGCGCCACCATGCCCAGCTAATTTTTTGTATTTAGTAGAGACAGGGTTTCACCATGTTGGTCTGGCTGGTCTTGAACTCCTGACCTCAGGTGATCCACTCACCTTGGCCTCCCAAAGTAGCTGGGATTACAGGCATGCGCCACTGTGCCTGGGCCCTCTTTTTTAAATCAAAAGCAGTGTAAGTGAAGCTTAGAGCTAACCAACAGAAGGAAATCAATTTTAAAGCACAGTGTAAATTTGAGCTCAAGTGGAGAAAAACAGGATAAAGGTGGAAACAGATTATATGATGCCTGACTAGCTAAGTTACACAAGATAAGAGAAACTACTTTCAAAGGCCATCATGATACCAACCCTCTTCTGCATTACAGACCCTTTATGTCTCAAAAATTTGGGCTTGTGCATATACAGTTCCCAAATTGATGGCTTTACTTTTTGTGAGCAGTAGGCTCTTTTCCAAACCAGAAACCTTACCCATAAATAAATCTTACCTAGAGATGTTGTCTGGTGAGCAAGCAGAGATGCTGGTCTCCATGCTATCAGAGCTATCGAGGCTCAGAGTATCAAAGGCCTGGTCCTTGTAGCTGTGATCTGGATAATGGAAACTATTCAAGTAGACATTTGATTCAGATGCTGTGCGGTTATAAAATTCAGATTTCTGCCTGTGTCCTTCACTCATCTGTTGGTGATTATAACCTAAGGAAGGAGCCATAAATATGTTAGTTTGCCTCATTTTTCAGTCTTTGAATCTTAAACATCTACAGACACAAGCCAGCAACCAGAAACATCTGCCTATGAAGCTTGGGCCTTGGTCTAATTTGTTTTGAAGCCAAGAAGATCAAAGAAAGAGCACCGTGCTCAGTGCAAGCAACAGTTTGAATGAAGTGGTCTGCTGAGTCTCTTACCCCTCAGCAGGATCACTTGACACTTTCCTATGGCATTCCTACATCTCAGCACAACCAGCAACACACAAACACAAAAGAAACCAAACAGAAACACAATCAAAGGCCCTGAATCCTCTAGAAATAGCTGTGTTCAAGTGAAAATAAGATGCCTCCTAGTGACAAGCAAAACCAGGGTTTTAGGGCAGGCACTTCTTCAATGGTATTCAACTTAAGGAGCACTCAGTCTGGTCATAAAAAAGCAGGTGGAATCTTTCAAGTGTAGGATTTCAGAAACTCGTATCTCATATCATCACTGACACTTTTAATCTTGTTAAGATCCAAACTACACATTTTTCCCATTTTCTCTCTCTCTCTTTTTCAGTTGTTCTTGTCTGTCAATTACTTATTTAATTCAGAGTCAACATTCCTTCCAATGACTGTGCTCCTCGTAATTACCCTAGCTCTCTTCTTTTCCCATCATAACAATCAGCCTTCCACAAGCTGTTGATAACAACCATTTGAAAATGTAGGCATCAGTAGGACGAAAAGCACCATAAATAAGAGGTCTTTATTTTTTATTTTTATTTTTTGAGACGGAGTCATGCTCTGTCACCAGGCTGGAGTGCAGTGGCACAATCTCAGCTCACTGCAACCTCCACCTCCTGGGTTCAAGCAATTCTCCTGCCTCAGCCTCCCAAGTAGCTGGGACTACAGGAGTGCACCACCATACTCAGCTAACTTTTGTATTTTTAGTAGAGACGGGGTTTCACCATGTTGGCCAGGATTATCCTGATCTCTTGACCTTGTGATCTGCCTGCCTCGGCCTCCCAAAGTGCTGGGATTACAGGCGTGAGCCACCGTGCCCGGCCAAGAGGTCTTTTCTTTACCCTGGTGCTCGGTCACCTGGCACTTTAGGTTACTGGCTTTACCTTGTGTTACTGCTATGGCTTGCTCTCTGATCGCTGATTTAGGGCATTACAAGTCAAATTTTCTTTTCAATTCTCTATTTATCATAGACTCAGAAGCAGGCATCATATTGATTAACAAATTCCTCCATTCATTAAAAAACTTTTCTCTAGCCAGTACTAGAGTTTGTAATCTCTTTCTCCCTGATAAGAGAATGTCTACTCGAATAGTTTCCATTACCCAGGGAGTTATTACCAGAGCTATTCAGAGTTCACAACTGGACCATTTGAATTTCCTCTTTTTTGTGTGCTCTACCTACCTTTCAATGAAAGTTTTAGTAATAATGAAATGGTCAATAGTAGGCAAGAGGATGAAAGAAGAGAAGTAATTCTCAATGGCTTTCTCAGCTATTGATTAAACATTTCCATTTAAAAATAGAAGCCACATCCATGATGCCTTAACAAAGCATTGTATGTCAAAATTTCTGTAAAATGGTTTTAGTTTCATGCAGAGTATTCACACCATTAGTATTTGGAGTGGTTTTAGATATTTAAGTGAAAATAGGTTATTTCAGATTCAGACATTTCTGGGAAAATAAGTTACTTTAATATAATCTGCCATTATAAATTATAAATACATATGTATTTTTTAAAGCCATATAGCATTTAGCTAAGGGAAGATGGAAAACATAAAAGCACACCACAAGACTAAATAGAATGTCATGAATTATAATGATCAATCCACACAGCATTAAATGAAGCTGGTATAGTCACATGCGTGAAGCTGCGTCTTTTTTTAAGGAAGGCGAAATAATTCATTACTCAAATATTTACCTTTGATACTTGAACTTTTGGAATTACTAATTGCTCCTTTTAAGTTGTTTCCAATTATTTATTATGCAAATGACAAAAAAACAACAGAAATTATTTGAAAAGCTCACACACGTATATTTTCTTATGATTTCAAAAAAAGGCTTGTGGCATAGAAAAGTTTCACATTGGCACCAACTACATGGACGATATTTCCTTGTAGTATGAAAAACAAATCCCTAAAGGACAGCCATGTAATTTAAAACATACAAGAATTATCTCTCTGGCAATGAGTGACATTGCCACAACCTCTTCCTCTCCCTGAGTTTTCACATTGAGGAAAAACCAACCCATATGAAGCAATTACCACCATCTTGGAAAAGCAGGAAAGAAGGTGAGCATGTTTCTTAAGGGAACTGTATGTCTTGCTCCTCAGATCTTCCAAGGTTGTGTTTTTTGTTGTTGTTGTTTTTCGGCTACTTTTCCAAAAGTAACACAGAATAACAAAATAGAACTTACAGGTGAAGGAGATAGTAAACTAAAATGACTCAGATGTTTCAGGTGAATGTAGAAGGGCCAGCTACATTACAATTTGTACTGTGCTAAGGGTTGTGAATATTAATTCCCCAGACCAACTCACAAGTTGTTGAGGTTTGACTCTACGACTGAATCTCCCAGTCATTCTGGTGGTAGGATAAGCATTTTACATTTTCATGGCAACTTAAACGAAAAAGCATGAGGCCAATAATAAGCATCTTTTTCCCAACCCATGATTTTTATTTCCCATGAATCCAAAGTGAGTGGAAAAGTTCACCTCATGGAGCTACTCATTTCTGCCTACTGGCAACACTTTACTGACCTCAGTGAACCCCACTGTCACCTGGCCTAGCTTCCTCCCTGCTGAACAAATCCCCCAAAAACAGGTAACCCCTGCAATTATCAATACGGGCATGGGCCCCTCTCCTGTGATCCTGCAATTGAACCAGTGTGATTCCAAAGAGCTCATTTTGGGATTCAGGCTCTGGCCTGGCCATCCAAAGGCATAGATATTTTAAACAGAGGAAACGTCATAGAAGATCAGGGGACGGGGCTGGGTAACCTGGTAGGAGGCCCAAGGAGAGATGCTGGTGCAGTGAAGGAACACTAGAATGGCAGTAAACTGGCCTAGGCCTCCACTCTCATTGAAGCTTTATCAGGAAAGGGGATGCAGATGTCCTGTGCACCACAGTTTACCTCCATTTATTTGGCATGTGGATGTCATAAGATAAACAGTCACTGAATGAATTTATCTTTTCATCTATATATTCTATATAAATAGTCAAATAAGGAAGTGGAATGCATCTACTTTTTGAGGGGGAGCAAAGAAACAAGATTGGGAAAAATGAGACTTTCCCAACCCCTGAGACTATTTGGTTTCTGTTTTTTAATTATGTAGCAAGAATAACATTAATCAGTGGGAAAGCAACTAAAACAGTAAAAAGGGCCTTGAAAATGCTCTAAATCCTTCCTATCCAGAGAGAAATAGCTGTTTGAAGGGGTAGTTTATAAGGTGTATAAAGCAAGACCTAATTGAGGCTTGTTTCTAATCATAGCCACACAAGGAACCCAAACCAGTTCAGCTCTTCACTGCCTGGGACAGCCAAGGGACCAAATGTGCAAGGCCCATTTATTATTATTATTTTTAATGCCAGTCTCTATTAATTCTGGCTAATTGGACCTGAAAAGTCTCTTGTGAGTTAACGATTACACAATGTGTAGAGTCCTGCCAATACATTCCCAATATGTGGTATATACTTTTACATGGCTATCTGGGCTGTAATATAGAAAGTAAGATGACTTAAAGTATAACCTGGGGTTAAGAGGATAAAATTAACCAGTATTTCTAACAATTCAGCCTGTCATAGCTCACCTGCTGAGGAATTCATTCTTCCTAATGACAGTCCACAGCCAGAAGAAGAGGGCACAGGACAAGTCAGGAATGAAGAGGGAGAATGATTGTAGAAAGGGAAAAAGATACAAGATCAAAAAGGATGACAAGGGGGCAGGAAAAACATACAACACTTCCAACATGCACTCATTGATGGTGTTAGTTACAATAGCAAATTAACAAGGTATGATGTTCACAGTTTCAGATTAAATCCAAGTTTACAGAGAAAAACTCAAGAAACCTTAAAAAAAATTGATACATGCATAGTCAAAAAAGACTGTTACAAGACAAATAAATCTTTCACACATATTCATCAACCAGAAAATAGGAAGAATAAAAACAGATTATATCTATCAAACAATTCTTTTTCCAAACAGACAATAGCAAATAGTTTTTAAGAGCTCAAGTTTGTAAAATGCCATTCAATTATTTGAAGCACAGTTCATCAAGTTTTATAACACATCGTCTAACATCCTACATCTCTACCACCTAGCCACAGGAAATAACCATCTTACTTATTCAAGCCAATCATTTAAACTATACTTCACTCTCCACTAAGTCTTTCTTAGAAAACAGGCTCCAATGAAATGAATAAGTAGGAGCTTCCTAAATCCTTTCATCCTTTGACTGTAGCCTGACTTATTTATACCTGTCCTTTTTAAAGGAGAATCATGGTTTACACTTAGCTCATATACATCACAATACCCTCTATTCTCTTTATATAGATCCTGAATCTTACAAAACAATGCTTCCACAGCACTCATGTTTCCTGCAGGGTCTGACCTTGCGATTAAAAGCCAAAACAAAGAGGGTCATGCAGCTGCCAGTGAATGAACAGCAGCTGCACCCAGCATTGTGTTTCTTGCAAATGTGCAACAATTTTTCTCTATTGTGTAAAAGAAATAATCATTAGACTAAAAATCCACCACTGCACAGTGTTAAATCTGATCATTTCTTAAACATGACTTGACAATGACCTTTCAATATTTGCTGGAAACAAAAACACCACACAAGGAGGTTGTCATACCTTTCTTGGACTTTCCTGTATTTAACAAAAAACAAAAGGACAAAGATTTCATTCATTCTAAAGCTGACAAAGGAATAGTTCACAAGTTGTTCAAAAGCCAATAACCATTCCAACTTCAGAAGCTGAGTTTCTCAGCTCTCTGTTTTAAACTCTCCTCTCAAAGTTCTTTGCACGACTCACGCTGTCAGTTCTATTAACAGTGCTGATTAAGGCTTATACTTACACCATCATCCTTGATGTATCCATTACGAATAGCAGCAAAAAAAGGTGTATTTAAGTTAATTGTGTAAGTTTAAAAGATGATTAAAGTCTACTAAATGTGAGTTAGTGAAAATATGCCAGGTATAATTTTTTTCAAATCCATAGAATTTTACTTGTATTTGCTATTTTAATAAAGTTAACAAGTGCTAGTCAAACAATTCTAAATGAAATTATGATCCATCCCTCCTGGGTTTTTTGTGAACCACCAGTTTGGGCTGTGTAGAAAATCCTGCCAGTTTTACAGTCTGCTGGGGTTCTAAGAACTATAGACCCTGACTTCTCCTCCTCTGGGTAGGGGAGCCAAAGGCAGCAGGCTGTCTTTTCAGAACACATCTCCTTGGACCAACACGCATATAATGGTTCTTTATTTCCTCAGAAGCTGCCCCATCAGAATTACATGAAACTCTTCAAGAGGAAGAGCACTTCACAGTTACAGCAGAGAAAGACTGAAGTTGCAGTCTTCTGAGCTGCATAAAGGACGTATCAATAAAGAACAAGAGCACTAAAGATAAATCAAAGACAGATTTGATTTTGCAACGGGAACATCAGTAATGTGGCCTAAGGGAATTAGCTCAGTTTTCCTCTATGAAACTGGCATGGGATTCCCATTACTTCAGGGGAAAACAGATTAGAATAACTGAGATCAAACCTTCCCTCGGTTTCACCATATTCTCACAAAATCCTCTTAAATGGTAATGTTAATGGCTCTTGAGTTTTGCTAATCTATTTATTTACTATAAAGTTCTAGTTTTTCTTACTCTTTGAGAAAATACTTTTATTTATTAATTTATTTTTTGAGACAGGGTCTTGCTCTGTTGCCTAGGCTGTAGTGTAGTGGCATGATGGCAGCTCACTACAGCCTTGACTCCCAGGCTCAAGCGATCCTCCTACCTCAGCCTCCTGAGTGGTGGGGACCACAGGTGCATGCCACCATGCCTGGCTAATTTTTAAATTACTTGTAGAGATGGGATCTCACTATGTTGCCCAGGCTGGTCTCAAATTCTTAAGCAATCTTCCCTCCTCAGCCTCCCAAGGTGCTGAGAGTAGAGGCATGAGCCACCACACCTGGCAAGAAAATGCTTTTAACATGGAGTATAGTAATTTGTGATCCCACCCTCTTTCCCAAATGCTTGCTCTTTCAATTAAACACCTGAAGTACATGAAAATGCTTAATGGTCTTTGTTGGTGTTGTGGCCAATCTAAGCTTTGATGTCTTCCGACGGTGGGAAAAATATATTTAAAAAGAAGTCTAATACATGCCTGTAATCCCAGCACTTTGGGAGGCCAAGGTGGGAGATCACTGGAGCCCAGGAGGTCGAGACCATCCTGGGAAACATGACAAAAACCCATCTCTGCCAAAAAATACAAAAATCAGCCAGGTGTGGTAGCACACACCTATAGTTCCAGCTTACTCGAGAGGCTGAGGTGGGAGGATCACTTGAACCCAGGTGGCAGAGTTTGCAGTGAGCTATAATCACACACCACTGCATTCCAGCCTGGACAACAGAGTGAGACCTTGTCTCAAATATTTATATGTAAATATTACAGAAAAATGTTTCAACAGCAAATAGACTTGACCCACAACTTAACAGTGATAAATGAGAGCCAAAATAGATGGATTTATGTTTATTATTTATAAACATCAAAAGAATATGTTTAGCTTATTAAGAAATTATGGCAAAGAAAATAAAATAGTTCAATCAGTTTATTTGATTCAAATATTACCACTGCAAATGTCTCTTACACATTATAAACCTATTATGAATACTATACCCTCTAATTTTTAAATCGCCTTTAGTAATGATTTGAAAACCTCGTTCCAGTGAGAGATATATATATATATATCATATATACATACACAATACACATTATGTGCACATATATATAAATTTATGTATGTATATGTAGCATATATGTATTACATATATGTGCGTGTGTGTGTGTGTGTATATATATATTTTCCCCTGATGGAAAACCAGTGTTATCTCTCAGTACCATTGGCAGAGAGGCCAAAGAGCTAGAATCGAATTCCAGCCTGCTTAGAGGGGAGGATTTGAATCCCATCACTGCATGAATGTATTTGAAGGCCAAATGCCTGCCATCCCCAAAGCATTTCCATTTATATCCTGGGCATACCGCCATTATTTCATTTACCACATTTTATTGAAATCATCTGTTCTGTGTCTTTCTTCCTCAATAGACTATAAACATTTCAAAGGCAAGCTTCCTATCATTCATTTGCATTCTTGGCACCTAGCATCGTGCCTGCTCAAAAGTTAGGGCAATGTAACTTGTTGACTTAAACTATTGTGTTAACACAAGAAATCTAATCCTCTCAACAGGAAGCTTAGCCCTGGAACTACATTACAGTAATTTCTTCTAGCCCCATGAAGACTATCTGAGAATCCCATTATAAATGTAATGTATTACTACAAAAAAAAATGCTGAGAGTCAAAGTCTACCTGAAACATAACAACTATGAAGTATAAAAGCTCAAATCTACATTAAAAGGCCTATAAGAATTCTGTTCTGGGCCACTAATGCTATATTTGCTGTGTCAGCTCAATGATTCTTTAGCACAAGGTTCATTCGACATAGTGGCTCAGACACAACCCAGGTGAGTGATCTTGGTTAAGTGCCCTGGTAATCTCCTTGGATCTCACTGGTCTCTCTTTTCTTTCTATTAATCGAATGGGAAGGTTAGTAATTCTCTAGGGGTCTTTCTGGTTTCAGAGTTCTATCAAATCTATAAAGTACAACGGGAATGTTTAAAATATACCAGCTATATGTATAAATAGGAAAAGTTATATATCCCTCCCGAAAGAGAACACATTAAGAGTAAAATTAGGCCTTTGGTTGATCCCTCCTCTAATCATCCCTACCCCTGTTCTCACTTCCTCCCCCTGAAGAATTCTAATGCTTAACAAAAGGCCATGACACTTGATTTAAAAGGTACGTACCTCTGAGCATCCTCCGAGATTCTGAGTCTTTGGCCATGGCTGCCAGTGAGGGAGGGAGCACACTTCCACAGCTGTTACTCTGTCCTAGGGGCAGATGGGCCTGCGGGAAGCAGGAGGGAGTACTTCAGGCAAGCTGCAGGCTGAATGGACCTTTAGGAAATGGCCACATCCCTGTTTCCAAAGCTCCTATCTAAGTGTACAGGGCAGAGAAGGTAAGTCTTTGCATTTCATTTGTTGATGCTAAGTGGTAAAGGCCAGTTACTGGCCCTCCCGAGAAGTTCCAGGGTAGTCGCAATATCAAAGCACTTCCTCCAACAGCAGCAATTCCAAAAGTGAAGACAGCTGGGGAAGACACTGTCCAAAATCACCTGAAAGAATGGCTGAAAGTTCTTCATGCATAAGGAGCAGAGGGCAGATGCAGGGCCAAGAATGCATGCGCACCATGCAAAAGAACAGGGAAGAGCTACTCTTGTTACAAATGCACCCATTTTTATTTATCCCCTGTTATGCGGTGGGTTGAAACTGAAGAAATCTATTAACACCCTAATGGTTTTAGCATTTTTTAAAAATAGCAAAATCCTTCATGTAGATAAAATGTACTTGAAACACAAATTTATAAAACAGATTAAAACAAAGTTACTCTGATTAAGGGCAGGGGAAGGGCTCAAAAGTCTGTCTCATTCAGAACCTCCTTCACACCTGCCTCTTCTCTTGCCACAATGATCCCCTCAGGCATGTCGGCAGAACCTGAGGGAGAGCTTGGGCGGGCATCAGGTCGCATAGGTTCACATTCCACTCCACTACATACCAGCTGAGGGCTCCTTGGTTAGTCACTTAGCCTTATACACCTCAGTTTATCCATACATACAACTGGAATAATAATCAGTAGTCTACTACCCAGTGCTGCTGGATTTTCAAATGAAGCAATCCACATAAAAGGCTCAACCCAGCGTCAGCTACATGAAAATGTCTGAATAAATATTTGTTGCTGTTATTCCTGGAACACAGAGGCTACATCCTATCTTATCTCCAGATGTGGGATGCAGCCACGGAAGTCCATCATGTAAGTGAATGCCACTCATCGCCTGGGTTGTGCTGGTAGAAAATACCCTGAAGCATGTTCTTTGGCCCCAGAGCATACAGTTTCAGATGTCCTCTGAACAGGTAGAAAATGAGATTTAGTCCTGATGTCTGCCTAACAAGTAAATGTAATGATTTATTATTTAGCACTTTTCTTTAAAGGCCTTTACACATCAGTGAATATAATGACAAGAAGACTCATGGAATGGGAAGCCCGTGGTTTCTCCCAGGTCCTACCTTTGGGGTGATGCTTCTCCCCATAGTAGCACTGCTGAAATGTGGGGAGATGGAAGATGTGGTTTTCTTTCGAGGCAAAGTATCACTCAGATAGAGGCCTTCTTTATGCTGTTTTTTCCTTTCTTCCAGACTTCTAAAGTGCTTTAAATGCAAATGCAAAGCAAAATAGCAAAACTTGACTAACTGTAATAGGTGACTGAAGAAATGAAGAATTATGCACTTACAAAAAAAACTGGAATTTTAACAGAATTTTTCTTAAAGTTATTCAACATATATTGTGTTCACTGATAGATTTGAGCTAGTATTTGATTAGATACTAAACACTGTAGGAATTTATGCTGAACCTAGAAATCTTTAAAAAATTCCACCTTTCACTTCTGTAGTGCCTGCGGCCTTGGGGCCTCAGGACAACTTACAAATTATTATGATGGTCGCCATGTGGATGGCAGAACA
This sequence comes from Homo sapiens, assembly GCF_000001405.40. Taxonomy (NCBI): domain Eukaryota; kingdom Metazoa; phylum Chordata; class Mammalia; order Primates; family Hominidae; genus Homo; species Homo sapiens. Next base: position 111,952,259 of record NC_000003.12, on the reverse strand, counting down.
GCCAGTGGACAAAGCACGTAAGCACTTTCTCCCCTTCCGGGCAGTTCTGTGTGATGACACAGATACCAGTGAGAAGAGGACAAGAAAGGGGGAAAAGGAGAAAAAGAGAAAAAGCGAGTAAACAGGGAAGTTGTTTGAAAGTTGTAATAATATTTCAGTCACATAAACACACTCCAAATCCACATAAAGTTTCCCTAAAAGGCATCATTCTAGGTTACTTTTTAAAAAGATCTTGGCCAAGGAGCCCCTACAGTAATCTCTCATATTTAAAAATCCTCTAATGGACTATTTAATTTTTTTCAGATTTCTAAAGCAAGATTTTTGTCCACTTGAAACTTACTCAAATTTTTCTTGGCCTCACCCTAGAAATGTCTTTAACAGTAAAACGATTTCCTGTTCAAGTGATGGGTGCACCAAAATCTCAGAAATCACCACTAGAGAACTTATCCACGTAACCAAACCCTACCTGTTCCCCCCAAAACTATGAAAATAAAAAAAGAAAGAAAAAACACAAAAATGAGCTCAAAAAAATTTTTGCTGAAATATATTTGAAACATATAGATAAGAATAGAGGATAATTTAAGAGATATTCATATTCCCACCACTTAGCTTCACAAAATCTTAACATTGCTTTATTTTTTTAAAGAAATAAAACATAAATATATATAGTAAAGTGATTTCTTAATTAAAGATTTTTTAGGTCTGATCATTTTGAAGTCATTTTAAAAGCTCATGCTTTTGAAATGCACAAAAATTAATGCAAATTTGAATTAGCAAATTTATAAACAGTCTTCAAATATGCCAATCATAAAAATCTGCATTTTAACTTTATAATTAACTGTTTATACTAGCTAATCAATTAATTAAGAGCTATGTGCCAGGTATGATGGTTTATATACGTTATCTCATTAAATTATTATAATAATCCTGTGAGGTAGGTACTATTACTATCTCTATATTACAGATGAGAAATCTAGGGGGCAGAGAGGTGAAATAAACTTGGCCAAAGTCATGTAGCTGGACAGCGGCAGAGCTAGAATTCATGGCCAGGTAGTCCATACTAAGATGATAATAATACTTTGCAGTTTGGCTGATTAATGCTCCTTGTAGATAGTAAAATGACATCAGAACACTTCAATCTAGCTCCCACTATGACCAAATATTATAAATTCTGAAATTCATAACTTTCCAACATTCCATAATGATAGCTTAATAAAATAGAAAAGAAACCCCAATGAAAACACAGTCTAACTGAAATTTGACAGAAAACAGCAGGTTTGTAAACTGTGATTGTTTTGCTACTAGAGATTTCTTGAATGAAGTTGTTAAAGAAATAAACCTAACATCAAAATTGAAGGCATTTAGGTCTTCCATTCTCCTTGTTTCTTCCTTGTATACATAACTTACTTCATCCACCTTTCACCAATATCCTTTCATATCAGCCCAGGTGGCAGTAACCTTAAGGCAGTGAGAGATATAGTCCTTTAACAAATGGTAATTGATGGTAAAGGTACCTTCAAGAAACATAAGGGCTAAGCATGACCAACCAGAGCTCGCCTACATCAGTGCAATGACTCCTTAGGATCTTTTGGCACCAAATTCCTGTAGGTATTTGATTATAATCGAAAGGAAGTCTCAAAACAAATTTTTTTTTTGAATACCCAAGCATCAATGTACTCTGAGTGTTCTAAAAGGAAGGCAACACTTAGAATAAAAAATTATTTATTTAAAAATCTGGTGAATAAAAACTAGATTTATGGACCAAATGCACTATTTGTGGTGTGACCTTGGACAAGCTACTTAACCTCACTGAGCCTCAGTTCCCAAAACTTTAATATGGAGATAATTTTTACTTCATGGGATCATTAGAAGGATGTAAAGAGATACACAAATTTATAAAACAGATTAAAACAAAGGTACTCTGATTAAGGGAGTAAAACGTTTAACAAATTCTGACACAGTAACAAGGGAATGATGTCTATTATGGTTTCAACTATGTATAATAAAAATATTTTGTGTTGATAAGATAACTCTTTATACTATGGATTTTATAGAAATGCTTGCTAGTATTTTGAGAACTATCTGAGATAAGTTGCAATATTTTGGTTGAATGGTAACTGAAGGATGAGGGTATAAAAAGTGCTCAAACATATAAAAGCCAGTAGGGAACACTCAAGGTATCAAAACCTTACAACAATTCTAACACTCTTAGAACACACTAAATGTTCTTAAGAGGAAAAAAAAAATCAGAGAAGTATGCAACTTGCCTTTTTAAAAATGCCTTTGGGAAAGTAGAAGAAAAGATTTCACATAAGTAATTTCGTTGTCAAAATAACATTCCCAAACTCTAAATTCCAGTTCCTAATTACCTGTTGCTCCTGCTGCTGCTGCTGCCTTCTGTGTTTCTTAGCTGGTAAAGGAGGAGGTGTGTCATTTAAAGGTAAAGGATCGACAGATGTAGCCATGAATTCAGGCCATGGGGCTGATGTATGTTGAGTGATAGGATGAGGAGAAAGAGCGGAAGGAAACACAAATCCAGAATAGACAGGTGATCTTTGCTTTATAGGAGAAAGAAAAGGTATATATGTGTCCACATGAAATGAAAGAATAAGACATAGAAATGAAATTGATAGTTTGTTCTGTTTTGTTATATTTTAATTAAGAAGTTACAATTGATGGGCAATATCTTTCAATTTAGCCTCTTATTAAAATCCCACACTGTAAGCGACTTGGATCACTGAAGGTATTTTAATTTATTATTATTGACCCCTCCCCTAGAAGGCTTTTAAAAGGCCTAATATTTAAAAGCATCCATGTTACAAAACAAAATCGAAAACAAAGTCAAACTGAAAAGGCAACTCAAATCAACAATTTTAGAAAGGCTTTTTAATTTATAAGAAAACTAAGTTGAGTTAGAGTGCTAAGACATAGAACATATTTCTTTGACTTACTTCTCCTAGTACTCCACTCCGTAGCATAAATTTCATGGTTTCTAGAATTTTTTATTGGCAGAGCATTACCCCCAAATTGGTATACTTTATAAACTCAGCCTTACCCTACCCCTCTGGCCAAACAGATATACATTTGTCATGCACGTTCTCGTGGACCTCATTTTCAGTTGGCCGTGGGTTAATTTCTGACATGAAGAAAAGCAGTGAATGAATGAAACGTCATGCCTACACACCTCTTTACTCTGTGGCTGGCTCGCCAGCACAGCTGTGGCAGGCTCAGTGGCAACAGCATCAGCATCAGCAGGAAACTGAGTGGAAGGGGATAGATTCGTGGAATTGCCACACGGCTCATTAATCTCATTTACACTGATATAGCCCTAAAAGGAGGAATTCAGAAGTTAAACACAAAGAAAGCAAAAGCTGAGGCATGCGAGAGTATTAATGTTCCCAGTACAATGAAGTTAGCTTAGAGCGGCACAGCCAGATATCTGTGGTATTATCAAATGTTTCATTAAAGGAATAATCAGCAATTAAAATGGATTTACATTGCTTAATCTTGAAAATTGGCATTCTAAGTATTAAACATAATTTTTCTGATGAAATCAAGATAACTGTAGTATAAATAACCCAAAATCTTCTATTTTAAAATATCCAGAAGTATCAGCATTCATTCTGTTGATGGATTAAGGTTGTCAACAACATATACATTTAAAGTAATAGCACACCAAGATGTAATAGTACACCAAGATGTAAAATTGACAATGCAATCACTCATTCCCTAATTAAAGAGCCTTTCCGACAAATCTTCATTCTTAGATTTTCACCGTTTCTGTTTCCTGATGAATTAAAGTGTGAGGAAAATGGGCTGAGGGCTACTGGGTTTTACACTAAGAAAACATTTTTAAAACAGTAATTATTTACAGTGGGTTCTAGCTTTTGGGCATCTCAACCAAATGAGAATAAAAATAACACTGTCCTTTCATGCAGGTGAGTCTTCCCTAACAAAACAAATGTGTGCATGCACAAACACACAGACACACATGCACACACACACACACACACGGAGTCCTAAGGTAGAGTTGCAACCAGGGTATGTTTCAATTCAAGGCAGCCTCCCTAACCCCCATCTCTACCCATAGGACAGAGAATTTCCAGTTACTTTTGAACTCAATAATTCAGTTCTGGCTTCAGCTTAGAGAAAATACCCACGGATCAAAATATCTGAGAAGCAGAACTCCCGAATCTGTGGAAAAGGCACTTGTCAATTTTCATGGAAAGTAATTATACAGACCAATCATGATTTTCACCACCCCAATAAAACAGTGTGAAAAAGCTATATAAAATAACACCTCTCTTTTAAAGCTGAAATTGAGTTAAATTTGACATAAAGATTCTTCCATGCCTCCATCAATCCTTTTACAAATTTTAGGCTGAAAAATAAAAAACCTTGATTTTTGGTAAAAACCTTGAAAGGGTTGATAACAAAGTGGAGAATGCTAGAGTTGATTGTTTATAAATTGGATGTGTCAGAGACTTGCACTTCAGAAGGCAGGATAGATATCACGTAAAGTTTTATAATGTTAAACTGAAGAAAAGAAGTAGTCAACTAGGTCAAGTTCATTCAATATGTAATACTGAATCAGAAAGAAAATGAACAATTTTGAGTTTTTCTTTTGCTCAGTTAATAGTCGACTGTTTTGAAGCCAAGTTTTAATTATTTATATGAGTCATAAACCATACAATTTAATTAATTGCTTCAAAAATGTAAACTGCTTTAAAACCTGGGAGGTCTTTAAAAGAGGTTATAAATCAATCACCCCTTTAAAAAAGAAAAAGGAGAGAGAATGAAAGAGAGAGCAGAAGAAAAAAAGAAAAACATCTTGTGAGTCAAGTCTGCTTTGTACAGGAAAGTGAACACACAGCACAAGAATTGCCATGTGTTCTCATAGCAACTCATTGTTGTACTCAACAAGCAGAAGAGTTGCAGATACACAACAATAGTAAAACAAACTAAATGTGCTTTTGACATCAGAATGTCTGCAGGAAATAAAGAGCAACTCATTAACAGAAAAGGAAAGACTTCATTCTTCTATTAGGAGACGAAAAGACTTTAGAGCCCATCCAATTCATCTGGATGCCACAAGCTCTTCAAACTCTGTATGTCCAGAGTCAACTCCAAATCTTCCCTCTTAAACAATTCCTTCCCCAGTTTTCCCTATCTCACTAAAAGGTGCTTACCATCTACTTCATTATTCAAACTGGAATAATGGCATGATTCCGGACACCTTCCTTTATTTACTTCATCCCAACATCCAATCTATCAGCAAGAACTGTGAACTGTCAACTCTACCTCCAAAATACCTGCTAATCCAGCTAACTCCTTCTATCTCTCTGCCATCCTCCAATTCAAGCCACCAGCATCTCTAGCCTATGCTACTGCAGTAATCTCCACAACAATTTCCCTGCATCTCCCTCTCTTACTTTTTATGATCCAGTAGTCACAGAGCAGCCCAGAGTGATCTTTAACAAATGGATAGCAAATGTCACCTCCCTGCTTAAAACCACTTAAAGGCCTCCCATTACACATGCAGTAGACCATATTTCTTTAACAGACTCACAAGACCTGCACCCTTACCCACCTTGCTAACATTGTCTTAGGCCATGACATTCCATTCACAACCACGCTTTGTTCATTGAACCTGACAGTTCCACGTTCCGAATAATGAAAAGAAACTATGAAACTGAATGATCTAATAAAGCTTTGGAAGAAATATTTCACAAAATGCTTCTGAGGTACACATATAGTCACACTTAATATTGTGATGAGCATTTTGTTTCATATACTTACACACACAAAAATATTTTCTATGTAAGAGTCCAAACTCCACTGTCTAAAGGGTTTTTTTTGATTGTGCAAACACGTAAGTAGAAGCAAGCTTTTCTTTTAGCTTTTTAGAAAAACAATAAGTATAAGGAATATAAATATAGGCTGGGCACAGTGGCTCACGCCTGTAATCCCAGCACTTTGGGAGGCCAAGGCAGGCAGATCACCTGAGATCAGGAGTTTGAGACTGGCCTGACCAATATGGCGAAACCCCGTCTCTACTAAAAATACAAAAATCAGCTGGGTGTGGTGGCGGGTACCTGTAGTCCCAGCTACTCAGGAGGCTGAGACAGGAGAATTGCTTGAACCCAGGAAGCGGAGGTTGCAGTGAGCTGAGATCATGCCAGCCTGGGCAACACAGTAAGACTCTGTCTCAAAAAATATATATATATATAAACTATTTTTTTTCTCAGTTATAATTTTCCAAATTAGAGTTAAAATATTCTCCCAGTGTGGCAGTGTAGTTCCTTAAGATATCTGGTGGGCAAAGTGGTGATGGGGACTGGGGAAAGGTGGATATTGGAGATAAAGAGTATGTACAGTTTACTGTAAATAGGACTTTCCAGTTTAGAGGGGAAAATGGCAGAAACAACAGTTGCGGGGGTGGGGAAATAGGGAAAAGAAAGAAACCAGACCACCTTCTAAAATGTTTGCAGGCATTTTCATGTTCTGTAAGACTCAGGAGAAGGAGAAGCAAAATAAGAGAGGGGAGGGAGAAAGGAGACTCAGGAAGGAAAAAGGAGAATTTAAGACTCATCTTGGTCTGGATCTTCAAGTTTTTGAAACCCCAGATTAACCCACAATGTCACCACCCAGCAAAGTAGACACACACACACAAACACACACATACACATACACACACACAATGTGCATCTGCATTAGACACAAGGATAATCTCTGAAATCCTCAAAGCATACATAATGAAAGGCAGGGAAACCATCCAAGCATTGAGTGCTTTCACAGGTCCTTTGAGTTAATATTTTTATTATTCAGCTAATCAAATAAAGCTGAAATACATCTCCTGATTTCTAAGGCAACATAAAGCGACATGTAAAATCATAGCTTACCTCTTTTAAAGTATTGGGGTTAACGGGAAACCCTTTCCCCCCAGAGAGGCTGGAGTATTTCTTTTCCAAATTACAAAGATTCTCCTTTTCCTGAAGGAATACAAAACCTATTAAACTTAAAAGTCAACCTTCGATGCAACTGAGAAGCATGGTGACTTTGCATTAGAGACTAACATCAGATTCTCACATATTTCCCCCATTTCTATTTCCTCTCATCATACTCAGTCAAAATTTCAAATCTGTATACTAGAGGTCATCTTCTGCTAGCTGATATGCTGCATGAGTTGTTTCCAAACATACTTAGCAATATAACCTTTAATTCCTAATAAATTTTATAGAGTCATTTAAAAATGTGTTTAAAATAAAATTTTAAAAACATTATTTTCAGCCAGGTGTGATGGCTCACGCCTGTAATCCCCAGCACTTTGGGAGGCTGAGGCGGGCAGATCATGAGGTCGAGATTGAGACCATCCTGGCTAACATGGTGAAACCTTGTCTCTACTAAAAATACAAAAAAATTAGCCAGGCGTGGTGGCAGGCACCTGTAGTCCCAGCTACTCAGGAGGCTGAGGCAGGAGAATGGCATGAGGCGGAGGTTGCAGTGAGCCGAGATCGCGCCACTGCACTGCAGCCTGGGAGACAGAGCAAGATTCTGTCTAAGAAAAAACAAAACAAACAAAAAAAAAACCAACAAAAATTATTTTCTAATGTCTTTTTCTTTTAATCCTTCCAAATAACACATAATTGTTGATGATGTAATATCACATGATGTTGTTGATGACATAATATCTGATGATGTAATATCACAACCCAGTGATATATTTTCTTTTGGGAACTTTATGGTGTTAGCTTTTACATTTGTCTATGATTCATCTTGAATTAATTTGGTATTAAGCAACATTTATGGGTCACTTTTTTATTGTGCTATAATTTGTATATGTGTCCTTGCCATGGCTGGGGCTAAAATATTTTTAATTAAAAAAAAAAGTGCATTCAGTGAAATGCATAGATCTTAAGTATATAAATTTATGAGTTTGAACAAATGGAATAATATCCTAGACAAGATAAAGAGCATTTCTGTCACCCCAATCATTTCCTCATGCCCCTACCTGTCAACTTCCACCCTTATGAGCAAGCATTGTTCTGATTTCCACGGCCTTAACACTAGTTTTGCCTGTGTTATAAAGTGTTTGCCTACTTATAAAATGTAACCACTTTATATAAATGGAATCATACAATATGCATTCTTTTGTGTCAGCCCTCTTTCACTCCATGTTACAGGCATCAGTAGTTCACTGTTTTTTATTGTTGAGGAGTCCTGTATTATATAAATATACCTAACAATTTGCTTATCCATGCTCCTATTGATGGATATTTAGGTTTTCTAGTTTTGTTTTGTTTTGTTTACTATTATGGAAAAAACTACTTTAAACAGTCTTGAAGAAGTTTTATATGAAGACATGTTTTCATTTATATTGTGTAAATATCTAGAAGTGGAGTTGCTGGGTCATAGATGGATGTTAAAATAAACTTCTATAAAGTTCTGTGAAAGGACTGTATATTTTACACTCAAGTCAGCAATGTATGAAAGTTCTAGTTGCTTCATATTCTTGTCAACATTTGAGATTTTCACTTCTTTAGTCATTTTAGTTTATGAGATGGAATTAAATTGTTGTTCTAATTCATATTGCCTTGATGACTAATGATGAGTATTTTCCCATGTAACTTTTCGGTTCTTCATATACGTTCTTTGGTAAAATCTTTATTCAAGACTTTTGCCTGTTTTTTAAAAAAATTTATTGATGTATTGCTATTATTATTGATGTGTACAGGTTCTTAATATGTTGTGGATACAAGTCTTTTGTCATTTCTTTTAAAAATTTTTGCTTACTCAAGGCTATAAAAGTAAACTTTCACTCTTATATTTTGTTCTGGAAGCTTTATCATTTTAATTTTTATATTGAGGTCTCTGATATATCTTGAATGAATTTACATATATCATATGACAATATTGAGGTTTACTTTTTTTTCCATGTTGACTCAGTTGATCCAGCATCATTTCTTTGAAAGAATTGTTTTGGTGCCTTTGTCAAAAATCAAAAGACAGTATATATGTATGGGTCCATTTTTGGACTTATAGTTCAGTTTCATTGATCTATTTAATATACATGTATTTGTATGGCAGTACCACCCTGCCTTAAATGGCTCCAGAGTAAACCTTGAAATAAGAGTACAAATCCTCCAACTTTGTTCTCGTTCAAAGTTGTTTTGGCTGTTCTAGGCTCTTTGCATTTTCATATGCAGTTGATTATTGGTGGTAACTATGTTATATAATTTTGCCACGAACACTGAAATTAGTGAATACTGAACCACTGCCCCTAAAACAATACAGGGTTGGGTTCCTGCAAGCCTCTAGTCACAATATTTTCATCAACTGATCAATACTGAACTTTGTTTCATGTGTGTTTCCGTTTGAAGACACTTACTTAATATTACATATTATATACCATTATATATTAATATTAACATATTATACTATATATTATTATTTGTATATTAAGATATATATTGCTGATTCATTAACCTTGAACTGACAGTCAGCAACACTATAACAGCGTGAATGAAGTTCATCTAAGACACGTATTTTCTCCATAAGGCCCTTCACAGCCTTCTTGCATTTAGAAGCACTTCACTGCACTTAGTCACTATGCTTGGGAGGCATTTTATGCAGCAAATCACCAACAAAAAACAAAAACGTAAAAACATGGCATTAAATAATCCACAAAAATAACACTCATTTACAGTATGAGAGAGAAAACAAGAAGGCGGGATGCTCCCTTGTTCAACCTCAGCTGGGAATGTGCATATTGGCCAACTCAAAATTTTCACCACTCCAGGTATTTCTGTGAATGACTGCAAAAGTGCCACAAGTATCAATTTAGAGGTTACAAATACATTTTAGCAAGTAGACATAATCACAAACATAGAATCCCTGAATAATGAAGATCAACTGTAAATTTTAGCATCAACTTGTCAATTTCTAGAAAAAAGTCTGTTGGGATTTTGATTGGGATTAAAATGTATCTATAGATCAGTTTAGAAAAATAAAAATCTTAATACTTATAGACCACAATTTTTACAATCTAATTGTATCTTATATATTTTAATAGGAAAATATTATATCTGTGATTGTGCTTACCCATTTTATAAAATCTATCACTGGGAGTTTTTCTCTATTTTGGCTAAAATTTTAAATATTAAATACTACATATTACACTATCTAAGTTAACCTGTGACTTTGAATATTGTGTTCCAAAGGTAAAATAGTAGTGAGGATGCTAATGGAAACAGATTTCATCCCCAGAGCAAGGGATAGAGAGGGAAAATACAACTCCATTCAGAGACTTCGAGGTGGGAAAAAGAGGAAGATGGAAGTTGTCAGAAATATGTGCGGGCTGCTGGGGCACCCCAAATGGGCTTATAATTCTATGTGAAGGATCTATTTCCTCTCTCTTCTCCTTTTGTTTTGTTTTGTTTTGTTTTGTTTTTTTGAGACAGGGTCTCACTCTGTTGCTCAGGCTGGAGTGCAGTGGCATGATCTTGGCTTACTGAAACCTCTGCCTCCCAGATTCAAGTGATTCTCCTGCCTCAGCCTTCTGAGTAGCTGGGATCAAGGTGTGTGCTACCATGCCCAGCTAATTTTTTGTATTTTTGGTAGACATAGAGTTTTTCCATGTTGGCCAGACTGGTCTTGAACTCCTGGCCTCAAGTGATCTGCCTGCTTCAACCTCCCAAAATGCTGGGATTGTAGGCATGAGCCATGGTGTCAGGCCTTCCCCTTTCCTCTTAACCTAAAATAGCTAAGAAGGGAATGAATACTCATTTATTTTAGGTGGGACTATGGTACAGCTTCATCCTTTAATACTTCCTTCTGGATTTGGTCTTTCTCTGCATGCCATTCTCATGGTCCCAAGTGTCATATTGCTAATGCAGTGGCATAAATGCAGGGTTCAGATCTGAGACTAGCCCCATTAACTTTAATGTTTGGTGTCTTATTGCTGAAATGATACCGGGGTCATGTCAGAGAGTTAGGCTACGGCTTGCTTTTCAATGTCTTTGGGCAAAGAAATCCCTTTACAGGTAGTCACTTTAGGTGTTGGACCAGAAGAGGACATAGTCTCTTTGGTGAGGATGATCTTGCCACCCCTTGACCATACCATATGGAGTTTCTACCTACCCAATTAATTCAAACTAAATGCAATGTGACATTTGCTAGAAAGACCCATGAACAAATAACTAGAGTTCAAAACACCAGATCAGCTGGGCCAAAATATTTGACAGTAGTAAAAAGGACATTTTTCCTTAAGTCCACCCTAAATTGGTGTTAGAATGCATTTTAACTATTTGATGAATGGTATGACTTTTTTAAAAAAGAGGAAAACAATCATTTAAAAATACAGACTTTCCATCGTTAAGATTTTTACAATGTGAAAAAAGCATGAAGAAAACATCCTTGCTTATTTTCTGAATGCTAGTTAATAGTTCAGAGTATCAGCTTATGAATGTGGAGGATTAAATAAAAAAGTATATAAAAATCTTCCTTAAATTGTATAGACATTCACTATTAAAAGGTGTTTACTTTAAAGGGGGCAATTTCCCTGAATTTGGAACCTATGTTTTACTGTAGCCAGTGCTGAAAAGGAAATACTTACTCTTTGCAACATCATTATTAAATTATTCTTTTCTTTCACAAAATGATCTTGCTCTCTCTGAGCCTGCTGAACAATGTGATTGGCTTGCTTTTTCAATGCAGAAATTTTTTCCTGGAGGAAAAGAGATGATCATAGGAAGATGTACATTAGACACTCAAAGGTTTGCTAGTCTGTCCTAGAAAAGGGAGAAAAAAATTTTCACCACTGGAATAACAGTGACTACATTTTAGTTGATGGTGGGCAGTGATTATTACCAAGAGACTGTGAGGCATTTCTTTGACCTGTCAGCCTCAATACTTTCTTTACTGAAGGCTAATATAGATCGACTGATTAAAAACCTATCTTGAAGAACCCAGAAGTCAACAGGAAATCTAGTTTTAGGCTATCGATGAATTTTTTACAACATCTTGGGTACGCCTCATGAGAAAAAAACAATGGAATTTCTTATTTAAACTGAGAGTTTAAGAAAACACCTTCTCTTGTCTTTCCTTTCCTCAATTTTATTGGTTTAGTACAGAGCCCTGGGTATGATTCTAAATTCTGGAACAAAGTTGAATTCTGGGCTGGATATCTAAGTGCTAGGGGTTGGGTGGAGTCAGTAGTAATCCACATGGCATTCTACTTCTAATGGTAATAAGCTATCAGCCAGTTTTGAGAACTACTGAGCAATGAAAACAGAGAAAAATCCAAAATAGACTTTGTTCATAGAATTATTCTGAACCCAGTTACTATGATTGCAAAAAGAAATAGTTTAAAACCAATATCTGAATTCCTGATTTTCTATGCCTTGGTTTTCACGTGAATGAAACAATTAGGTACTATTCATAAATGCATCTACAGCATTATGTAACAACTGTAATATGTCTCAATTTGTCTAATTTGGAACACCATTTGCCACATACATGGCAGACTACGTAATCTGTCAAATGTGATATTCAGACAGACATATGTCATAGCTATGTTAAGCAGAAATATATTTTGATTTTTCACATTGAATGACACCTGGAAAAAGTACCTTTCTAGAAACGATGTTCCGTTGATATTCAGCAACTTCACGCAGGAGCTGTTGAGTCAAGTTCTCCTTTTCTTCATCTAGACGGCTCTCATGTTCAAGCTGCTGGAACTCCAGGTCTTCAAAGTGTTTGCTTTCAACATCCAACAGGTCAGCATCCTTTGGAGAAAAGTGAATGAAAACAAGACACACTGAGATAACTACCACCTTCTTAATGTGAAGAAACATTTATTAAAAGCAGTTGGTCCAAGATATCTTTCCAGTTACAATATTGACCAGGGTTAGAACATAACACTATCTTTTGGAGTTAAATCCCAGAACGTGACTGTTAGAGGGAATCGAAAAGGCAGCATTTATTTCACCCTCAGTTTTAGACTTCTCTGTGGAGGTAAGAATTCTTGCGTTAAACCCACACTGGGTGGCTTTAAAATGGAGAAGGAAGTACAAAAACAACTCAGTAAATAACCTAAACATAATCTGCAGTCCAAAGGTGTAACATAGCGTTACAAGAAAATTCTTCTTGGCCAGGCGTGGTGGGTGGCTCATGCATGTAATCCCAGCACTTTGGGAGGCTGAGGAGGGGGGATCACCTGAGGTCAGGAGTTTGAGACCAGCCTGGCCAACATGGTGAAACCCCGTCTCTACTAAAAATACAAAAGTTAGCTGGGCGTGGTGGTGGGCACCTGTAGTCCCAGCTACTTGGGAGGCTGAGACAGGAGAATTGCTTGAGATGGAGGTTGCAGTGAGCCGAGATTGTGCCATTGCACTCCACCCTGGGCGACAAGGGTGAAACTCTGTCAAAAAATAAAAATAAAGATAAAAATAAAAAAAGAAAGAAAGGAAAGGAAAGGAAAGGAAGCTCTTCTTTTCTTCAATTTTTCATAGAAAACAAGACTAATGTGGAGATTAAAGAGTCAAAAGTTGGCACACGTACAGACCAGAGGTGTCTAATAGGGATACATGTATCCCAGATGGTACACAACACAATCTGCTGGACTGTGCAGAAAAAAATTAGACCCCTTTCATACTCGTTTTTAATTGTTTATTTTCTTTTTCAGTTTCTCAACATATGTTTTCTAATGTATACACAAGTAGCATAGTATGTATACACGATTTTAAATATATACATTCTTTGGGCATGCACACTATATATATTTATAATAATATGGATTATATATCATATATCTACAAAGGAAATGCATGCTCTAATAATTTTATTAAAGGGATAAGCAATCAAAAAACTTTTGGACATGGGCTCTAGGTGATGACGATGTGTCGGTGGAGGTTTAGCAATTGTAACAATTGTACTGCTCTGGTGGAGAATGTTGATAATGAGGGGAGCCTACGCATGTGCAGGGGCAGAAGGAATATGGCAAATGTCTGTAAGTTCTGCTGGGTTTTGCTGAAAATATAAAACTGCTCTAAAAAATAAAGTCTTTTTTTTAAAAATTGAAAAGTGAGGTTTTAAAGCCAGGGTTCTATGAGCCCATTAAAAATATGTACACACCTTTTTACTGGAAAGTGTAAACAAAGCTTTTATGAGGCACAAAGGGTGACTCAAAAGGTTAAACACCACCACTCTCAGAATAATCTTGAGGACATTTAAGGAAGATCAGAAATTATGAAAATCAGATGGTCTAGAAAAAGCATTCTCTAACCTATGAGGTACTTGAAGACAGGAATATATTTATGCATCTGCATTCATGCAGAGATTGATGCATGTTGTATAGATTATTCTCTAATATACTTTTTGTTTAAACACCCTCTTATTTTTGGAGTCTTTAACATTATTTATAAATCGCGTATGTTTAGGAAATTTCTTTTTCTTTTCCTTTTTTTTTTTTAATTTTTTTTTTTAGAAGACAGGGTCTTGCTTTGTCACTCAGGCTGGAGTGCCATGGCACAACACAGCTTACTGCACCCTCGACCTCCCAGGATCAAGCAATCTTCCTGCCTCAACCTCCCAAGTAGCTGGGACTACAGGTGCACACCACCATGCCTGGCTAATTTTTGTACTTTTTTGTAGAATGGGGTTTTGCCATATTGCCCAGGCTGGTCTCAAACTCAAGCAATCCACTCACCTCAGCCTCTACTCACATGGATCCACTCACCTGGGATTATAGGTGTAAGCCACCACACCCAGCCAGATTTTTTATAAATATAACCTACACATAATCTACATCCAAAAGGAAGAGGCAGCTGGGCTCTGTGGCTCACAGCTCTACATAGCTAACATAACCAAAGCATTTTTTGGTTGTTCTTCAATCAAATCATCAAAGAGAGTTGGATAAATAATTATATGCTAAGTTATTTCTATATCGATATTCAACCCCATCCCCACTCTGGTTTTTATATTAATGATAAAGCAAGCTTTATGATAAAATGAAATGTATTTCTATCTTCTGCAATGACTTTTACTCTAGGGATGATTCATAGAAGAGCTATTAGCTACTGAGTAATTAGCAACAAGACTATCATGTCAACACAGACAATTCTCAAAGCTTAAGAACAGGAAAAACACAATTTGAAAAACATATTCAACATTTCTTAACACTTCTTTACATTTTATTTGGCTCCAAAAAAATATGTGCTCAATTTCAAGTGTTTGGTTGACATTTCAAGTTAATCAGACATTTCAAATTTATAACTTCTAAAAGAATTAATGAGTTAAAAGAATTAAGGAATTAAGAACTAACTCAAGTGTTATGGCTTAAAACAATATCTTCTGTTTTGAAATAATACACTGGCTGACATAATAAGCACATACACTCAAGTTTATAAGGTCTTCCAATTAAGCTTGATTTGTGTTCAAAGATTACTGAGATTTAAAAAAAAGGAATAAGCCCTTTTTCTGGCTTATAAGTAATCTTCATTCAAAGTGGCCATATGACTCAGAATATATACACTTTGCTAGTCAGTTGCTTACTCCACATCTGGCTAATATGCAATATGTGTTATTTTAACCCTGCATGAAAGTCAAAGAATCATTCATTTATTTGTAGTAAATACTTAAACCACTGCATGAAAATAATGGCATACTAAGTAAGAAAGTTGAAAATTAGGCTAAGCTCAGCACTCAGACTCCACTGACATAATCATCTGATCAAGTTATCTAAACCATCAAAATGTGTGTATATAAACTTACATCTTAAACAAAAAACTATTAGGGAGAGGAATAAAAACTTTTACAAGATTTTATGTATGAATAAGAAGTCTGGGAATGGAATTTGGGGGAAGGAATAGTTTAATTGAGCACAGAATAATATACACAGGAAGTTCAAAGTGAAGTATGTATGACTAATTGAATGAAAATTTTAACTATACTTCACTCACTAAAAGAGCATTACATATCTCTACTGGATGGCAAGCTCAAAGGCCAGGCATGAAGGACCTAAAACAGCTGCACTAAAGGAAATTCTGTGCAATTTCTTTTTTCTTTCCAGTAACTTTTTAAATAATGTATACGGCAGAAGTTTACATGCAGTTCTTTATGTTTTCTTTGCCTGATGGAGGGACAGGAAGAAGAGAATAGATGTGGTATGACCAGGAGAAATTGCAGTAATAACAGCTCATGGCCAACTCCAGAAGCAAATTTAAATGGGGCTCAGGGTTTTGTTAACTTTTACACTTTAACTACATACTTTTGGAATATGGAAAAAGACAGTTGAAATAATCTAGTCCAACCTCCTTGAGGTGATTAATACTGTCAACCTGATTGGATTGAAGGATGCAAAGTATTGATCCTGGGTGTGTCTGGGAGGATCTTGCCAAAGATTAACATTTGAGTCGGTGGGCTGGGAAAGGCAGACCCACCCTTAATCTGGGTGAGCACCATCTAATCAGCTGCCAGAGTGGCTAGAATATAAAGCAGGCAGAAACAAAACAAAACAAGAAACAACGTGAAAAGACTAGACTGGCCTAGCCTCCCAACCTGCATCTTTCTCCTGTGCTAGATGCTTCCTGCCCTTGAACACTGGACTCCAAGTACTTCAGTTTTGAGACTTGGACTGGCTCTCCTTGCTCCTCAGCTTCCAGACAGCCTGTTGTGGGACCTTGTGATTTTGGGAGTTAATACTTAATGAACTCCCCTTCTATCTATCTATCTATCTATCTATCTATCTATCTATCTATCTTATATACACATATATCATATTAGTTCTGTCCCTCTAGAGAACCCTGACTAATACACTCCTTATTTCATATATGAGGATATTGCAGCCCATAGAAGTTGAATGACTTGTCCAAGACTAATGGATAAACTAATTTTATAGCCAGTGACAGTAAAAAGGTCTTTTAATTGTAGATCACTGAATAAAATTTTTTTAAAACATCAAGATACTCCCCGACTCTACTAAAAATATGAAAAATGAGCCAGGCATGGTGGCAGGTGCCTGTAGTCCCAGCTGCTCAGGAGGCTGAAGCAGGAGAATGGCGTGAACCTGGGAGGTGGAGCTTGCAGTGAGCCGAGATCGCACTACTACCCTCCAGCCTGGGTGACAGAGCAAGACTCTGTCTCAAAAAAAAAAAAAAAAAAAAAAAATCAAGATACCAAAATCAACCATTCATTTGAGTAAATATCAAAAGCACAAGAAGACAGTTACCTGGCTGGGACAGTTTTCTTGTGCTTTTGATTATTTACTCAAATAAAAGTTTGATTTTGGTCTTGATTAAAAAAATTTATCCAGTGATATCTACAATTAGTAGACCTTTTTTCTATCACTGGCTCTAAAATCATTTTATCCATTAGTCTTGGACAACCCATTCCAACTCTATGGGCCTAAATATCCTCATATATGAAATGAGAAGGTAGGATGAGATTATTTCTATTATCTTTTTCCACATGAGATGAGTTAAATGACTCATTTTCATTTAACATCAGTTTTCTTTTCTACACTATTAGTAACCCAGGGATTGCTGTGCCCATATCAACTACCAGATTGGTAAGGCCATGTTAACAACATACCAACCACAGGCCACAAAACCAATATCAGATGAAAATAATATTCAGACTCTAACATCATGTTTAAAGGTAGGAAGACCAGCCACAAGTCATTATGCTGCATGCACAAAATCATTCTACAATTTCAGCTGAAGTATTCAATATGCAGTTTAATAAAATAACTTTCTTCTTATTCTTTTATTTTTTACTTTGTGTGACTTACCACCTAATGAAGCTATTTATAATAAAACAAACTTTATTAAATCTAGTTTAAATGCCCAAGGGAAAGCTTTGTAGTGAAGTCATATTTTGAAGTGTTTGAAGTCTAAAGGGAGATAAGCTGTGATAACACAGAAAGGTCCTAAAGTGAACTTTAGGACTTACTTCTCATGAAGTAAGTGAACTTTTTACTGATTAAGCCAAGGCATTGGTGAAGAGTTATACTGGTCGTCATCCTTGAAAAACAGAATTAGTAGACCTCTTAATATAAGGTGAACTGCAGCCATCACAAGCCAGTTATCTCTCCTAAGGAAAGAGGTTTTATAAGAATTTTACACTCTGGAGAGGAAAGGGAAGAAGTCTCTGCCTTCAATTAATGGAAAAGACTGTCTGCATCATTTCCTTTCCTCTTTTGTAGTCAGAATCTTTGGAACATATAACTGATATTATGAGTTATCCTACAGAATCTAGATTAAGCTAAACAGTATTTATGTTAATCATAATCCAAGTTGTGAATAGAGTCTATAAATTTTTATGTAAAGCAATGTTTATAAAGAACACAATAAATGGATAACCAGAGGAAGGGAAGGACAAAATATACAACTATGCTGCTGACTGTAAATAAGGAATTCCAATGACTGTGTAAAATCTTTAGTGATAAGGAGAGTTAAAATGTAAGCAAATGTAAAAAAAATCAGTTTTCCCATCTCTTTTGTTAACTAGCATAAACACAAGCAAATTACAAACTGAAATTACTTTACAAATACTAGTTTTCTTCCAATCATTTTTATCATAAAATTTTCAGAGAATTGTGACTGAGAGGCAGGAAGTTTTATCTTCTTACAACAAATTCAGCTGCATACAATAAAAAGAGTAAAGGGAAGACATATGGTTAAAACTTTCTTTGCTCCAACATTGTAAGAAATAAATACTAAAACTATTATGCTGCAGTTTAAACAGCTGCATTGGATTCTCATTATTAAGATGCTCTCAACTTCTGCAATACATTGAAAAGCTTTAACTGTTATTTTTTCACCTAGTGACGTTCTCAGAGGTAGCAAATATTTTTGTATTAAAGGTCATCTTAAGAACGTTTAAGGATGTGCTATCTCAATAAATTTTTCAACCTCCCCATTCCCAAGAAGGTACAAACATAATAACATGGATGAAACTAGCTTGTTATACTCAGGTAGAATCATAAATTGTTAATCACTCAAGACAAATTACTATTACGTGACTCTTTCAGATATCCAAGACTGTTAACGACTGCTTCCCCAGAAGGAAGCAGTTTACTGGGGCTGCTGTTCAAAGGAAATGACCCAGTTGCCAAGAGGCTATGAAATATTAAGTGGCTGTGCCAGTGTTTGTGAAACTATCCACCTAGGAAGTCTTGCTTTCAGAAGATAACCAGTGTGGTTGTGTTAAACGCTGCCAACCTTAAGGATCAAAGAATAACTTGATAAAGCTTAACTAGAAAGTCTATGCTGCATTAAGTTCTTAGAAATTATGAAGCTCACATGAGATGTTGAGGGCATTTGTAATGCCCTGCATCTTGGGTCTTGGTGTTTAATTGTTGGGATTGGGCTAATTAGTTCAATGTCACTAACCAGCAGAAAGAAAAGGAAACACAAAAGAATAGCTGCTGGTGGGGAGCAAATCAGAAAATAGGATAATCTGGGGACAAGAGTCTAAAATCAAGCTAAAGAACAAAACATTCAAGGGTAAATAGGATTCATGATGCAGCAGAGAATGCAGGGGAAGAGATCAGTTAATACAAATGCTATAATGTTGATGTTGGTTACAAATCAGAAATAGCTTCTTTTGTCACAAAAAAAAATGACTCCAGAAATGGTTTTGCATTAGAAATTATGTGAAGGATTCTAACAAGGAATTTTAAAAACTGATTAGCATGGAATAATATATACTGTTAGCATGCATATTTCCATTTAAACGTATCTAATGACTAGAACTTATGCAAACTTATGCTATATGAAGTCGTAAGTCACAGGTAAGTGGCACTTAAGTGAAAAACAAAAACGAAAAGCAAAATAACTGGTGCATTCCTGTTTGCTACTGACCCTCTTCAGTTGTTGTTGTAACTGTTCCCTCATGGACTCAGGACAATTGTCCAGCTGGGTCTTCTGCTCGGAGTAAAGCTCCTGAAGCCTCTCTAGTTTTTCCCTTTCAGCATCAAGCTTTACCTTCTCCTGAAGTTCAGAAACCAGAAAATAGAATAGAAATTACCTTCACACCCCCAAGCAGGTGCTAGTGAACATTTCTCAAGGATAACATAAACAAACATACACAAACTCTGGACAATCTATGAATGTAGAAACGTATCTTGTTAGTGGCTAGGATAAAGGGATATAAGTGGAAGTTAAGACAAAGGGACTGGGTTTCTGCATTCTCAAAGCACAGTCCACTTCATGGCAGTGACTCCCACTTTCCTTCCCTCCCTTCTTCCTGCCACCATGTTACAAAAGCAGGGGAAGCAATGGTCATGTTGAGTGTTGGTCATTGGCCAACAATCAAAGAAATGCCAACCAAATTCATAAGCAAGCCTTGCTAAGAGTCACCTGTCAGAGAAACAGACAAAGGAAAGGGGGCATTTACCTCAAGGACTGTCATAGCCTAACTCGCTCAAGGCCTTTGTATGGCAAGTTTTGGAATTAACTGGTTTTGTTCTCAGGTTAGAGGAATTCTAGGTGTATTAATTGACATCCCCGTCATCTGAAACAGTTCTAGCTATCTGGAAAACTTCAGAACTTACAGAGTTAGAAAATCTTAATCCAGAGAGATTATTCAAGGACTGAGAGAGAGCTAGTAAAAATGCAAGACAGACAAAGCAGTGAAGGGAAGGCATAGGCAGCTCAGACACACCAAAAATGTGACGGGGACTGCGGAAATACAGACTTTCCCACAACGACTGACATAAAAATAAACTGAAACACGGACTGTGAAAAAAAGAAAAGAGTCAGAGAAGAAAGGAGAAGGAAGAGAATACTAAATCCCTTCCAAGTCACACGTGCCAATGAGACCCTGGACATTCTCTAGGATTTAATAGGCAAATACTCTAATACAGTGATTACACGGCTTTACAATGCTACCTCTTAAATTAAGAAACAAAACTTCAGTTTTTTGGTGCCAGTCTTCCCAACTTGTGTTCTTTTTATGATGCTCTGAACAATTGAAACAAATTTTAGATGTGTCTTCTTGTGTAACACCATCAGCCTAAACAAAAGCACTTTATGAAGCACTTTGACAATTTGACCTTCGGTAAGTGAAATGACCACCACCTTCCCTTCCTTATATTCCTTTTATATAAACTGGCAGGAACAAAACTAGCTTCTAAGCACATCACAGAAGGACTCTTTTTAAGGATTTTCCTCTGAAATAGTCCTATGACATTATCCTTACTACATTTTATCAAAATGGCCATGATTTCCTACATAAACACATAGATTCCGTATAAAAGATGTTATGGTTCAAATCTAAAACTACATGATATCAATACCAGTTCACTTGAGTCTCCATTTTTCACTTAAATTTAGAAATGTATATTTGGCTTTAGAAATGTAATTTTCTTAAAATAATTAAATTCAGAAATCATAAACCTGAGACCCCTACTTCACATACCAATCTAACATGGTTCTGTAACAACTTAAAAGTTTAACAGACAACAACGAAAATTTCTTCGATCTTCAATGGTAAGTTTGCTCACTGTACACACCAATTGTGCAAGAGTTGGAGAAAGCAATGGCATTATTAACAGAACAAAGGATGCCCACGTGTGCTAATCCATAGTTAAACTGAATATACTAGCACCGTTAGATTTAGTCTTTAGTTTCAGAATTTTTTTTTTCCTTAATAAAACCAGCCATACAGAATATCTGTTGTCCTCTGGCTAAGAAAAGGTGTTCTCTCCTATGTGTGTGCATCAAAGATTGCCCTATTTACACAGCAAAATAATTTTATCCCAAGAGTTCTATTTCTAGGTACTGCATCACCAGAGTTTGCAGCAACTCTACCTCCAAATGGAAAGCTAAAAAGTAATTTAAAAAAGAAGACTACTCATTATAATTTAATAGCACATGTATAAAGCCCTAAAATTTAAAGTTATCTTTGACAGAAAACACTGATATGATATTTGATAATACAGAAAGCCACTGGCCTAAAACACAGGTCTCAAATCTGAAGAAATAACAAAAGTACTCCTGATGCTCTCAAATGTTTGTATTGTTAATAATAAACTCAAATCAACAACTAATAAAAAAAAATCTTTCATGCCTGTAATCCCAGCACTTTGGGAGGCCGAGGCAGGCGGATCACGGGTCAGAAGATCGAGACCATCCTGGCTAACACGGTGAAACCCCGTCTCTACTAAAAAAAAAAAAAAATTAGCTGGGCATGGTGGCAGGTGTCTGTAGTCCCAGCTACTCGGGAGGCTGAGGTAGGAGAATGGCGTGAACCCAGGAGGCAGAGCTTGCAGTGAGCCGAGATCGTGTCACTGCACTCCAGCCTGGGCGACAGAGTGAGACTCTGCCTCAAAAAAAAAAAAAAAAAAATCTTATATTTAAATAGTGCCTTACTTCCGAGGTGCTCAAAAGGTTTTGCAATTCATACAAGGGGGCATCTAGAAGAATATGCAAGCAGGCACCATTAGAACTTTTTGCAGCTTCTCTGTTTATCAGTAATGCTGTGACCACTACCTGGGTCCCAGAGCAAAAGCTCAGTGGGGCCAAAGCTAGGGCAAAGGAAGTAAAGGGAAAGGATGAAAGAAGACCAGTGGCAGGTGGGCCTGGCTATAAATCACAGAGGACGGCAGAGGTGATATAACTCCTGTGAGTGCCAGAAGTAGACCAACTTTGAGCCAGAAAGAAATTAATATTCCTCTATTCTATTTATTGTCCAGGAAGTTGTTAAAGGAAAATTAGCTCTAGGCAAGCAGTTAATTAGAGCTGAAAGTTTCACCTTCTACAGTGAATGTAAAATAGATGGCATTTGAGGGTTTAGGGATTCTTGCTTTTTAAATGTAAAATATTAAGATTGAGGTTTTTCTCTTCCACCATATTTAAATTGGTAAACTCACCTATTCTAACTGCAATAGGCACAATAATATTTTCCAAACACCAAACTGAGAGAGAATATAACTTTTTAAAAAATATTCATAAATGTACTTTCAGGAAAAAAAATGAATTAAAAAAATTTTTAAAATAGTGTCTCACTCTGTCATCCAGGCTGGATTGCAGTGGTATGATCACAGTTCACTGCAGCCTTTAACTCTTAGGATCAAGTGATTCTCCCATCTTAGCCTCCCAAGTAGCTGGGACTACAGGTGTGCACAACCATACCAGATTAATTTTTTATTTTTTATCTGAAGAGATGGGGGTCTCATTATGTTTCCCAGGGTGGTCTTGAACTCATGGGCTCAAGAGATTTTCCCACTTCGGCCTCCTAAAGTGCTGGGATTATAGGCATGAGCCACTGCACCTAGCCTAAAATGCATTTTTAATAAATTTATCACATTTCACTTTATTGAAAAAATTAAGATTAGAAGGAATTGGAACACTCCAGGAAAATCCAGATGTACAAGAGGGCATTTATAAAACCACAAACAGAATGGGACTTTCCTAGAGACAGCACTGTTCTCACTTTGACTTGTCTTCTCTTGATGTACGAGCAAAATCCAGTTGGGTCACAAATTCATGCCAGTTTTGACCTATTTTGTATATTTAAAACTGACGTTTCTAGAGTTCCACATTCATATATAGACAAAGATAAATTACCCATGGGTAAATTAAGGTAGAAATCAGTTTATAAAATTGGGCCTATATTTGCTTCCATAGTGAGTTGTTTGTTCATTTGCTCAATAACAATTGAAAGAAAACTAGAGGAGAGGAAAGAAAAGAGAGCAATTGATCCTGTCCTCATGTAGCACAGTCCAGTTAACCCATTAGAACAATGTGGAAGAGCTTTTAAATATACTATTTCCCAGGCCCCAATTTGGTTACAAATCCAGGGATAGAAGGCTTAGTAACAAGCATTTTAAAATCTCTCCAGGTTTTCTGATATGCAGCCAGGTTGAGACCCATTGACTTAGCCACCCAGGGTTATGAGAGAGGCAAAAGCAATTAACTACAATTTGATTTTTCTAATGAATATATAGAACATTAATACAGGATCCACCAAAAACTATTCTTAAAATATTTGGTCCTAATGCCTTTACTTCACAGTATAAAAGTCCTCTCTTACAAATAATATCCCAATTGTAAATTTTTTACATTTAAATTAAATGTCTCAAGTAAACCAAACAAAAACTGTGACAGATTGCAGTATGCAATATTCGTACAGACAGGGATGATACATTTCAAATTCAGAGGTGAAATATTTATCGTCTAACCATAAAAATGATCAGGATTGTTAAAAGTTTACACTAAAGAATTTGAACTTGCACACGAGTTGCCAATAATCTTGAATGATCTTAAAAACGCAAGGCTTGTCAAAAGACTACTTATTCTGCTAGATGGTTAAAAGACAATAACATAAATTGTCTCTCTTCTAAGTTGTATTACTGAAGGAATAAGCAAATTTAATTTGCTAACTCTCTGGAGTTTCAATACTACACAGAATATTCTAGGATACCAATTAAAAAATCATTTTATCATATTTAAGTGTGCAATACTTGATAAACAGATGGTTCAAGGTTACAAATTTATTAACCTGTAGGGCTGCCAGATAAAACAGAAGACATTCAGCTACACTGAATTTCAGATGAACAACAAATGACTTTAATGTTAAGTATGTCCCAATTATTGCACGGGACATAATTACAATACAAAATGATTCTGTTTGTCGGAAATGCAAATGTACCTGAGGTTCTTGTATTTCTGTTTGCTAGTTCTGACAACCCTGTTAGCATGATAAAGATTTTCCTAAAAATTAAAATCCACTTTTGTAATTTCCAAACTGTTTAGCACAGAACCCAGCACTCTAGGCACGCGGGCCACATTTCATTAGATATGCGGTCAGGTTTGGAATTGACGCAGTGATATGTCAAAATTTATAGTCTCTAAGCCTTCATTTATTTATTTGTTTATTTATTTATTTATTTGACAGAGATGAGGTCTCACTGTGTTACCTACACTGGTCTTGAACTCCTGAGCTCAAGTGATCCTCTTGCCTCAGCCTCTCAAAGTGCTGGGATTACAGGTGTGAGTCTCCACGCCTGGCCAGTCATTTTTAAGGGAGGTCCATTCAAAGTCCTATCTATGTATCCTAAAAATCCCTTTCCTTCCTGTTCCTAAACCCTGTGGCTTTGTTTGGGAGGCAGGCATCCTTATAGGTTCATAGATTAGGCAACTATTTTAGGCCCATAATCATTTATGTGAAATTCGTTTTTCTTTTAACAGCTTTATTGAAGTAGAATTCATAGGCAAAAACATGGCCCATGTTTAAGCATTCCTTTTGATGAGTCTGGACATATGCATACGTCCATGATACTATATAAGTCAGGAAGTATTTTGGATATTGGAATATTCTGAAATTTCATAGAGGTAACACAGATTATATAGCGTATATTATATGACATTTCCAGTGAGATTTGGAGCAGTACCCTCTAATCAAACATGTTACTATTTCTGTAGCTACATTTATGAATATTCAACCTTACAAAATTACTTTTTTTCCCCATGAAACTTTTCAGATTTTGGAACTGCAGAGGAAAGATTATAGACCTGTGTCAACAAATAATGATTGTTGAGTAACCAACCATTCTCTGCCTCTGAAGAGGAACATCCTATAATTCTTTCTTTCTTAGATTTTTTTCCTTTGGCTTTGACATTTTAATTACACAATTGATGAATGTTTAGCATAGAAAAAAAAAAAACTAGAAAGTCAGAAACTCAGGACTTATGTAATCAAACAACTACGAGAAAAAAAATAGCCTCAAGCTGGAATCCTATTGATTTAATCCCCAAATCCCATTATACAGTTCCACTTCCTCTGACCAGGGAGCCAACTTTGAAATGTAAGAAAGAGGCACGGGAAGGGCTGGGTCCCTGCTGCACACTGACTGTGACTTGGCACCTGTTCTGCACTCAAGAGGTATTAACACTTTGCTGAAGAATTCTGGGCTAGGCTCACTGTCTTTCTCTGGCTCCAAAGGAAGGATGGGGAGGAAGTAACAGGTACTTTGGCCAGAAAATCGTGGGAAAAAAGATTTAACCATTTAACATGCAATGATATATGCTTACTGTAGAAACATTAGGAAGTCAAAGAATTTAAGATTTCATTCAGGTACATGTTGTATGGCACAGAATGATTTAAGCTTCAGTTCAAAACTTTAAGTGTGTTTCATGTGTTTAAGAGTGCAGGCTAGGATGGCTACAAAATATAACAATGCATCTGTGTGAAGACACACAATATTTGTCCTTAAACAAAAGGATAGTTTGAGATATATGTTTATCATCTGGGTCATGGGAAGACCCCTCAGCACGTCTACTGAATCAGAAGCTTTTCTTAACCATTTTATTTAATTTTGGTACAACTGACTTGATTTTTGTGCGCTAAAAAGAAGCACAGATAAAACAGATAATCCATAAATAGAAGAAATTGAAAAATATTTTTAGTTTCAAATTTTTAACACAGCTAGAAATAGAGACAGAAAACCTACGCAAACAGATGCACACATCCGTATCTTCTTAGCCATTGCCTGAGATCAGGCTCTGCCTTGGAATGGGGATGGGGAGTAGAAGGGAAGGAAGCCAGTTCCACAGTCAGGCCTTTGCCCAAGCTGGGCTTCATGGTGCTAGCGGTTTCCCTACTCTGTCACCAGGCCCATTAAATGAAAACAGTTTGCTAGACCAGAGGTCCCAATCTTCTTTCACTTGCTATAAGAAAATGTGATGGTCTCTTTGCTTACTGCTTCACCAAGTAAATATACCCTCCAGATTTATGTCTGAGTTAGATCCTTGTTTAAGCTTTATCAATGTTCATAGTGGCTCCATCTGTGATGTGGCTACTATCCGAGAACACAACCGGCAGGTGGCATGTATCTCAAGGTCAGATGGAAACAGGGTTATTGATGTTCGTAACAGTGGTACCCCTAAGGGTAATAAAAGGCCAGTGCAGGAAACTGCTGCAAAAATGTTCAATAAATACACAGTAGAACAAACTGACTATATTTTATGTTTTCTATAGAAGTATGCCTATGGTTTATATTTTATAGGGTAACGAATGTGCAAAATAAAATGCATTCCTAAATCAGCTAAAAGAAGTAACACTAAAGACCAATCTTCAGAGCCAAAAAAATAACATCAGTAATTTCATATCAAGATTTGAATGCTGATGTCTGGGCTTGGTGGCTCACACCTGTAATCCCAGCACTTTGGGAGGCCAAGGCAGGCAGATCACCTGAGGTCAGGCATTCGAGACCAGCCTGGACAACATGACGAAACTCCGTCTCTATTAAAAATGTAAAAATTAGCTGAGTGTCATGGTGGGAGTCTGTAATCCCAACTACTCGGGAGGCTGAGGCAGGAGAATCACTTGAACCTGGGAAGAGGAGGTTGCACTGAGCCAATGTTAAGCCACTGCACTCCAGCCTGGGCAACAGAGAGAGACTCTGTCCCAAAAAAATAAAAAACAAAAGATTTGAATGGGGAGGCATTCTGAGGTATTATTAAACCTTTTTCCTATGGCTCCGGCCTTGTCTCCAAAATTCTAGAGCCAGGCTTACAGGATGTACTATTAACATCTGAATCGGAGCTTGCCCAACAGAGATATCTTTTCAGGTTTTGCTTTTCTCATTCCATGGTTTATATCTGACCACAGCAACAGGTGTATGGAAAAGGAAACACGATCCCTAAGGGGAAAGGCCACTTCCTCCTTCTGTCTTACGCTTTGGCATGATGGGCCGTGTGACTACAGGCCTCCTGGCATATGCACACGGGCAGCCCAGCCCAGCTGTCCTGAAACTTGGCTGCACTCTTTGGCAGGTGTTTGGCTCAGTGTTTTGCTAAGGCCCAGCCTGGACCAGCCATTAGCAGGAAAATCCAACAACAATATTCGTAAGCACACTGGGCAGTATCCTGCCTGGCACATGCTACGGGCTGGATAAACAGTGGATCACAGTGCCCTAGTGCCCTCCTCTATTTCACAGGCTAGAGTGGGATATAAATGTCTAGTAGGCTCAAAACAAACATAAATTATAAAATGTTTATCTGTAAAAAGAACAACAGGGAAAATCTAACCCGAACTGGAAAGGTCTAGGAGGGCTTTTCTGAAAAACTAACACTGATCTTGAGCCCTGAAAGACAGAACCAATGAGGCATGGAATATGAGGAAGGGAATTCCAGGTAGGGGAAAACAGTATCTGCAAAGGACTGGGGTTGGGGGAGGATGAATCTTTTAACAAACAGAAAGATAGAAAGGAAGGTGACTCTGAGAGTGCTGTGAAGAATGGGAGGGTGGTGACAGAAAGGCTGGTGACAGATCACACTACGGAATTTGGATGCATAGTCAAGTACAGTGTGATGCAAACCACAGTAATATGGTCTAATTTCTTCTTTTTAATCACATTGGCTGCTGTGAAGAGAATGGATTGAAGGAAAGCAAGTGGAAGTAGACTAAATAAGAGATTTTCATAATAGAGAAGAGAATGCTGTTAGTGGAGATGCAGAGATGTTGAAGCAATCAAGAAACAAGCTGGTAATCAACTGAATGTAGGGATGATAAGGAAAGACGTGTCAAGATCAATTTCCAGGTTTCTGTTGAACATATAGGTGAATAGAGATGCAATCTCCTGGTTGGAAAAACTAGAGGATGGAGGGTGGAGGGTGGAAGGCAAGGGAAAAGATAAGATCAAGAGTTCAGTTATGGGTGTGTTCAATTGGAAATACCCATGAAATATCCAAGTGGGGATGTCAGGTAGGCACAGGATATGAGTCAGAATTCCAAAAAGGGTTATGAACTAGAGAAATCCCTATGATAGTCACCAGCATATACAAGTTATTTGAAGCCATAGCTATAGAAGGACATGAGGGTACAAGAGAACTGAGTTCAGATGAGAGATAAAGAGTGAGAAAGAGGTAAGAGAAATAGATGGAAAACCAGAAGATTGTGGTACACAGAGGCAAACAAAAGGGAGACAGTGAAGAAGCACCAAGAAAAGAGCTGTCCCCTGTACTGAATGCTGCTCGGGAGTCTGATCATGAGGGGACTGAAAAGCACCCAGCAGGCTGGGCACCACTGAGGTCTTTAGTAGTCTTAACAGGAGAGAATCTGATGGAGGAGTAGAGGTCTAAGCCAACTGGAGTGGGAAGAATGTTTAATTGGAAAATGAAGAAAAGGAGACACAGTATACCCAGAAAATTGTTTAATAAGTTTAGCTATGATGAAGAGAAGAGAGATAAGGTAGTAGCTTATCGTTAATCGATAAAGTAGTAATTTATTTTAAAAATAATAATATTGGCATGCTGACAGTAAAGAGAGAGAAACTGACCCCAGGGGGTGAGGGTGCAGAAAGACTGAAGACCTCAAGAAGGTGGGATAGGATGACACCCAGAGCACATCCAAAGGGAGTGGTCTTTGATGGAAGGAGGGAACCCCGCCTTCATTGTGAGAAGATGGGATGCTTCTAATTTCTCTATGGTAAGATGATCTCTGAGCCAGAGGGATGAAAGTTGGCCAGGAGTATGAACAGAGTGTATGAAATAGCTGTGTCATTAAATGGTGGAATAAATTTATTTGAGAAACATAATAATGTTTTTGCCAAGCTGTGTTGAGTCTCTATTTGAGTTTAGTTGTCAAGAATACGTAGTAACATCATCTAGACCAGTCTTTGTTTCCACTTCCCACATCCTCTTCTGGAGTTCCTCACCCCAAGCCAGTTTCTGCCATTTTTCACATGATGTAATGACAGAGAATAATCCTACCTTCTAAGACCAACTAATTCCCTCATAGCTGTATGAGCTGGTCCTATGCGTCAAGCCCCTGTAGTCCCCTCTCCAGTGCATAGCCTCTGTCAAGCCATCAAAACAATATTAGGAAGGATGGAGGTAGCTTCCTTGCTTGTTTCTGCCCGTGTTCCTAGAATTCCACCTGAGAATTCCACCTTGAAAACATAAGATAACTTTCCCTGGGAAGTGAGATTTAACATTGGCTCAACTTGCTTCACTTTTGTGTAGAATCTGATATTAATGAGAAATACACAAATAGAATTTGCAGGCCATGCCATATGTGAGATACACAAAATAAATAACTACATGGATTAGGATGGCAGGAGGGTTCACAGGGAACATGATACCTAATTCCTATGTTGCACGAGTTTTCCAATATGATATACATAGCAATAAAACTACTCTACTATTACTTAATTTAATTAATATTTACTTGATAATAAAATATTAACACAAGACATCTGATGCCTCCAATGAAGGCTTCTTGCAGAATCTTTGAAAAGCATAGCCATTAACTGAATCCTTCAGTACTGCAGACTTAGACAGTCAACTCTTTGACTTCATTTTGGCCTTTTAGGAAAAATACACCCACTACCCAAATACTACTTAAAAGTTTGGGCCGGGCGCGGCGGCTCACGCCTGTAATCCCAGCACTTTGGGAGGCTGAGGTGGGCGGATCACGAGGTCAGGAGATCGAGACCATCCTGGCTAACATGGTGAAACCCCGTCTCTACTGAAAATACAAAAAATTAGCCGGGTGTGGTGGCGGGTGCCTGTAGTCCCAGCTACTTGGGAGGCTGAGGCAGGAGAATGGCTGAACCTGCGAGGCGGAGCTTGCAGTGAGCTGAGATTGCGCCACTGCACTCCAGCCTGGGCGACAGAGTGAGACTCCGTTTCAAAAAAAAAAAAAAAAAGTCTGGGGGCAGAATGAACGTACATAAAATTTAATATGAAAAGCCTGTGCAGTTTAATTCTGACATGCTGGTAACCAAGAAATTGATGTGTAGCATTTAATTTGACTTTATTTCTGACTACCATTTTGAGCTCATTCTCTGGCACCAAGATCAAATGCCCTTATTTATAGGTCTTAAACAAATAAGAGCCTAAAAAGGAAGTCACGTTCAGCAGAAATTCTTTCTACACATTACCACTAGAACTTACTCAAACTAAAAATTTTTTCTTTTTCTCAGCTTAGTGGAGAACATGTTGAGTAAGGAAGAATGTGTTAAAGCTTATTTGCTTTTTCTTTCTCAAATTGGAATTTTATTTTCAGTTTTATTGGAATTTTATTTTTAGTTCTGCTCTAACTAACTCAGAATGGGAGAGGAGAGTAATGTATATTTCCCAGAGGAAAAAAACACATAAACAGACAAACCCAACTACCATCCTGAATTCTAAAATTTGCAAGTGATTTTTCATACTTTCCCTAATAGATATCAGCCACCATTCAGGTTGTGATCCAAAATGTATACACAGAACCTTTTCCAAGATAAGTGTCAACTGTGTTTCACAGATAGCTTTCTCTTGGCAGTGTGTGAGGACTACCCCAAGAAGAAAATTTTAGAAACTCCAATACATTTGTCAAAAAGCAGTGCACTTGCATTGAAAACAATAGCAAGGCAAAGCAGGTGAGATGAGTGGTTCTCATTCATCTGTTTAATAAACAGAAAAATGAAAAGAAATAAAAGAAATGAGGCAACCCTATTTGAATTTGCTTAAGCCATCCCTACAGGGCAGCAGTGGTAAAGAACTTCAGTATACTAAAGAAATTACTTAAAAAACACAATGGAATCAGAAAAGCAGAAAGGCCAATGAAAAAAAGCAAACAAACAACGCACTCATCTCAAGTAGGATAAAGCTGCCAGGAATATCGGCTCACAAATTATATGAACTCTGCTCTCTCAGCATCAGCTGCCCAGTACCTGGCAGTTCTTGGTTTCTGACAATGTATGATCTTAGGATTTTTCTCTAGTGCCACTGCCTCCAGGAACATGACACACAAATCCAAAACCCCAGTAATGCATTCAACATTTAAATTCAATCAACTGGGACCACCACTTTGCCCATAAAAACTGCATTGAAATATAATTTTCTTTTACCTTGGTCTTTTCACCAACAATGTTCTTTTCCAGTTCAGCTATTTTCCGGTTTAGATGATCCAAAATCTCCTTCTCCTTCATAAGTTCAGTTGTTTCAGATTTCTGTTCTCCATCCAAAAGAGCACATTCCATATCCAACTAAGGACACAAACCAAAGCTCAGAAGTGTTTCACCTTTGGGGATATTCTCAACTGACCACCCTAGAGATACATTTGCAACAGCTACAAATTTCCAAAAGTAATACTGTAGCAGCCAGATCGGGTGCCTGAGAACACTCCAGAGAGCCCATGTGAAAGCAAGATTCCCATATAAGCGAGCTAGAGAGCCTAGAATATATTCACTAAAAAAACTAGCTATCTTATCACTTAACTTTTCTACTATAACCCCTCTTCTGCTCACTTCTCAAGGATATTTTGCCTATTTGCTTCAGCTCAAGATCAAGCACAAACCACCATGGGAGCAGCCACGTCTTTCTTTGTCCCTAGAGCATGGGAAGAGAAAGTTACCCAAGCCCAGCATGTGAGCTCTGCATTCCTCGCAATGCTAGCAGGAGGGGCTTCCAGCGTCTCTACGCAAGACAACAGGTGAGCAGTCCCCTAACCACTTAAGGGCCTATTGGTATCATCTGTAAGGACAGACACACAGATCTTCCCTAGGCAGAATTACGTGCCCCTTCTCATGCCATGGGGGTAACATAAAAATGCCACTGTCTTCTATTGTGGTTATGCAATATGTGTTCTCTCTGCTTCCCCCTGGTTTCCAAACCTCTAGAAACCTGGATCGATTTTTGATCCGTGTGTGAATTTCATCATGGTGCCAATGTGATATCCAACTCATAGTAAAGCACGTTCAGAAAACATTTGCTGGATTTGACCTTGAAATCTAAATACAGAGCACCTCAGCTGATAGATCCTCTGTTAGGTCAGGTCAGAAAGCACGTACTAGTTTAAACAAAGTTGGTTGGAGATTCATAAAGTACATTAAAGAGGGCTTAATATGTTTATCTCATCTGGTTGGAAAAAAAAAGAAAGAAAAAAGGAATGTAGAAAAAGGGTATTTTCACTCTATACAGGGAACCCACTGAATAAATGTTTGCTTGTGTTGACGTCTATGTATCTGGCCTCCAAAGCCTATTCCTGAATAAGTAGCAATATTTTTAAGCTGAAGGAAAGAAAGAAAAAAGGGAAGAGGGTAAAAAGTTTACCTCTCTGAAAGACTCATCCATCTGATCATTTATGTCTTTGATTTTTTGCTTAAGTTCCTCGAGGTTGTTCAGAATGACTATCCGGGTTTCTTCCATTGCAGCCAACTCCTGAGATCTCTGTTCTTCACTTATACCCTCTGGGGTCTGCGATTAATCAACACAGAAATGGATTATTCACACCTCAGTTCTAGAATTTCCCAACTTGACTTGTAAACCATCCACAGGTCTAGGGTCTCACAGTCTCCATGCCCATGTAGATTTTAAAAGCATCCCTGCAACTGCACGCTTGGAGCTCTGATGTGTTTTTCCCACATGATGCCATCCTTGGCAGTTAGGCTCTCAGGAGAGTTGAGACAAACCAACTTCAGTTCACCAATTCATATCCTTTTGAAGCTAAAAGAACTAAGAGATTACACAGATAAGAAAGGTGTGGTATATAGAGATTGAGATGACTTCTCCAAGGTTATAGAGAAAGTTCAGCATAACAGAGAACTAGAACTGACAGAAGACTTGTGGCATCTTCCTCGGGATCTCTTGGGCATGATGCTATGGTTATTACAAGCACAATATTCTCTCCCATCTTCCAGGTGAGGACATCTGCAAAAGCCTCTTGAATCTCTAGGCATACTGTTGGGTCTTGCTGCTAGGGTTACCTGCAAATGAGCATTCATGCTTATGTATTTCCTTCTCAACACAAGTTGGAAAAGCAAGGGCACATCACTTTGGGGAGCCATAAAATATTTTAAAACTACACACTCAGTATTAAATTAATTGATGCTTCACTTTTGTGTTAGTGCACTATTTCCTCTCTTTGTCCTATAGACGTTCTTGCTATATAGCATCTAAGACACTCCCTAAAACAGGACACTGGCCACCATTCATAAAATTATTTCATGGAAAAACTGGTTCATCGGCAAGAAATAAGAAAGTCAAGAAACAAGTGAGAGAGTGCATAGTTACACTCCTGAATGGAGCTATGACAGATGGCCAGGGAAGAAGGCAATATTGTAGATCACACACACAGTCAAAATGTGACTGTTTATTCTTCAAGAAGAGAATGGAGTGAATTACAAATAGCTTCTTCTTTCTAGAATTTCTGGTTAGTTATCTTGGATATCACCTGGTAGAGACCAATTTTTCTATATATACTATATGTCAGTATGAATGTATTATTTATTTAAATTATCCCTTTTTGAAAAAGAAGTAATTTTTTTGGATCAGCAAGTCAATAATTATACAGTTTCACAAATGAAAATTGAAAACAGCAGCCCAGTTGAGTAAATTATTGAATATTTGTCACTAATTATTAAAAAAAATCTTCAAATTAACCCCCCAAAAAACCCATTAAGTTGAGTATATTTTACTAGGTTCACTAAATTTATTTGACAATCCTGATAATACATTTAAGAAGCCATCCATCATGTCATATTCTGTATGCTTTATTCATATTTATATTCTTTATTCTTTACTTTGTAGCTTTCTAAAGTGATTCAACGATTCAGCATTTAGTACCTCAGGTTTGTTAGGACAAAGGTAAGCAGCTCTTCCAAGCTTTGACATTTAGCTTTTTAATTGTCATCTTACATGAAATATCTTATCAACTAATAAAACAACTGTTGACCTTTTTATCACAGACAATAAAGCTCATTGTCCTAATACTAAGGTGCCTGTTTTAAGCCATGAGGAATGCCTGTAACAGTGAAATGGCATTCCAGAATCACTGTGAGTAATCCTAGCAGGAAAGCCTCACCAAGGGCGGTATCCTGTTGGGTCAAGATTACATATTAGGTTTCTACTTCCAAAATGGCTTAAAAATATCTCTTTCACAGGTGGAAGCAAGGCATTAAGAAAAATACAAAATAACAGAACAATCTGCAAAACTCTAAACTTTATAAGCAAGTAGGGAGTAAAGATGGTTAATAGTGGGAATCATCTGCATAATTCAAAGTTTTTAGAAAGTTTATCACAGTAGATATATTTAATAATAGACAACTTAAGAGTCTGTTTATAGCAATAAATGCCATCTAGGAAATGTTTGTAGTTTTTTTCTAAGTTATTTATAAGAAGCAAAATCTCCAGGAAGCATTCTAAAACCAAACGCTTTATGATAGAATGGGGTGAGGACAATGTAATCTCATTTATTAACCAAATAAAGAAAACCAATAGAAAGCCAAGGTGTGGTAGCCACTGAGTAGCTTTAAGTTTTACAGTGACAGAGAACATTGTAATTTTAAACATATGCCCTTCATTTTAATTTCTCTGGGAATTTTTTTTTCCAGTAATGGACAGGAATCTACTAACAGTGACATGTTTTAATAAGCACATTACGTGTGTATATGCATCCTCTAATATGTTATCTTTGGGGAAACTTGATCCACACAGGAAAGGGGAGAGATGATAGGGGAAAAGACACTTTCTGCTTGCCCCTTTTTCACAGATTTCTTCTTAAAACCCTTTTTGCAGCCAAAGGAGAGAGGGGTGCAAGGGACTCAAAAGGAGGAAGATGAGCCACTTTCCAGACAACTTTTACCTCAGGGGGTGGTTCACAAAGGCCAACTAAAATTAGCATATTTCCAAAGTCATCTGCATCTGTAAGTGTTACATAAAGCAAGTTCTTGACTGGTAACTCTCAGGTTTTCTAAATATCATTAAGATTGTTCTGTATAGTTAAGTCAACTTACAGTGTTTTTCACATTCCTCTCTTCTCCATTTATCCCTAAATCGATTATTAACATTGTACTTTGTTAGGCAAATAATCCAGTGTGGAAATTAATTGAAGAGAAAGAGCATGCAAAACAAATAGGAAGGTTGTTTTAAAAAGAATTTTCTGTCTGCTGTCTCAAGGTAATATATGTCCACCTTCAGAAAGTAATAAGTAAAAAAATGTGTTTCTTGGAATCCATCAGCTCTGCTCACTTGTACTCTTTCTACACTGCTGTCTGGTAACCTGGGTGTCCTTGATGTTTCCTGCCTCTAAAGGATGCAGAGTCTTACCTCTCTTGCAACAACAGATGCTGCACTAAGCTTCAGAGGCCTCCTATTCCACAATTACACGCTTGAGCAATTAAAAACATCTGCCAAGATCTGCTCGTGTACGCACCAACAGCATTCTTGTCATAGCCCTCTCCAGGAGGAAACCTGTCTCCCAAAAGATAGTCTTTAGAGACAGCACACAGCTTAATGTTTTTAACAAAAAACTGGCAGATCTCCATAAAGGAAGATATGTGAAAAGATTTAAGATCAAAAGGAAGCAAAGGGTTTCTAAGGAAGCCCAATGGCTGATGACAACAGCTCAACTTTTCAAGTGATGGGTCATTTACTGTGCCTGAACAACAACTTTTGATTCCCCCTGCCCCTACTTTCTTCCCTATCCTGGTTTCTAATCATTGCAACTCTCTGCCCACAGAAACAGATGTCCTGTTCAGAATTAGTCTCCATTGAGAATTAGTAAGGTAAACATGGTCACTATAGCAAAAAGAAGGGATGGGTAGGGCTCAGTGGCGCACCCTTGTCATCCCAGCACTTTGGGAGGCCGAGGCAGGCAGATCACTTGAGGTCAGGAGTTCGAGACTGGCCTAGCCAACAGGGTGAAACCTTGTCTCTACTAAAAATACAAAAATTAGCCAGGCATGGTGGCGTGTGCCTGTAGTCACCGCTACTCGGGAGGCTGAGGCAGGAGATTCGCTTGAACCCGGAAGGCAGAGGTTGCAGTGAGCCTAGATTGCACCACTGCACTCCAGCCTGGGTGACAGAGCAAGACTCTGTCTCAAAAAAAAAGAAAGAAAGAAAAAAGAAGGGATTGATGTCCAACATGTATTCAACAGTCCGAAGTCCTGATGTGTATCATGGAAAAACTCACTAGGTAGATAATGATTTCTGACTAGGAACATTCAGTGTAAAAGTCTTGCTGTAGCTAAACAAACACGCAAACTCCCCTGAATAATGCCCATGTGATAAATTACTGCCAGAATTTAGTACCATGACAATATCTTCCTCTTAAAGAGTCAATGTGTCCTTCTCTTATAACAAAAGATTAACTAAAGAATCTCACAGTTGAACTTAATAGTAAGCATCAATTAAGCAAATCAATACATTAATCCTACTTATTCCTAAATAAGTAAATCTACCTTGTGAATATCATATCTGCTTTTTCCTCCTATTTACTATTTTTGTTATTCTAATTTTAGTCCAATAAAATTTATATCTTTCATTGTAAGCTCCTTCAAATCATTTTTGGAGAAATTTAAAACCTAAATTGTTGTAGAAAAAAATTCTTAACCTGTGTGAAAAAAACGTAATAACAAAAGATTTTGGGGTTCTAAGTCCTGTACAAAAAGAAAAAGAAAAAAAAATTTAAAAGATTTTTCCTTAAACTCCATTTAACAAATCCTCAAAAGGATGACAATTTTAAACCAACATACAACCAGAAGACTAAATAGTACTTATGAGTACCAATAAATCTTAAACTCCTATATGCCGAAAAAATACAAATAAAGTCAAAATAAAGACTAGTTATGATAAAAGGCTCATCTGCTTACCACAAACAGCTCTTACTACTCAGTAAAACACAAGAAAAATAAAACAATTAAAAAAATGGGTGAAGAACATGAATAAGTGGGTCAAAAAATACAAATAATAACTAAAAATATGGAAAGATCCCCAACTTGATGTATAATTAAAGAAAAGCAAATTAAACTTCTATCAATTTGGCTAATTGAAAAATTTTGACAATATGCAACCTTGGCAAGTGTATGGAGAACACTTGTGTTTATATGCACATATAAACTTAGTCAAAGTGTCACCTGGATATATAGACTCTTTTTTTAATATGGTCTTTTAGAAGTACGATTTGGAAATATTGAGTAAAGTGAAAAATACACAAACTCTTTGACCCAGCAATTCCACTTTTAGTAAGTGATCCCACAGACACATTTGCAGAATTGTGCAAATATATATATGCTACAATATTTGCGCATATGGATTTTATTAGCAAAAAAAAAAAAACCCTGAAAATAAACGGTAGTTGCAAACAAAAGAAGAGCAATTGGTCATTAAAAAGAATGAGGTAGAGCTATGTATACTAATATGCAAAGATACCCAAGGCATTTAGTGAGGGAAAAAAAGTACAGAACACTATGTGTGTGTCTGTCTGTCTATGCCTATAACAGATAGCCATATATACACAGAAAATATTAGGAAGGCAGGTAAGACAATTTTAGCACCAGTTTTACACCTGCTTATCACTCAGGTGTACAACCTGAAAGGGTGCAGGGAGAAGAGAAATGTGCTTTCTTTCTACTCTTCTGTGCTGCTACAATTTTTACAGTGCAAATTTGTTACTTTACAGTAAACACCCTAATTTGCTGCACCTCGCTCAGCTAATGACCTCTTAAATTGAAATTTCACTGAAAACATCCTGGATAATTAGCATGATAAAATCATCAGTTTTCATGCCAAAGCATATGCACAGCCCTAGACCTTAAATCCTAGTATCTTTGCTGGGCCAACATTACCTTTGGTAGGATACTTAGATAAGAGGACTCGCTGGAAGCTTTCGGAAAGGTGGAGGATGGTGGTGGAGGAGTCCGGGTGAGGTCACTGAGTAGTTCATCATTCCTGGTGCTCCTGGGGGTAAAGAAGCTGGCACTGCTCTGACTGAGACTCCCACAGCTTGCCAAGTCTGCATCAGGGAGGGAGTCTTTCCGGTGGCACCTGTATCTTGTGTCAGGGCTCATGAGGGCTTCCTCAAACACAGACTCCTCATCAGAGAGCTGCAGCTTCTCAAGCTCCTTGTTGATTTTCTGCACATCTTCCACGGTGGTCCCAGTAGATAAGCGACTGTCAGGCTTTGTGTATTCAGCACAGAGACTGAGGATGGTCTCCAGACGCTGTCTCTCCTGGAACACAGGGAGGAGGGGGAGGTCAGTGGGTTTGTGAGAATGAATACTACTCCAAATAAAAAGACTGAAGAGGCTGGGACAACTGGTGCTTGCATTCCATACATAAACCCACAAACACTTGGCTGGTGATGATTTTCATAATCTTTGACGGATGCATTTAAAGATCCAGGTGAAATGGGGTTTAACAATGCCCAACTTTCCTCCCAAACTCAATTCTGGCTTCTACTCTCTCCCCTTTATTGGTATATCACAGGGCTGGCCCTAGCACACATCAGCACTCAGTAAGCCTTTTCATAACTTATAAATTCTCCAAGGTTTCTGAAGGGTGGGGTTAGGGAGAAAGACAAGGTCTTACTCTGTCCCAAAGGCTGGAGTGCAGTGGCACAATCATAGCTCACTTTATTTAACTCCTGGGGTCCAGTGATCCTCCTGCCTCAGCCTCCCAAAAGTTGCTGAGATTACAGGCACATGCCATTGCACCAAATTCATTTTTTTTAAACCTCCATTTCCTATCTATCCTCCTTCCCAGGCTCTACTTATCTACCTTCAACAATATCTAGCTTTTTCATCACTACTGACTTAATACTTGTGCTTAAAACTAATTCTCTAACTTCCTAAATATTATCCTACTGTTAGACTATGTGCTAGACACACAAAGAGAAAAACAGCTACTTACTGAATCTTTTAATTTAAAAGACCTATGTCTTCAATTTTTTTTTCTTGAAAATTTTGAAAATTTTCTAAACTTTTTAATGCCTGGTCACCATATAAAGGTCTTTCTCTACTAATTTCTTATATAATTAAAATTATAAAAGAGATAGAATGTTGCACTAAAATGAAGAACATTTCACATGAAGTCCAGATACACACCGATGTAACTCAAATTCATAGGTCATTAAATCTTTGATTAATTTAGCTAGAAAATAAAATTTATTTGTTAAAAATCAATACATAGGCCATTGATATCTATAAGAGTACTGCAATCTTACCAGACTCCCCATGCAACAGGCAGATATCTATGATTTTGAACTTTAAGTAGGTTAATTATACAGTTTGTGAGCAACAGGATATAATTTACAAAATGCTTCTCTGCTTCTCATAAACCTAGACAGCATTGCTTGAGGTAGGAAATCTCAACATCTTTACCTTTCATGTTAATTCCAAGGCCAAAGTGAAAAAAGAACTAAAAACAAAAACCATCTATTGTGATCACATTTACCACACTGAGAAGAGGCTTCACACGCTCTCCATAGAAAAACATTTTCCAAACTGCTTATCAGCAATAAAGCAGAAAAATATTAAGCATCACTGGACTGCTGTTCTCATTTCAATTGCAGCTAATTTGTAAAGACAAACTTTACAAGACAATTAGCTCTTTATTAGTTGATGCTATTAACAAGTAGAAAAGTCAAATAGGAACAGACCAACATAACTCCTTAGGTTCCATTAAATACATTACTCAAATGACAAGACAGATATTTAAGGTGTATCTGACTTACATTTGCCCTCTAAAGTAATCCCCCAACAAAAAAAACAAAAGAGCAATAGCTTGATCAAAAGGACTAATAAACTAGTTCCTACAAGCTCGCACCTCCCTTTCACTGCCTGAACTTCTGGACTCCAGCTGCAGCTCCGTCCTCATGGCCTCTTCCCACGGCAGGCACTCATAGCTACACACTCTCATCTTGGGCTCTTCTGCACCCTATCCATCCAGGAGCCCTGGTACTTATTTATCTCTTCAGTTTCCACCAGCTGCCAAGCCCTGCCCACCTCAGCTTTATAGGGAGGAAGCAGGGGGGACATAGCCTTCATTGCCTTATTTTAAACTTCTCCAACAATCTGGAAAAGTCTACATGGGCATATGCAAAAACAACCTCCAAGAGCATATGTAAGGAGAGGGAGAGGGACAAGATGTTACATTTTACTTCTCAATAGCATCTATATTAGAGGCGAATCTCTGAAGGAAAGTTCTTTTTCTGCCACTTAGGTAATTAAGTTGAAGCATCTAAACTCAAGTCTTTCCTAATCTTTGTAGTATAACATGTATACATTAGCCTTGGCATAAATATTTGGGATTATCTGAAAGTTGTCCATTTCCAATTACCTGGGCTCTAAGGTGTGGTGTTCAAAAGCATGAAAGATATTTCTGTTCAGCCTGGAATACAGAGAAAAATTCCTCCCACATGGCCTTCCCAAAATAGTTTCTTTTTCTGCAGTGGTATTGCTTAATTCCAAAGGGAATAAATGATCCCAGCCTTAAGATGAATGCTATTTCAGACAGTGAAACGCAGTATTCAAAGGCTTGTGAACAGGAAGTTTGGTCTACTGGTATGTGTTTCTCTCTATTCTTATCACCCCATTCACAGCCAATCTGTTCAAGTTTGAATCACTGACACATGCAGCACTGCTGCCCACGAGTTTAAAAGAAAACCAGGTTGCACTGAGACACACTGGCCCTATAAAAGCTGCACTAAAGAAAAATAAACTGATGTCCAAGGTGCATCAGAAGAAAGTCTGTAAGGCATTTCAGAAAGCACTACAGGAAGCCTTTTAAGGAAAACTCTGAACAGAAATTACTGTCATAAGATAATTCTCCCTTCAGCCTTCTGCACTCTGGAGTCTTCTTCCTTCCCATTCATCATGCCAATAGCCTGCAACCTGCATGACCCAAATCCAGAATGACCATTCCAGACCAGAACCTCTCAAGAATCAAAGAGGGCACTGTTAATAATTATGCTGGAACCTCAAATGCAAACTGGGGTTGGTCCTGGCAAACTGTGATGTCTGTCCCCCTACTTAAAACCAAACTTTCTTTGAAGCTTCACCTAACAACCTGCTATTTAATAAGTCAAGAGGCTGGCTGCCCTCTGAGATTTCCAAATCCTACCCACCTTTCCAAACTAGGAATCTAGTGTTCATTCTCTTGAAAAGTCCAAGTACAGAGCCTACATACCTTAATGCTCCAAAATATCAGTGCTAAGAATTTAGAAAGTAGGTCATCTTGAATAAAATTATTTTACATATATTTTTTATTTTTTTCGCCATTCCCATTTCTCCTTTTCTTCATCTTGATCTCCCACATATATCAAAGGAAGTGTTGAAGGAGACACAAGATTTTAGAAAGTATACGTAAAGAAAATTGTGTGCAATTTTTCACTTAGAGGTTAAAGGGGAAAAAATGGTGATGGGCTAGGGGTATGTTTTTTGACCTCTGAGCTTTTTTCCATCTTCAGAGGACTGTGTCTGACATTGTTCCCACTGCAGATTCACAGCCCTCAGGAGAGGGTACATCCATCTCCTAAACCCATCCAAGGGCCCTTGTAACTAACACCAACCAGTGTAGGTCACAGGACGGTACACATACTGCATAAATACATACATTATGCAGAAAACCAACTGCTGACACTTAAGCACAGGTGTAATCTTTGCTAAAAACCTTTTGTTATAACCAGTATATTGGGTCATGTATTACTTAAAACAAAAG
Source organism: Homo sapiens (assembly GCF_000001405.40). NCBI lineage: Eukaryota > Metazoa > Chordata > Mammalia > Primates > Hominidae > Homo > Homo sapiens. Next base: position 111,909,831 of record NC_000003.12, on the reverse strand, counting down.
GTCAACCTTTAATTTTTAGATATAATTTAGTTGAAATGGGATTTTTTTTTTTTTTAGGAGGACCTATTATAACTGGTGTGACTTGACTTCTCTCTTCTATTAGCCCCAGGACTTCAATGTCTCCATAATCTTCAGTTCAACAAAGGTCTACTAACTTACTTATTGTCTAGTAACGTGCTGGGGATCCATAAATGAAAAAAGATGGCAAGATGAAAATTTTTTTCTTTTTTTCCTGAGACAAAGTCTGTCAATGTCACCCAGGCTGGAGCACAGTGGTGCACTCATAGCTCACTGCAAGCCTCGATCTCCTGGGCTCAAGGGATCCTCCCACCTCAGCCTCCAGAGTAGCGGGGACTCCAGGCATGCAAACTTGCCCAGTTAATTTTTTAATTTTTTGGAAGAAAGATGGCATCTTGCTATGTTGCACAGGCTGGTCTCAAGCTCCTGGACTCAAGCAATCTTCCTCTCACCTTGGCCTCTCACATGAGACACTGCACATAGCAAAGCATAGCATTTCTACCCTCAAACCTTTAATAGGAGGCACAAATAGGTGATCACTTATAAAAGCAGTGATAACAGAAGTTTATAGACCACCTATGAGTTCACAGATGGGTAAACAGTACACAAAAATTACAGAAAAACAAATTTGAGTCCTCAAGGATAAATATGAGTCTGTCTGCTCTACTGGGACAGTGGGGTGGGCAGGGCATTTCCATAAAAGCACCACAGAAGCAAAGGCATAGAGCTGTGGCATATCATGGTATGCTCAGAGATCAGCAACTAGTATGTGGCTAGAGAGATGGGGTCTTTTGGGGGAAGAGGAATGAGGTACCTGCACAAAAATGGGTCACATTTCTTCCTCTTAGGGATTACAACAGCCCTAAAGTAAGTTTTGGAAACCACAAGAGTCAGGAACCCTGGTCTGAGTGAGTGGTAGAATGAGAAAAGCTGGTGCTGACAGCAGGTATGCAGACTTCCCAGGATTCCATGTACAAATCCTGATGTTTCAATTAGGTAATGACAGAAAGGAGGGAAAACAGAAGCAATGGCTCAAAGTCTGTTATACGGGTCTGTCTGTTTTAGAGATAAATCCTTGAGGGTAGTAACTGGGCTATTACAATCAGTTCACCTCTTTCTGGACACAGGGTAAGATGGCTCCTCTCTTCCTCACCCTCAAACTGGATATGGCCCTCAGACTTGTACCGGCCAATGAAGTGTGAAAAGCAAGGTGTATCACTTCTGCATGAACAACAGCCAGGGCATAATTCATCACATGCCTTGCTCTAACATGGCAGAGTGGCTCTCCAGATTGGCTGCAGGTGTTGGCTCCATCAGGAAACGTGGAGCAGAGGCCTCTTTTAACCCACACTAGTCCTGGAGTGTAAGAAAGAAACAGACCTGTATTTAAGACTTGGAGTTTTTTTTAAATTTTACTAATGGACTTCTACATTATGACTAATAAACCATGTGCAATTTCAGGCAGAACACTTTTCCAAAACTTAGAGATGAGGGACTCAGGGATCCTACTAAAGAAAGCTCAGTTACTTATTGGGTAATAAATAATTTGTCTTCGCCCAAAGAGAGGTCTGACCTTTGCCATTGGCTTCTGGGAGATTATCTATGTCATACTCAGCTGCAGTGTCTTTGTTTAGGGTAGAGTGGGCCACATGTGATAATCTTAGGGTATAAGCTGGCCACTCCAGAAAGACCAATTATGTGATTTAGTGTGGGAGCCTTAAGTCATGGGTTATCAGCCAAGCTGGAGACTGAAATTAACCATGTGGGAAACTGATCAATCAGTAATGCTTATGTGATGAAGTCTCAATAAAAACTATGGCAAAACCCCATCTCTACAAAAAATGCAAAAATTACCTGGGCGTGGTGGCTCATGCCTGTATTCTCAGCTACTTGGAAGGCTAAGGCTGGAGGATCACTTGAGTCCAGGAGGCGGAGGTTGCAATGAGCTGATATAGCACCACTGCACTCCAGCCTGAGAGACAGAGGGAGACCCTGTCTCAAAAAAACAAAACAGAAAAAAATAGCTGACCACGGTGGCTCACACCTGTAATCCCCAAACTTTGGAAGGTTGAGGCGTGTGGATCACCAGAGGTCAGGAGTTTTAGACCAGCCTAATATGGTTAAACCCTGTATCTACTAAAAATACAAAAATCAGCTGGGAGCGGTGGTGGGCACCTGTAGTCCCAGCTACTTGGGAGGGTGAGAAAGGAGAATTGCTTGAACCCAGGAGGCAAAGGTTGCAGTGAGCCCAGTCGTGCTACTACACTCCAACTTGGGCAACAAAGCAAGACTCTCTCTCAAAAAACAAACAAACAAACAAACAAACAAAAAACCTGTGGGTACTACAGCTTGGGTAAGCCTCCCTGTCATGTGCACACTATCACCTACCAATGCTTAATGCTGGTAGAGTAACACTTTCTGACCTACAGGAAAAGGACATGGAAGTGTTGCCTTTGGAACTCTTTGGACTCTGCCCCGTGTGTGTCTTTCTTTGGCTAATCTTTATCTGTATCCTTTCCCTATAGTGAATCGTAACTGTGCTTATCATAGCTGTCAATGGGTTCTGTGAGTCTTTCTAGTGAATTATCGAATCTGAGGGTGGTCTAGGAAACCCCAGAACTTGCGGTTGGAGTCAGATGTGGGGAAAATCTTGTGTGGAGACACTGCTCTCCAGACTTTTCACTGGCTTTCACATTTACACAAACATTGCCTTAGTATTGTTTTTATCAGTTTAGGACAAATGATCTCATTTGTATATAAAAGTGAGGGGTTTTTATCATTTGGTTTTACAAATTATCTTTATGGAAGTCAGTTCAATATCTAGCTTCTTAGCCACACATTATTTTATTTTATACACTGGCTGGGAAGTCTGCCTTCAGGCTTGTGGTCAGGAAAACACTTTACTCTGCCACCCTTAGTTTAAATAGCATGTGCATGTATGCGTGCACCATCAGTAGGGCTGAGCTGGAAAGAGGAAACAAAAGTGTAATGCCTTTGTATGACTGTGTCTGCTCTGGAGGCAACTGTAAGTTATTGGAGAATGTGACAGCCACTAACTGACCAACATTTGTTATGTGCAGATTACTATTGATATTTTGTATGCTAATGCCTATTCTCCCAAAGAATAATAGATAACTGTACTGAGAGTGAGACATACGTGAATAACTAGGACAGCATTTACCAGTCATTGATTTTTCAATACCCTTTCTCAAACATGCTCAATACACTTACATACACAAACACACTGCCTAAGGAGACCAAGGCCATTCTGCTTAAATTCCCTAGACTTCCCTCTTCTATCTTTGTCCATCTAGTCCTCCTTTCGTCAATGTACTATAGTGGCTAAATGCATGAACTCTGGAGCCAGACCACTTAGGTCTGAATCTGGGTTCTGCAGCTACCTGTGTGACCCTGGCCAAGCTATTTAGCTTCTTTGTGTCTCAGTTTCCTCAAGTATAAACCAGAATTACTAGAATATCTACCTTATTGGGTTATCATGAGGATTTATATATATGAATGTATACAGTTATGTGTTGCTTAACAATGGGGATATGTTCTAAGAAATGCAAGGTTAGGCTATTTCATTTTTGTGCAAACATCAGGGTGTACTTACTCAAACCTATATAGTATTAGCCTACTACACACCTAGCCTATATTGTAATAGTTTATTGCGCCTAGGCTACAAACTTGCAAAGCATGTTACTGCACTGAACGTTGTAGGCAATTGTAACACCATGGTAAGTACTTGTGTATCTAAACATACCTAAACATAGAAAGTACACTAAAAATATGGTATTACAATTGTATAGGACCACTATCATATTTGTGGTCCATCGTTGACCAAAATAAAATATCTGCACACATAACGACATTCCAGTCAACAAGGTGCTACATATACAAAGGTAGTCCCATAAAATTATAATGGGTGTCATCTTCCATTCTCTAACCTGAAAAACGTAAAGGAAAAAAAAAGATTATAATGGAGCTGAAAAATTCCTATTTTTTAATGACATAATAGCTGTTGTAACATAATATGTTGCAACATATTACTCATGTGTTTGCTGCGATGCTGATATAAACAAACCTACAGCAAAACATGTTGAGGAATCCCTAGCTTACCCATGGGGTGACCCTCCCAAAGGTAGCTCAGACTTTTAAGGTAGGGTGTGGTGGCTCACGCCTATAATCTCAGCACTTTGGGAGACCAAGGCGGTGGATCACTTGGGGACAGGAGTTCGAGACCAGCCTGGCCAACATGGTGAAACCCTGTCTCTACTAAAAATACAAAAATTAGCTGGGTGAGGTGGCACGCACCTGTAGTCCCAGCTACTTGGGAGGCTGAGGTGGGAGGATCACTTGAGCCTGGGAGGCAGAGACTACAGTGAGCCGAGATCACACCACTGCACTCCAGCCTGTGTGACAATGAGACACTGTCTCAAATAAATAAATAAATAAATGACTTAAAAAAACAAAAAACAGAAAGCCAATCTCTTGACACATTACATCAGACCCCAACTGAAAGGGTTACTGTCTACTTTAGAATTCTTACACTTTTAAATGATTCCCACCTATCCCCAGAACAAAATAGTAGTCAACAGCAGTTAGCTAAAACTCACTGAGTGCTTGCTGGGTGCCAGACACAATCCCCACCTGTATTTTAATTTTTAATTTTCATGACTTTGTGGGGGGTGGTTTTATTCTAATCCCCATTTAACAGATAAGGAAAGTGAGGCACAGAGAGACTTAGTAACCTAATTAGAGGGCCCGCTCTCATGCAACTAGTGGCCAGTGTGAATAGGAAAAATCATTGCCGTTCTCTTTCATAATACACTTTTGCAAGATGATGAAATCATCTAACAATGCATTTCTCAGCAACACATTCCCATCATTAAGCAATGCATGACTGTTCATCTATGACACTTAGAAGGGTGTCTGGGACAAAGTAAACAGCATAAGCATTAGCTCAGTTATCTGAGGAGAGTCTCTCAGTCTTTCCAAGAGGAAGCCCTCTGCCTGCACCACTGCACCTTGTTCCCACTGTCCTGTGGTTTTGCTCTATTGATTATCCCTTCTCCTACACCTTTCCCTCTCTATTGACTCCTTCTCCTCTGTCTGAAAATGTACTCAAGTCCCTCCCTCCCCTCAAAATAAACAAAAAGCCATCTTGATCAGATTATCCAGTAGATCTACTTTTCTACTTCCCTACTTCCCCTTTCACACCCACCACACCCAAACTCCCAATCTCCAAGAAGCTGCTAATGCTCAGTACTTCCATCTCCACTCATTCCCAGAGCTTTGCAATCTGGGGCAGCATGCTCCTGCCTTTATGCAGACTGGACATCCCGAATGAGAAGGGGCATTTCACACTTTCCCCAGGAAAATTAGGAGTAAAATGACCAGAAATAGGCGAAGTGCTTAAAAATAAAGATATCAGGACTACAGGAGGCTCAGTACCTCTCTGTCATCTTATATTTTAATGATTTGTGGAATAAATTGACTTCTTACCTCCACAGAACCCTTGGCCTTTTTTTTTTTTGAGACAGGGTCTCACTCTGTCACCCAGGCTATAGTGCAGTGTTGCAATCTTGGCTCATTGCAACCCCCACCTCTTGGGTCCAAGCAATTCTCCCACCTCAGCCTCCCGAGTAGCTGGGATTATAGGTGCCTGCCACCACACCTGACTAATTTTTGTATTTTTAGTAGAAATGGGGTTTTGCCATGTTGGCCAGGCTGGTCTCGAACTCCTCACCTCAAGTGATCTGCCCGCCTCGGCCTCCCAAAAGTGCTGGGATTACAGGTGTGGGCCACTGTGTCCAGCTGGACTTGAAGAGCAGAATCTGTATTTCAGCTTAAGTAGAAAGAACATAGAGTTGGATTTGAAGTTCTGGCACTTATCAGACCTATAACACAGTTATTATTTTTTTTAATCAAGTTCAACCTTTCAAGCCTCAATTACATGGTCTATAAAACAGAGATGAGTAGATTAGTGCCTCCCCTTGGGATCTTGGAAGAATTCAGTAAAGAAATGTGTGTGCGAACATGTGATAGACTATGTGCTTTCAAGTCTAAAGGTGGTGCCAGTCTTGTAGTAGGTGCTCACTCTTTGTCAGTCATGGTTAGGACGGTTTCTGTCAAAAGCGTGAAGTGAACTAGATAATTATCTTGTAGACTCTGAAGAACCATCTCTAATACTGATTAACAAGCACGCCTAAAAACTAGACCCAATTATTTTCAGGGAAAGGAAATACAGGAAAAATACGTTGTTATGCAGCCAAATGTCTCCCTGAAAAATCTGTGGGGTTTCTTTGGCTATCTAGAAGGACACAAAATTCCCTCAAGGCCACCAACTCCCTGCCCTGTGGTCCACCTGCCTCTGCCCCTGGCAACAGAGCTCTGCCCAGTTGCCATAGTAACCTGGGGAGAAAGGCATCTTGTCATTTGGTCCTCCCACGCTCACCACTACAGAGCAACACATTAAGTATAGTGGAGTTGCTTCTAGAAAGAACTACCCTCCAAAAAATCCATTGTCTTATTAAGGACACATACTTCACCCTTGACATAAAACCCAGGCTTCTCTTCACATTGCCCTGGCTCCACCCTAAACTTCAGAGAAACGGGTGTCCCCCCCTTACTGAAGGCATGCATCATTCAAATACCTGAGGAACTTTCTCATATCCTGCCTTACTCATACTTAGAAGAAGAAATTTAGTTCTTTTAATCTTATCTCATGAACCAATTCCTCACCTGTGTTTTTAAAAATTACTATCACAAAAAAAAATACAAATAAAAATTATGATTACTCAGAAGTCTCTCTAAACCTATTGTGGTTTGGTAGCTTTCCAATTAAAAAATAAATAAAATAAAAACTGAATAAATTGCCAGGACTGGTGGCTCACACCGATAATCCCAGCACTTTGGGAGGCCAAGGTAGGGGATCACTTGAGGCCAGGAGTTAGAGACTAGCCTGGGCAACATGGTGAAATGCCATCTCTACAGAAAATACAAAAATTAGCTGAGCATGGTGGCTCACGCCTGTAGTCCCAGCTACTCAGGAGGCCAAGGCAGGAGGACTACTTGAGCTGGGGAGGCGGAGGTTGCACTGAACTGTGACCACACCACTGCACTCCAGCCTGGGTGACAGAGGGAGACCCCCGCCTCAAAGAAAAAAAAAACTGAATAAATATTTACTGTTACTTGCCTGTGTCAACATTTCCCTCAAACCCACTTGCCTCTACTACTATTTCTGGCTATGTGCCTGTTTTATTTGTACTTTAAAAATAGATATAAATTAAGTACATATTTAATTACTAACATATGCTAAAGTAATGTTTATTTATTTTTATTTTCTTCCTTTTTGAGACAGCGTCTTGCACTGTCACCCAGGCTACAGTGCAATAATGTGATCATGGCTCACTGTAGCCTCAATCTCCTGGGCTCAAGTGATCCTCCCACCTTGGCCTCCCAAAGTGCTGGCATTTACAGGCATGAGCTACCATGCCCAGCCTATTTTGATTTTCATTTACATTAAACACATTCTTAAGTAATATAACTTGATTTAATTAATCCTATTAACTTTTTGGCCAATGACGTTTTCCTGACTTGTTTTTTCCACCTCAGCATTTTGTTAGGCAGATGCAAGTAAATCTCTGACCACAATTACCATTTATCTAGGATCCTCTATATTTTAGACCTTTTCCTGATGACTTTTTGCACTTTCTACTTAAAATCAACCAGCAGATGGGTGGGTTATGAAATGTTTTACTTTTAAAAAATATTAAGGTTGGAGGTGAACTATTCTTAAAAGACAAAAATATATCATTTTAAAGAAAATGCCCATTATGAATGACTCCAAAATATTCAAAGGAGAAAACAGTGTATTTCTCCCTATTGACTGAAAAAAACCGGCCATAAGTCAAAGAAATTCATGTGATCCGTATCATCATAATTTCCATACAGCATCTATGTAAAACATGCCAGATGTTTTTCTTACATAGACAGTGTTCCAGAAGGAAGTCTGCACAGTGCCTGAGCCCATTCTGTTAAAGAAATTATGCTATTGCTCTTCACCATTAAAGAAAACACAACAAAATCTAATCATACTGTCATCTCTTTACATTTTCACTTTAGCTTGATCAAGTTCCAGAAGATCTTGTTTGCTTCTTCTGAAAGACTATAGTCTATAAAACACAATCCATTAAAATACTTTAGTTCAATCAAAATAAGTATATGAGAGGTATAAAGACCTTTAAATCCTGATGTTTGAAAACATATCCTATCCTTTAAAAAATAAGATTTTTTTTAATGCATAAAGAAACCAGTGGGTAAAGAACTAGGAAAGTCTGCATGTAAAAAAACGACAGTAGACTATAACATAACAACTGAAAGTACTATAATACAATTATTTTTGAGTCATATCACATAAAAATATTATGTGTTAATTTTTTTTTTTTTTTTGAGACAGAGTCTCACTCTGTCACCCAGACTGGAGTGCAATGGTGCGATCTTGGCTCACTGCAACCTCCAGCATCCGGGTTCAAGTGATTTTCCTGCCTCAGCCTCCTGAGTAGCTGGGACCACAGGCATGTGCCACCACGTCTGGCTAATTTTTTTGTATTTTTAGTAGAGATGGGGTTTCACCGTGTTAGCCAGGATGGTCTCAATCTCCTGACCTCGTGATTCGCCCGCCTCGGCCTCCCAAATTGCTAGGATGACAGGCATGAGCCACCAAGCCTGGCCTGTGTTAAAATTTTAAAAGCATGTCACAAAGTTTTATGTAGAGAAATGCAAAAGAGGGCTGGGCACAGTGGCTCACGCCTGTGATCCCAGCACATCAGGAGGCTGAGGCAGGAGGATCGCTTGAAGCCAGCCTCATCAACATAGAGAGACCCCATTTCTATAAAAAAGAAAAAAAAAGCAAAACAAACAATGGCATGTCTTCTTTCTAAATCTGAGAATAGTGTTAAGAAAGTAACTACAGGCATATCTCATTTTACTGCATTTTGCTTTATTGCGCTCTGCAGATAGTACATTTTTTACAAAGTGATTTGTGGAAACCCTGCAGCGAGCAAGTCTATTAGCACATTTTTCCAATAGTATGTGCTCACTTCATGTCTCTGCGTCACATTCTGGTAATTCTTACAATATTTCAAACTTTTTCATTATCATCATATCTGTTATGATGATCTGATCAGTGATCTTTGACATTACTATTGTAATAGTTTTGGACACCACAAACCATGCCCATATAAGACAGCAAACTTAATTAATAAATGTTGTACTTGTTCTAACCGCTCCATCAACAGGCCATTTCCCTGTCTCTCTCCCTCTCTTCAGGCCTCCCATTCCCTAAGACACAATATTGAAATTAGGCCAATTAATAACCTTTTGATAGCCTCTAAGTGTTCAACTGAAAGAGTTACAGATCTCACACTTTAAAGCAAAAGCTAGAAACGATTAAGCTTTGAGAGAAAGGCATGCCAAAAATGAGATAGGCCAAAAGTGAGCTCTCTTGTACCAATTAGCCAAGTTGTAAATGCAAAAGAGAAGTTCTTGAAGGAAATTAAAGGTGATTCTTCACGCACAAATGATAAGAAAGTGAAACAGCCTTACTGCTGATGTAAAGAAAGTTTTAGTGGTCAAAATAGATCAAACACTTCCTTAGGCCACAGCCTAATCCAGAGCAAGGCCCTAACTCTCTTCAGTTCTATGAAGGCTAAATGAGGTGAAGAAGCTGCAGAAGAAAAATCTGTAACTAGCAGAGGCTGGGTCATGAGGTTTAAGGAAAGACATTGTCTCCATAACATAAAAGTGCAAAGTGAAACAGAATATGCTGAAGTAGAAGGTGCAGCAAGTCAATTGGAAAGATCTAAGATAATTGATGAAGGTGGTTACATGAAACAGCAGGTTTTCAGCTGGGCCAGTGGCTCACTCCTGTAATCCCAGCACTTTGGGAGGCCTAGGCGAGAGGATCACTTGAGGCCGGGAGCTCAACACCAGCCTGGGCCACAATTAATCAATCAACAAACAAACAACGTAGACAAAACAGCTTTATATTGGAAGAAGATGCCATCTAGGACTTACAAAGCTAGACAGAAGTCAATGCCTGGCTTCAAATCTTCAAAGGATAGGTTGACTCTGTTTTTAGGAGCTAAAGTCAGCTGCTAACTTTAAGTTGAAACCAATGCTCATTGACCATTCCAAAAATACCAAGGCCCTTAAGAATTATGCTAAATCTATTTTGCCTGTGCTCTGTAAGTGGCGCCAACAAAGCCTAGATGACACCACATCTGTTTCTACCATGGTTTACTGAGTATTTTAAGCCCACTGTTCAGATCTACTGCTCAGGGGAAAAAAAATTCCTTTAAAAATATTACTGCTTGGGGGAAGTGGGGGAGAGCATCAGGAAAAATAGCTAAATGCATGCCAGGCTTAATACCTAGGTGATGGGTTGATAGGTGCAGCAAACCATCATGGCATATGTTTACCTATGTAATAATTCTGCACATTATACACATGTATCCCAGAACTTAAAATAAATTTAAAAATATATGAATAAAATTACTGCTCCCTGACAACACACCTAGTCACTCAAGAGCTCTGATAAAGATTCACAAGGAAAATAAAGGTTGTTTTCATGCCTGATAACACAATATCCATTTTACATCCCATGGGGTAATTTTGGCTTTCAAGTCTTTTTATTTTAAACATATACTCTGTAAGGCTATAGTTGCCATAGGTAGTGATTCTGCTGATAGAGCTGAGCAAAGCCAATCAAAAAACCACCTGGAAAGAATTCACCAGTTTCGATGCCATTAAATACATTTTGGTTCAGAAGAGGAGGTATTGACATTTTTATCAACATGAACGAGAGTTTGGAAGAAGTTGATTCCAGTCCTTATGGATGACTTTGAGGGGTTTAAGACTTCAGTGGAAGAAGTAACTGCAGATGTGATAGAAACAGCAAAAGAACTATAACTAAATGTGGAACCTGAAGATGTGAATGAATTGCTGAAATCTCATGATAAAACTTGAACTGATGAGGAATTGCTTCATATGGATGAGTGAAGAAAATGGTTTCTCGAGATGGAAACTACTCCTGGTAAAGGTGCTGTTAACGTTTTTGAAATGACAACAAAGGATTTAGAATATTACATGAGCTTAATTGATAAAGCAGTGGCAGGGACTGAGAGGACTGATTCCAATTCTGAAAAAAGTTCTACTGTGGGTAAAGCGCAACCAAACAGCGTTGCATGCTGCAGAGGAATCTTTTGTGAAAGGAAGAGTTGAATCAATGTGACAAACTTCATTGTTATCTTATTTTAAAAAATTGCTGGCTGGGTGCGGTGGCTCACACCTGTAATCCCAGCACTTTGGAAGGCTGAGGTGGGCGGGTCACTTGAGATCAGGAGTTCGAGACGAGCCTGGCCAACATGGTGAAACCGTGTCTCTACCAAAAATGTAAAAAAATAGCTGGGTGTGGTGGCTGGTGCCTGTAATCCCAGCTGCTTGGGAGGCTGAAGCAAGAGAATCACTTGATGTCAGGAGGCAGAGGTGCAGCAGTGAGCCAAGATCACACCACTGCACTCCAGCCTGGGAGACAGAGCAAGACACACACACACACACACACACACAAACACACACACACACACACAAAGAAATTGCCACAGCCACTCCAACCTTCAAGAACCACCAGCTTGTTCAGTCAGCAGCCATCAACATCAAGACAAAACCCTCCACTAGCAAAAAGATTACAACTCACTGAAGGCTCATATAATTGTTAGTATTTTTTTAAGCAATAAAGTATTTTTAAATTAAGGTATGTACATTTTTATACATAATGCTGTTGCATACTTAATATATTACAGTATAGTGTAAACATAACTTTAATATGCACTGGGAAACCAAAAAATTTGCGTCACTTGCTTTATTATGATGTTCGCCTTCTTGCGGTGGTCTGGAACCAAACCCACAATATCTCAGAGGTATGCCTGAATATTTTCCTTTCTCCCAAGACAACTTGTAAATTGAAATCTCTGCCTAAGATGATTTAAGCCTTGGTCTTCGTGATCTGATGGAAAAGATGACCTTTCATAGCTTCAGCTTGTTATTCTATAATCAGAATGAAAGAATAATCACCATATGAGAAATTTGTTCCTCTTAATTCTACTCAGCATTTTCCTAAAATTCTGTCTTTTCTCAAAATCCAAATTACAACCCCAGAGCTGGGATATGGTCTTAGCAATTTTGAATAAGAAATACCAATTTATCCAAACCAAAAATTTTCAACCTGCAGTCATTAGACTTCACCAGAGCAAAGCTTTTGGCTATTTGCAACTTTAGGAAACTAATCTCACTGACTTCAGCTTCAGGGAAGATGAATTAGACATACTTTACCCTATTTCTCCCACTAAGTATAACTCAGAACCCTGTACATTATATGGGGAAAAAAACAGAAGACTCTGAAAGGTGGAAAAAGGCAGACTGGGGACCCAACGAAACACACAGAAGTGTGTCTCTGGGATTTCCCTTTGCCTCATGTATCCTAGTCTTAAACCTGATGAACCAGTGACTGCAACAACCTGCCCAATTTCCACAGAACTCTGCTGAGTGAACAAAGCCAAACCCACAGGTTACATGCTATATGGTTATATTGTGAAATGATAAAATTATAGAAATGGAGAAGAAATCAGTGGTTATGGGGGTTAAGGAGAAGGGAAGCTGGTATGGCTATAAAAGGCCAACATGAGAGACCGTTGTGGTGTTAGAACTGTTCTGTATCTTCACTGTATCAATGTCAATATCCTAGCTCTGACATTGTCCTATAGTTTGGCAAGATGTTACCATTGGAGGAAACTGGGTAAAGGATACACAGGATCCCTTTGAATTACGTCCTATGATTGCTTGTGAATCTCCGATTATTCAACATAAAGAGATTATTTTGTTTAAGTGACTTCTAATAAGCACCTTCATAACTAGCACATTGAGATGGCTGAAACAAAAGAAAAAGTGCTGGATGTGTTACCCTTGTAATGCTTGTTTTGGATTTTTTTTTTTTTTTGAAAAATCAATTTCCAACTTTAAGAATATTCTCTACAGCAAATATTCCCATAATCTTTTCTCAAGCTGGGGAAGAGAAATTCACATTATAAGAATTAGCCAGCGCAGCCTGGACGCGGTGGCTCACACCTATAATCCTAGCACTTTGGGTGGCCAAGGCAGGCAGATCGCCTGAGGTCAGGAGTTCCAGACCAGCCTGGCCAACATACGTGGCGAAACCCCGTCTCTACTAAAAATACAAAAATTAGCCAGGTATGGTGGCAGCTGCCTGTAATCCCAGCTACTTGGGAGGCTGAGGCAGGAGAATTGCTTGAACCCTTAGGAGGCGGAGGTTGCAGTGAGCTGAGATCACGCCACTGCACTCTAGCCTGGGCAACAGAGGGAGACTCCGTCTCGGGGCGGGGGAAGAAAAAAGAATTAGCCAGCACAATCACTAAACCTATTAGCTGATGATAAATTTTTAAAATGGTAGCTCAATAAATAGCTTTTAAATTTAGATATACTAAGCCAGGCATGGTGGCTCACGCCTGTAATCCCAATAGTTTCAGAGGCTAAGGGGAGCAAATCACTTGAGGCCAGGAGTTCGAGAACAACCTGGCCAACATGGCAAAACCCTGTGTCTACTAAAAATACAAAAATTAGTTGGGCATTGTGGCATGCACCTGTAATCCCAGCTACTCAGCAGGCTGAGCCGAGATCATGCCACTGTACTCCAGCCTGGACAACATAGCAAGACTCTCCTCAAAAAAAGAATAATAAATAAATATAGATATACTAAGTAATTTGACAACAAATATGGGGACCACTTTTACCAGAAACAATCAATAGTCCTCCTTCACTTAATGTATCTCCATATAAATAGATAGATAGATAGATAGATAGATGGATAGATAGATAGATTTTTTTTTTTTGACTGAGTTTCACTCTTTTGCCCACGCCAGACTGCAATGGCTCGATCTCGGCTCACTGCAACCTTCACCTCATGGGTTCAAGTGATTTTCCTGCTTCAGCCTCCGAAGTAGCTGGGATTACAGGCATGTGCCACCACGCCTGGCTAATTTTGTATTTTTTTAGTAGAGACGAGGTTTCACCATGTTGGTCAGGGTGGTCTCGAACTCCTGACCGCAGGTGATCTACCTGCCTTGGCCTCCCAGAGTGCTGGGATTACAGGCGTGAGCCAACACGCCTGGCCTCCACTCCTATATATTTGTTGGTCTTGATATATTTTCAGTTTTTATTTAGTTTATATTTCTTTCTACAAATTTTATTTATGATCTTTATTTCTTATTTAAGAAACAAGTGTTCATATATTTATTTATGATTTTAAAAAAGAATGAGACTTCTTCTATAACTGACACAGGGGCATACAGGGCCTCTTTTTAGTCCAAGTTGCTTTCTATATTTCAGCGTTTAGCCTGAGAAAGCTGAACCATGTGAAGAGTCAGAACATACATCTCTCAAATTCTTTAATGCATGGCACCATCAAGAGGCAATAGCTTGTACTGCTACTATAAGAACAGAGGGTTTGCTCTCAAGAATGGACTACTGCAATATAGAATTTCATGAAGACTTTAGCTCTGTTTCCCCAATGTGAAGTCATTAGATTATTGCCAAATGCTAATTTTTCCTTCTCACTGCTTTTCTGCCCATCTCTCCAAGTGAAGAAGAAAGAAAAAAGGTATGACAACCGTTTTTTTTTTTTCACTCTCAGTTAATGGAGGACAATTGGCAGCCCAACTTTGCTAATGATTAATTCCTTTAATATTTAATCAACATATACACACATACAGACCCACACATACATACATACACACACACACACACACGCAAACCAGCAATTTGTAGAGAGAAAGTCCTTGCTTTATTCTCTAATGACCCAAGGTGATCTGATGACAGATAACATTTTTCTTTATATTACCCAGTGACAAAAAATGTACTTACTTTAAGGGCTAATATCCAGAATCTACAATGAACTCAAACAAATTTACAAGAAAAAAACAACCCTATCAAAAAGTGGGCAAAGGATATGAACAGACACTTCTCAAAAGAAGACATTCATGCAGCCAACAAACATACGAAAAAAAAGCTCATCATCACTGGTCAGTAGAGAAATGCAAATCAAAACAACAATGAGAAACCATCTCACACCAGTTAGAAAGGCAATCATTAAAAAGTCAGGAAACAACAGATGTTGGAGAGGATGTGGAGAAATAGGAACACTTTTACACTGTTGGTGGGAGTGTAAACTAGTTCAACCATTGTGGAAGTCAGTGTGGTGATTCCTCAGGGATCTAGAACTAGAAATACCATTTGACCCAGCCATCCCATTACTGGGTATATACCCAAAGGACTATAAATCATGCTGCTATAAAGACACATGCACATGTATGTTTATTGCGGCATTACTCACAATAGCAAAGACTTGGAACCAACCCAAATGTCCAACAATGATAGACTGGATTAAGAAAATGTGGCACATATACACCATGGAATACTATGCAGCCACAAAAAATGATGAATTCATGTCCTTTGTAGGGACATGGATGAAATTGGAAATCATCATTCTCAGTAAACTATCGCAAGAACAAAAAACCAAACACCGCATATTCTCACTCATAGGTGGGAATTGAACAATGAGATCACATGGACACAGGAAGGGGAATATCACACTCTGGGGACTGTTGTGGGGTGGGGGGAGGGGGGAGGGATAGCATTGGGAGATATACCTAATGCTAGATGACGAGTTAGTGGGTGCAGCACACCAGCATGGCACATGTATACGTATGTAACTAACCTGCACAATGTGCACATGTACCCTAAAACTTAAAGTATAATAAAAAATAAATAAATAAATAAAAATAAATCCAAAAAAAAAAAAAAGAAATAGTGCTGTTTACTTAGAGAATAGATTGCTAATTTAGGGAGTGGGTAGCATCGTCAATCTACTCCTGTGCTGTCAAATATATTATACCTAATTTCACCTGGATTTTTTTTTTTTTGCTTACCTTAACATAAAAAAATTTAAAATGACATTCATGGCTCACATCATATTTCTGAGCTAAATCTGATAAACCCTCCAAACAAGGTAGGAAAGTTAAAAAAAAAAAAGGTAGAGAATTGACTGGCTATTTTAAACATTAGGGAAATTAAGAAAAGGCTCCACAGCAAAAATTCAGCTTAAGGCTTAGGCTGAATCTGAAGATTAAATCAACTTATGTACCTGACAATGGCCATTCTAGCTCAGAGTATAGGAAGAGAGCCATTGTTTCTCAAGATCCTTTCAAAAGTCTTGAGCCACTAAGTTTATTGGGTTGGTAAACAAACCTCTCACACCATCTGCAATTTAGCTGGCTTCTTCCAGCTAGTGCAGCCATTTTTTTAATAAATTAAAATTATACTCAGGATGTAGCAAATGGAAGGGCCACATCAGGAAGGAGATTCAAGTAAGACTGGAGGACAAAATAGTTTTCAATACTTAAGTTTGCCTTCACATTTCAAAGACATTCTTCTAAAAAAAAAAAAAAGATTAATACTATGACTAAGCAACAATAAGCATGCTCTTAACATTGTCCATTCTGCTATTCAAACAAAAAATATTGTCAAACTTATAATATGGCTCAACATAGCCAAAAAGGTCTGAATGCCCAACTTATTTTGGGGGGGTGGTCAGGACTCACTAGGAAATAGAGACAGCAAGAAGCAAATAGAGAAGCAAAAATCTACATGTGGAGTCACTTTGACCTGACAACGCTCACTAGTCTTGGGTTCCTAAACAATTTTTCCTAATTACAACATTAAATAATACCAACCTGTTTATTTTCTGGTCTTTAAAATAGCATCTGCATCTGACCACGTTTCAGAGATTAGAGAACATATAAGTTTATTTTATAAAATACCAAAAATCCTTAAACAAATATGCTCAATTAGTCTTTTACTTAATTTTAGAAACATTAGATCTATCATCTGCTCAATGGTACACAAGCAAGACTCTCAGACCTGTAGCTTTGGTTTTTGTACGACCTTGGAGAGCACCAATTCTTACAAAGAATGCTAGAAAATCTTCAAAGTAAAGAAAAATAACTCTTTCATCTTTTTATTTTTAATTGAAAGTTGGAAAAGAATTTCCCCTTTCTGGAAGTAAAAAAGAATGCATTTATACTGAGATATCTTCATTTTTTGTATAGAGCTTCTCTATTACCTAGAACTAAATGCTTATCATCTGGGAACCAGGGATGCAAACTACAGTCACAGATTAAGGAAACCCAGAATAAATGTCAAGAATGGGTATCAAAAACATTCAATTACTCTTTTTAAAAACATGTAAAGAATGCTTCCTATACTCTAGTCATCTGGCTAGGAGGTGCATCTATAGTGGTGAGCAAGATAGGTATGGTCCCAGCCTCTTACTGATTAAAATTATATAGTTATAAAGTGCTTTCATGGGAACTATAAGGACAAAACACCTTCAATGGTAGGAATTGCTGACCCAGACATTTCACCTATTCGCATAACTACCACAGAAACATTAATATGTGCCTTAAAAGAAAGCCAACCTTATTTTCAAGGAATCCATATGTAATGGAAAAAATTCGTATGTGTGTAAAAAATCAGAAAAACTTACTCCATGATGCTTCATGAGAGCTGGTATCACATTACAACATGTTTGAGAAATAAGTATCAATGTGGCCCTGCATAGTTCTAAATGGCAACAATGCTATTTACCAAGGCACTACAGACGACTATCACCAGTCAGAAAGAAAATATTGGATGGCTACAATGCAATTTGTGGGAATCCACTGGTTCTCCACAAAAGAACAAGATGCTTTTGGCAACGTAACCAAATGAATACTCTTAAAAGCATCAGGGTTTGCTTTCATTTTTTAATTTTCCCCTTTTCTTCTGAAAATGACTTTCACTGCCTTGGACCATAAAAAGCTCTAGACGGCCATCACTACCTCTGGACTACTTGGAGGAAGGCAGGTGTCAAATAGGATGAATACAAGAATACCCTACTTTATAATGACTTTTCTAACCTCTAGAACAGCAGTCCGCAAAATTTTTGGCAACAGGATTGGTCTCATGGAAGACAATTTTTCCATGGACATGGGGGAGGGATGGTTTCGGGGTGATTCAAGCACATTACATTTATTGGGCACTTTATTTCTATTATTACTACACTGTAATGTGTAATGAAATAATTATATAACTCATCATAATGTAGAATCAGTGGGAGCCCTGAGCTTGTTTTCCTGCAACTAGATGGCCCCATCTGGGAGTGATGGGAGACAGTGACAGATCATCAGGGCATTAGACTCTCATAAGGAGCGCGCAACCCAGATTCCTCACATGAGCAGTTCACAATAGTGTTCATGCTCTTTTGAAAATCCAATGCCACCACTGATCTGACAGGAGTTGGAGCTCAGGCAGTAACGTGAGTGATGGGGAGTGGCTGGAAATACAAATGAACCTTTGCTGGCTCACCGCTCACCTCCTGCTCTGCGGCCCCATTCCTAACAGGCCACAAACGCTACTGGTCTGTGGCCCATGGCCCAGGGGTTGGTGACCCATGCTCTAGAACATCTAATTTGTCAAAGAATCAGCATCCCAGCCCTCTAGCAACACCTTATCCATTAATGTCCTCTACTTGAAACATAGCTCAGAGTGAGGAAGTTAAAATGACCACCAACCAGTCCAAATGGATGTCACAAGGTCTATGAACTAAAGAGCACACACTTCATGTGCTCAGGACCTCCTTGAGAACCTCACTTGTACTTAGTCACTCTTAGTTCAGAACATTTCAAATCAAGGCTTGATAACTGGTTTCTAAGATCATAAAAAACGAAAAGGCTGGCAAAAATGACCAAAGCATGAATTGGCAGCTGAGAGCAAAACCAAAAAAGTAAAATTATTTTTTTAAAAAAGGAACAAACTAAACATCTCAAATAGCACAGCAGCTGGAGGTTATTTAATACGGACTCAAAGTGGATTATTTACCTCATTAATAGGCCCTTGGAGATACATAATTACAGTTCGATCTTTAATACTCAATAAAACTACCTTGAGTTTTCAAATAAAGATTGAACACATTAAAAAAAATCCAGGTGAAACACTAGTAGAATCACAGCAGACCTAAAAATATTACAGATATTATGCTTAGTGAACCAGCTTTACCCCACCTGGTTTCCTCATTAATGAGTTAAAGAAATCTTTGGCATCTATTCATTCTTCATTTATATAAGAGTTGCGTTTACTTTTTGAAAATTATGCTTTGACAATTTGGAGGTCCTAATAAAATGTGCAAGTGACTCACTCTATCCAGTCAATTAAATTGCACTGCCCATGAAGTATATCTCATGGGCTGGATGCCCAGACACATCTTTTCTTGGCTTCTGAGGTAAATCACAAATGGCAGTAGAACATCACCTTCACTGACTCGCTAATCTCTTTAGCTTTTGTTTTACTGAGTCTGTCTTAGTTTTTGTTTCTAATCCTTGGCCAAGTTTCACTGGGGTTTTGGTTTGCATACAACTGACAGTTATCTCCATTGGTGGCAGCCATGACTAGGAATCTGGTTTCACGATCTGACCACGTGGTGAGTTGACAGGTAGAATCGGAATCCAGTCTTGGTCAGGTGAGAGGTGACAGAGTATTTGTTTGTTGTTGTTGTTGTTTATAATTTGTTTTTCTATTTGTGTACTCAGATCAGGAATATATTTTGTGCCTGATGGAAAAGCAATCAGTCTTTTGAGATCTGGAAAAGTGAGATTTTGTGTTCTAGTGTTCACTTTTGATCTGTAATTGGAGCTGTAGGACTTAAGCCATAAACCTTTCATCTGTCTTTCTACCTGGGGGCAGGGTGGGGAACACTGTTTGTAGGTGAAGTATTTTTCTAACTCCCGAGGATAATAATAAATTAAACAGAGAAGGCCTACTGTTCTGATTGGTTTATAGAGATTATCAAGTAGTTAGATAAATTTAACATTCCCAGAATTTCAAGAATTTATTTTCTTGAAATAAATTTTGTGAAATTCCAATGCTTTAAATGTGCTTATTTTAATGATGGGGTCTCACTCTGCCACCTGGGCTGGAGTTCAGTGGCATGATCATGGCTCATTGCAGCCTCAATCTCCTGAGCTCAATCAATACTGCCACCTCAGCCTCCCAAGTAGCTGGGACTACAGGTGTGCACCACCACACCCAGCTAATTTTTGTATTTTTTGTAGAGACAGGGTTTTGCCATGTTGCCCGGGCTGGTCTCAAATTCCTGGACTCAAGTGATCCTCCCACCTTGGCCTCCCAAAGTGCTGGGATTACAAGTGTAAGCCACCTCACCCAGCCTAACTGTGCTCTCTTAAAAAAAAAAAGACCTGATTTGATAATTTGGTTTTAAAAACAGCTATAGGGACACATGTTGTCAGGATCTCCTGGGGCTGTGTCATGGGTAAATACAACTTTTAAGAAAAAAATACATTTTAAAAACAACAACAAAACAGCTACACATCTTTTCCTTGTTTCATCAGTGTACAGTATAATACAAGTATAATCTCATTTTTTAAAAAAACTTGAATGTTTTATGATGAAGAGATTAGTTTACCTGAACTTTTAAACTGTCTTATATTAGTTTGCTAAAAACATAAGCTAAGATTACTTCTATAAAATTAAGAAAAATATAAACTTTGTGCTCATCTAAACTGAACTATAACTGTGACAAACCTTTTCACATTATCAGTAATTATGTTCTGTGATGTGTTAGCTTGAACATAATTTCTGATACCTTTAAGTATTTTTGTCTTAGTGTCTGGTTGTTCCAGAATGTGGAAGAGAACAATGAAGGGCAGAAGTTGATGGAAACAGAAAATTGCAGATTTGCAAAAAGGGAGTTAGATTTAACTTGGTTTATAATGCTTGCAAATAAAAAGGCTATAAAGAAGTAATAAAATTTTAAAAATTTGGCAAAGTTTGCATGATTTTGATGCAATTATTCATAAAGTATGTTTAATGTAATGCATTAAAAATGTAATATATGACAAGCACCCTGTTAATGTAAAACTAAAATGCAGTTATCTCTATTGAAATGACAGACTGATCTTGGAGAAATCAGCCTATGCTTGTAAAAGGCAGTACTAATCTGCCCACAGAACAGAGATTAGTACCTTACAAGTGTAACTTCCTGAGCTTTGCGATGATTGGAATATATTCTTGCAAAGAGTTTTCTTCATTTTTGAATGATTTGAGCTTTCTTGCTCATCATAAAATAATCTATTGCCATTTTCTTAAATAGCCAAACCACAAACATTCACTACTCTCAGGTATACACAATTCTTTATTACTCAAGTGACAAAATCTCTGATTTTGCCTTCAAGATCAGGCAGACCCTAAATACAGAAAAAAAATATAATTTCCAAGATATCTATTCCTGAACTACTTTTAGGTTTTCCCAGAGAACCTCTGGGCAATCACAAAGATTTGTCTTTAATTTTACAAAAAGAAAGAGGCTAGAAATAATTAGGTTTGTTCACTGTGCCCCTAAAAATTTCTCAAATCAAATGAGAAAGTTGCCCTTCCTTAAGATAATTTTGTACGGGTAAAATAATATTTTTAATATTATAGGTAATGTTCAAAGATTGGGTACTTTACACAAAGACCCTGAATATATGTCAGTGCCCTCACTCTCTGTAATATGTTCTTAAAAAACTGATTTAAAGGATTTTAACTCTCCTTCATGCTGATATTGTTTGTTAAATTAACCATAAATAACCATAGCCACTTAACTCTTACATTCACCAAGTGTTCTCTACTTTCTCTGTGAGCTTGTCTACAAAATACAATATCTCATTAATGAAGAAAAGACAGTTTTAGAACCTTGTGGACAGAACTTTACCAGGTATTCTTAACCCTAAATATTTCAAAGAATTGCATAGACAAAAATGAGATAGTACTAGGCAGCCACATCAGATTTTCAGGACTTTTTAGTCTAGAAATAGATGACTTCATGAAACCAAATTAAGAGCCTAAGATACAGAGGAATAAGAATTAATTACATAGAAGTGATTGAATTGATAATAAAAAATGAATTTCTAAATGTGGATATATGTTTTGGAATATTACTAGTATTATTTTTAATGTTTTATTTTTTCAGGGGGAAAACCCTTTGGCATTCATACTGCTCTATCTCTAATCCTCTATTCAGCTAACTCTGATTTTGCAAACTAAATGAAATATTATTTTAATGGTAAATTGTTCTCACTGATCTCTCAGAATTCAGGAAGTAATTTGAGTCACTTTACTTTTTAATGGCAATATCATCTTTTGCATAGGCTTGATAAGAATCCGTCATCCCTTTTACCACAATGTAGTCAAACAAA